>NC_000002.12:45341867-45644897 GCF_000001405.40 Homo sapiens | reverse complement strand
ACATTTTTATAAACCTAAGGTCTAGATTTGTTTTAATTTATTGGCTCCAAATTAAACTAGCCTTAGCACAGTGCAATATAATAATTCTTTCAATAATAATCTATACTATAATAACATAATTCTCAAGGGAACTATGATGTTGATAGAGTTCTTCCTTAAGTTGTTTGGTAATAAGAGTCTTTAAAACAAAAAGACTGAAAGACTTTGTTGTTCTTCAACTTCTATATTTTTGTGTCTCCTCTCCCAATACCAATAGAATTATTGAGGTATTTTTGGCGGATGGTTTGATGCTACCTGTAACCAAGTTTAACAGCTGTCTCCCAGGCTCCCCTGTGGATATTTTACCAATTAGCAGAATGACTGATCTGATTGTTCAGACTAGGTTATATATCTCTAGCACATTCTGGATATTTGGTGAATCCATTTTTATTTCTAATTTACCTTTCAGGATCAACAAGCTGGGGCTAAAGGGCAAGGAATATTGCCTTTTGTCACTGATAAGCATTTGCGTGTAACAGAATGTGTAACCAGAACTGCTTAAATCCACGGGTTCTGTTGCAACACATGTGTTGGAAAGCTGCGAATCTGTCCCACTTTAAGGCCCAAGTCCTCCATGCACCGGGCCTCATCCCCTAGCTGAAGCTGTAACTCCTCCCTCAACTCTCCTACCGCTTCTTCCTCACGTCTCGTTGGAGTTCCTGCCTCTCCCTAATATACTGTAGTATAGTTCTTTGGTACCTGTCTTTGATCCTGCCACTTCCCTAGAGGTCTTTAAATTTGGAGACCCAGGATGACTCATGTTGGTGCTGCTCGGTATCTTGGACATGGTAAATGCAACTTTGTGCTCTATACACATTTGAAATGAGAAGAGTGTGAAATAGTCTTCTTGTGGGTCTCTTCCCTTCTTGCCCAAATGAGTGCCTTGAGGATGGGTGGGTCTCTTCTCTCTTCTGCAACCCACCCGGCAAGCCTGCAGTGACAAAGTCGCTGCGCGCTCTGATGCCGGGCCGCACCGGGGGGCTCCAGGCCGCCCGCGCCCCACTCCGCGAGCCGACAGCGCCCTCTGGTGGACGCTGGCGCGCTCGCCCCAGTGGCTCCCGAGGCTCTCACCGCCTCCGCTGTCTCCGCTCCCTGTGGTGCCCCGCTCAGCCCCGGACCAGCCTGGGGGAAGCGACCCTTCTACGTCCTGGCCGGTCTAGTTTCTCTGTCGTCGGCTACCGGGTCCCTCAGGTCACCCCACCCCGGCCGGAGCCGGATGGAGAGGCGAAGAGAGCCTTGGGTCTAAAAAGGGGTCCGGCGAGTCCGCCTGCCATCCCGGCTTAGCGGGGGACGAAGGGTCGCAGGGTGGGGGCCAGGAGGCAGCCCCTCTCTTCTCCGCCCCAAGAGACTTCCCAAGGCCAAGGTTGGAGGGGGCGGCCGTTAGGCCTGGAGCCAGGAGAACAGAGACCCACAAGAACAGCAGAACAGAAAGCAACTGGGAGGGAGGGGAGTTAGAGGGGAGCCACAGTCCCAGGAGAATTCCTAAGGCCCCGGAGCAGAAAAGGCGGCAGACCCGGGCAAGAAGGGGACAGGCGTGGAGGGGGCTGGTCATGAGGCCGTTTGACCCAGGGTCACAGTGCAGCCACGGTGGAAAGGTGGCTCATTGTCCAGTCTAATTCAAGCTGTGTGACTTAAGTTACCTGCGCTCTGGAAGCTTCATTGGCTCTTAAGTGGAGATTAGAAGAGGCTAGGACTGCTCTGTGGATGAACGGACTATGAAAGTGTCCTGCACATAGTACATGGCCACTAGGACAACAGCGAGCTAGGGGGATAAGCCAAGAGGAAGACCACACGGCATGGGACCACTGCCGTTATCCACATGCCCCAGGCAGGCGGAGGTCAAATGCAGTCACTCGGTGTATGCCAAAACTGTGCCCCCCAACTTTTTTTTAAAGCAACTTGGCTTTTCAAAGTGAAGAATTCTGTTCTTATCGCTGCATTAGAGCCACAGGCCATCTATTTGACAGTTAAATCCAAGTTGGGTTCAGGAAAAATACAGATAAAGGATTTGTGGTCTAGGTTTGTAAGAAGCTAGAATTTGAAGGTAAAGGTATTCGAAGGGCCTTCAGACAGACCACAGAGACCACCCCTGCATTTTCCCAAACCCGAGGCTGCAGGTCAGCTCCTGAAGCTGAGGTGAGGGTTGTGGGAAGTGGCCGTACAATCCCACTGCAGGCATCGCCTCCAGGATGGGAGGTGCTGGGCATGGGAGCAGGTCAGGACCTGCTTGGAGGCTGCTTCTCGTCATCCCAGCACATAGCTGGGCTTACTTTTCTGAAAAACACAGAAGCCATCAGCTGGGTTTGCCCCCAAACCTGGCAACAGCTTAGGAAGGAAGAAAGAATGTCATTCCTCCATCCCACCAGGTATCATGGAAGCAGGTGGCTGGGCTCAGGCCTCCACCTGTCTCCTGGCCGCACCACCCAGCCCTGCTTCCCAGGGACTCTGCTCTGTGGATCACCCCTCACTTCTCTTCTCCACCCTCGTTCCCTCTACCGGTTGTTTTCCTTCAGTAAGTCTCAGCCCTTTTAAAAAAAATTGTAACCCTTCCTCACCTCACATTTCTGCCCAGCTACCACCTAACCCTCTCCTCTCTGTCCCTTGTTGTTATTTTTCAGTCTCCATTTTCTTTTCTTACTACCCACTCCCTCCTCAGCCCATATCATTGGGCTCACTGAAACATCTCTCACTTCCATGCTGCTAAAACTCATTTTTGTGGTCTGTACCTTATTTGACCACTTTCTTTGCCGCAAATGATGCTGTCTCCCCTCTCGCCTTGAAATGCTCCCTTCTTCTAGTTTCTTTTTTTGTTTGTTTGTTTTGAGACAGAGTCTTGCTCTGTTGCCCAGGCTGGAGTGCAGTGGCACCATCTCAGCTCACTGCAACCTCCACCTCCTGGGTTCAAGCAATTCTCCCGCCTCAGCCTCCAGAGTAGCTGGGACTACAGGCAAGCACCACCATGCCCGGCTAATTTTTGTATTTTTGGTAGAGACGGGGTTTCACCATGTTGGCCAGGATGGTCTCGATCTCCTGACCTCATGATCCGCCCACCTCGGCCTCCCAAAGTTCTGGGATTACAAGCGTGAGTCACCTGCCCAGCCCTTCTCCTAGTTTCAAGGACATCTGAACTCTCCAAGTTTTCTTCCTACTTGCTTGACGTCTCCTTGTCAGTTTCTTTTCTCCTCTTCCTCTGCCCATCTTTTAAATGCATCATTATGTTATAGTTACACTGCAGAATTAGTTATGTTATATTTACATATAACACAGCTAGTGTTATGTAATATGTAAATTATATGTAAGTTATGTTATATTTACATATATGTTATATATGTTATGTTATAGTTACACTGTTAAGACAATAATGTAAAAGTTATCTTGATGAATCATCAGGTGAGTGACCACAAGGTGCTGTGACTTTGAGGGAAGGAAAGATAGATCACTGAGGCCTAAAGTGGTAAGGAAAGTCCCTGTGGAAGAAGAGAGGTGGACAATGGGCATAGACAAGATGCTAGAAGTTCAGAGGTAGAGAAAAAGAATGGACATTCCTGCTGGAGTAACTTCCTACTAAATACACAGAGGGGTGAACCTAAAGATTTAATCCAATGATTTTTAAACATCTCTTTGGGGACAGCACTTTGCTAGGCATGGCATAAAATTGAAAAGAAAGATGAGAGCCCCTTGTTTAAATTTTAGTTACTATTCCCATGAAATGATTAAATAGCACTATAAGGTAGCATTTGATCGAGATAAAGACGGTAGAAAGAAGGCAGAGGTCACATGGGCTTCCTGGAAGTGGCAAAACCCACGGGCTATCATGATCTGTATGAATTAGGGTAGGCTGACTGCTCTAACACGTAGATCCCCAAATGCATAAAAGCTCAAACACAGTAGTCATTTACTTCATGCTCATGTAGCAGTATTGGGTAGGTCAACAAATCAAAAGGGTGGCCCTGTCCTCAGGCTTCCACAGTCACCCTGAAGGTTGTCACCAGTGGAGCCATCCAGATAGAGAACAGATTACTGGGGAGCAAGTCTGGGAGGGTGTTATGGGCCAGGTCACTCGCATCCCATTGGCTAGGACTTAGTCACATGGTCACATATAATTGCCAGGGAGGCTGGGAAGCACAGCCCTGTAGTGTGCCCAGGAAGAAGAGGAGAGCCTGGCTTTTTGGTGAGCAGTGAGCAACGTCTCCCACTGGGTCCTTTCATCCTTTGCTGGAGATAAGGATGATCTGTTTGGGTTAACCCTCAGTGCAGAATTGAACCCCTCTCCATTTTCCTCTCCCTTTCCCCATCTTATTCCGTATAAAAAAGGCTATGAGGACTCTGTGGTGCAAGTGAAAGAGACACAGGTGCAGGTGTGGGCCAAGATAAGGACGATGAGGTGTGATGAAGAGGAGGCCATGCACTGGGCTAGGTGTGTCTAGAGAGGACATTCTCTTCCAGCTTCTCTCCTTCTGCCCATTAAAATGCCAAGTTGCCCTCATCTCTGGTGTGAGTTGTGGCATGGTGGGAGTCATCCCCGACTCTTTCCTGGGAGTGGGAGGAGGTCCATTCCCAACCCACAAATGAAACGTGGTCAGTGTCCTCCGTGCAGGTGACCTTAGAGTTGCTGCAATGCAGTGAAGGCTGATGAGCGAGTCACCTGGCACAGGCTTCAGATGTAATGATGGTCTGTACTTTGAACTTTTTAGGGAGCTTTTATATCCATCCCTCCTTTTTCCCCTCTTCTCAACCACAGTGCAGGGCAAGTATTATTCCCATTTTAAAGACGGGGCTACTAGAACTCAGAGAAAGTAAAGGACTCAAGTGCATCAGATCCAAGAGGAGAGCCTGGTTCTCCAGATCCCCAGACAAGGCTTCCCTCCTATGACCAACCTTGTCCACTTTATATGTGAAATGAGCTGGTGAGTATGTTTTATAATTCCCTGGAGTCTGAGTCTCCAAGGAAGCCCCCCCACCCCGCCAGGCAAAGGCCACTGCTCCAGCTGGTGCGCTGCACAGAGACCCAGGCTCAGACATCAGGACCTTCCATCCGCTCTTAGCTGCTGACCTGGCCTGGGGGCTGGGGAGGTGAAGAGGTGAGTGCATTGGCATCAGAATTCAACAGGCAAGGCACTGTTCTGCACACGGGGAAACAAAGCCCACACTGCCCCCTAAGGGGCCTTAACAGCCCCTTGGACACCTTGCTGAATGCTTTCAGAGGGGCACAAACTTTACCCCACCTTTGGGTTAGGGTAGATGTCGCTCAAGCTTTTGCCTCACTGAAGGATTTCCTATTGACGGTTAGTCTTTTCCCTATATCTCTCTCCCTCTGCCTCTCCCCTGTCTTCCCTTTCTCTGAGCCTGTTAGACCTCAGGGTTAACTTCTGACAAAGGAAGCTTTTCTGGCTCATTTTGTTCTTGCAAATGCAAATGTAAGCTAACCAGGAAAGAAGGCCAGGGACCTCAAAGCAGGTTGGTGTTCTTCCTGGAGCGTGAGAACCAAGTATGGAAGCCTTCTCCTAGGGCCTGAGATGTCTCAGGGAGCTTGGAGAAAAGATGACAGCCCTGCGGATGAAAGGGTCCTGTTAACCTCTAGGGTGTGGCAGCTCAAGGCTCTGCACTTTGGGACCATCCCAGGTGCTTCCTGATCTAGGAAAGGAAGGAGAAAACGATGCTGTCCTCACTCCCTGAAAACCATGCCAGCTCCTCTTCCTTGCCTGCATCCTGTCCCTATTATTCCCTCTCCCAGGACTCCCTGGCCCATTCTGTGGGCCTCACCTTAGAAGGCATTTCTTCTAAGTGACTCTCCTGATCTCTCATCAGCCCACACTACATTTTATTGTCATCACTGTTCTACTTGCTTGTTTCCCAAAAAGCAGAATTACAGTGGTGCTCATAAGGCTTAAGCTTTAGGGCCCTTCATTTGCTGTGCTCCCTCCAAGCCCCACTTTCTAATTTGGTGTTCTTTTTCCAAAAGAGGGCTCTCCAAATTGCTTAAGCTTCAGGTCCCATGAAACCCAGGTTCACTCATGGCCTTTCCCACTACTGTGCAAACTTCCTGAATCAGGGACTGTGCTTCAGATTCCATGGAGTATTTTTAGGGAGTGGAGGTCTTCCTAGGCTCCAATAAACATTTGTTAAATAAAAGAGAAAGGAAGAAAGAATTCTTAGCTAGTGCTTAGCTGCCCAGTGGTTCTCATGAAGACTCCCCAGCACTGTCACCTGTGCAATCCGGATGGCTCTTATGGGGTGCCCGTCCCTACAGCACAGTGTAGTGTGCAGGAGGAATCCATCTGGGAAGCTCTAGGATCTTAGGAAAATCACCTGCCTCTCGATGAGCCTGCATTTATTCAAATGCAATAGGGGGTTGTAACCACTAATTACCAGTAAGTACAGTAGCTGGCACAACTGCATCTCAGAAAATAATAGTTTCTGTTATATACACCGTCCCTATGGAACATTTCATTCTTAATTCTTTTAGCTCTAGGACCTACAGCTTCCCCTTTCCCCCACGGTGGTTCCTGGATAATGGGGTTTTGGTGTGAAGAGTCAGGGCACACAAAGGGATTTGCCCTGCACCCAGCGTCCCACTAAGTTTGGCTCCAGGACCAGATCTGGGTATCCCCCTATACACTGTTCCTTCTGACAGCGAGATGTAGAACTGCATGGAAAGAGTCAAAGAACTTGAATGATGATATAAATGAAATATAGGGAAACAATGTGGTTAAGTGCCTTTCCCTTTGCAGCCATGGTTTTCCAGCCATTTGACCCACTGGAACCCTAAGGTATGTATCTCTCAGTGCGGTAAAGGAGTAGTTATTTTTCTCTGTTTCCACAGAGAAGAAAGTGAGACTGAAATGACCTTGAGCCACATGCCTGAAGTGCCAGGGCTGGCAAGTGGCAGACCCAGAGCCGCAGCGTAGGTCCATGTTCTTATCACCCTGGACATGGCCCTCATCCCCTGTCCTTCAGTGAAGGATTGATCCAGATCCCCAGACAAGGCTTCCCTCCTATGACCAACCTTGTCCACTTTATGTGTGAAATGAGCCGGTGAGTGTGTTTTATAATTCCCTGGAATCTGAGTCTCCAAGGAAGCCCCCACACCCCGCCAGGCAAAGGCTGCTGCTCCAGCTGGTGCGCTGCACAGCGACCCAGGTAAACATCGCTCAGTTCCTGCCCCAATTCAGTCATCCTGTGAGAACCATCATGTGCATGCCAGAACTGACCCTGCTGCCACAACATTTAATGTGTCATTGTGGTTTTCCTCTAACAAGAACTGAGAAGTGGTCAATGTTTCTCTTGTTTTTTTTCTGGTGACATCCATACATTCATGTTTGCAGGAACCAGGGCTTGAAAATTCAACAGCAAAGTGGGTAAGATATGCAGTAGGAGGGCAGAGTGTGAGGAGCATTTTACAACTTATTACAAGTTTTGTTATTCATTTCTTAAAATGGTAGTAGTAGTAACAACGGTGATAAAAGCTAACAACTATTGGTTGAGAACTATGTGCCAGAAATCAATATTTAACTTTTTTTTTGAGACAAAGTTTCCCTCTTTTTGCCCAGGCTGGAGTGCAGTGGTGAGGTCTCAGCTCACTGAAACCTCCTCCTCCCAGGTTCAAGTGATTCTCCTGTCTTAGCCTGCCAAGTAGCTGGGATTACAGGTGTATGCCACTACACCCAGCAAATTTTTGTATTTTTAGTAGAGATGGGGTTTCACCATGTTGGCCAGGCTAGTCTCAAACTCCTGACCTCAGGTGATCCACCCGCCTCGGCCTCCCAAAGTGCTGGGATTACAGGTGTGAGCCGCCACGCCCAGCTAATTTTTGTTTTTTTTAGTAGAGACGGGGTTTTGCCATGTTGGCCAGGCTGGTCTCAAACTCCTGACCTCAGGTGATCCACCTGCCTTGGTCTCCCAGAGTGCTGGGATTACAGGCATGAGTCACCACACCCGGCCTTAACAATTTTTTTTTTTTGAAACAGAATCTCATTCTGTCACCCAGACTGGAGGGCAGTGGTGCAATCACAGCTCACTGTAGCCTCGACCTCCCATGTTTAAGTGATCCTCCCACTTCAGCCTCCTGAGTACGTGGAACCAACACCACCATGCCTGGTTAATTAAAAAATAATAATATATATATATTTTTGATAGAGACAGGCTTTCATTATGTTTCCCAGGCTGGTCTTGAACTCCTAGGCTCAAGCTATCTTCCCACCTCGGCCTCCTGAGGTGCCAGGATCACAGATGCAAGCCACTGCACCTGGCCTTAACAACTCTTTAATCATCAGAAAAGCCAAACGAAATATATATTACCATATTTCTCCAATTCTAAGATGCACATTTTTGTCACATACTATCATCTTATGTAATCCATGATGAGAAAGTACTGGCATACTACTATAGTTGCTGGTGAGTTTTTTGTTTTAATCTCCTGTAGTACTTTACATTAGGATACCTTTTATAAATGAACCCAGTAAGGTGGTAAAAAACTAAGCAATGTCCACAGGATCATCCCACATCGAGTAGGTAGCAGAGCCTGGATTTATAGACAGGCGGTCCAACTCCAGGGCTCCCCCATTTGTTTGCTTACTGGCTTATTTGTTTTGCTATCTGGGCCATCCTTCAGACACCTTTTCTCATAGTCAGCCATAGGTCTATCCATTATGAGCTGGGCTCGTGCCAACTTCACAATCTGCAAAACAGGAGATACACATGTATCTTTTTGTATTAGTCCGTTTTCACACTGCTGATAAAGACATACCCGGGACTGGGAAATTTACAAAAGAAAGAGGTTTAATTGGACTTACAGTTTCATGTGGCTGGGGAAGCCCTACCATCATGGCAAAGGCAAGGAGGAGCAAGTTGTATCTTACATGGATGGGCGGCAGGCAAAGAGAGGAGCATTTGTGCAATGAAACTGCCCCCACCCTTCTTCTTCTTCTTTTTTTTTTTTTTTGAGACAGAGTTTTGCTCTTATTGCCCAGGCTAGAGTGCAATGGCACAATCTCGGCTCACCGCAACCTCTGCCTCCTGGGTTCAAGCGATTCTCCTGCCCCAGCCTCCCAACTAGCTGGGATTACAGGCATGCGCCACCATGCCTGGCTAATTTTGTATTTTTTAGTAGAAACAGGGTTTCTCTATGTTGATCAGCCTGGTCCCAAACTCCTGACCTCAAGTGATCCACCCGCTTTGGCCTCCCAAAGTGCTGGGATTACAGGCATGAGCCACCGCGCCTGACTGAAACTCCCCTTTTTATAACCATCATATCTTGTGAGACTTATTCACTATCATGAGAACAGCATGGGAAAGACCTGCCCCCATGATTCAATTACCTCCCACTGGGTCCCTCCTACAACACATGGGAATCTAAAATGAGATTCGGTGGGGACACAGCCAAACCATATCGCTTTTATATGCATGTGAGCATATTTATATATATAGCATTTATATTTCTTTTGTTTTAATTTGCACATGATTCTGTTCTGTCTTCCACAGAAACTCTGAACTTAGAATATTCCCTAAAGAAAAATAGACGCTAAGTTAAACTTGCCAGAATGGGCCTGGGTCAGGGACAGGGATGAGAAATATTTCCAGAAAGAAAATCTACTCCTGTATTTGCTTGTTAATTCTTTTGACCTTGATTAAGTTACTTTCATTCTTTGGCTGAAGTTTCTCCAATTGTAAAATAAGGAGCCTGTCCCAGTTCCAAACTTTGTTTTTCTCTTTTTGTTACCAAAGGCATCCAAAGACCAAACATCTTTTGCATCATCTTTTTCTTTTATTTACAAAGAGTAAAATTAATTTTTGTGTGTGTACAGTTCTCTGAGCTTTAATATATATAGATCTGTGCAAGCACCAATCAATACAGAACAGTTCCATTACCTCCTCCCCAAATTCTCTCATGTTACCAGTTTGTAGTGAAACTCTGTCTCCAGCACCTAACCTCTGGCAACCACTGATTAGTTCATCATCTCTGTAGTATTACCTTTTCCAGAATATCTTATAAATGGAATTGTACCATAGGTAACCTTTGAGACTTGTTTCTTTCAGAAACCTTTGAGACTAAACTTAGCAAAATGTCTTTGAGCTTCATCCATGTCATTGATCATATCAATACTTTGTTCCTTTTTGTTGCTGAGTATGATTCATTGAATGAATGCATTACAATTTACTTCGCCATTCAGTCATTGAGGGGCATTTAATGCATTTCCAGTTTTGGTTGATTATGAATAAAGCTGCTATAGACATTCATGTACAAGTTTTTCTGTAAGCATCAAGTTTTCATTTCTCTAGGGCAAACATCTAGGAGTGGGATGGCAGGGTTATATTGTAAGTACATGTTAAACTTTATAAGAATCTGCCACACAGATTTCAGAGTGTCTGCATTTTGCATTTCCACCAGCAATGTGGGAGAATTTCTTGCAGCTGCTCTGCTTCCTCACTAGTACTTGGTGTTCTCGTTTGGTGTTGGTGGTGAGGGCGGTGTTTGAATTATAGTCATTCGAATAGGTGTGGAGTAGTACCTTATTGTGGTCTGAATTTTCATTTCCCTAATGGCTAATGATTTTGAGCAACTTTTCATATCTTTATCTGCCATCTGCGTAACTTCTTTGTTGAAATGTTCATTCGCATATTTTGCCTATTTTTAAAATTGTATTGTTGTTTTCTTATTATTGTTTTGAAAGTTATTTACATATTCTGGATACAAATCCTGTGTTGGATATACAATTTGCTAATATTTGATCCCAGTTTACAGCTTGTTCTTTTAATTCTTAAATACTTAACAATGTTTTTAGCCAAAAAAAAATTAATTTTGATTAAGTCTAATTTATCTTTTTTTGCTTTTATGAATTGGATTTTGATGTCATAGCTAAACATTATCAAAAACATATGTTTTAAAATAAACATGTTAGTTTCTAGTTTTGCATTTAGATCTATGATCCATTTGAGGTTAATTTTTCTATAGATTATACTCTGATATATAGCTTAAGGTTCATTTTTTTGCATATGGATGTTCAGTTGTTCCATTTGTTGAAAAGATTATCCTTTATCCATTGAATTGCCTTAATACCTTTTTCAAAAATTGTCAATTTTGTACTTTAAAATGGTTAAAATGATGTATTTTATGTCAATTTTATCTCAATAAAAAAATCTATCTTCAAAAATCAATTGATCATATTTTTGTGGATCTATTCCTGGATTGCCTATTTTGTTCCATTGATCATTGTGTGTATAGTTTCATCAATACCACAGGGTCTTAAAATTATTATACTTCGCTTTAGACTAAGTTTTAAAATGGTTAGGGTGAGCTAACTCTATTCTTCTTTTTCAAATTGTTTTGTTTATTCTATGTCCTTTGCCTTTTCATATACATTTTAGAATCAGCTTGCTTATGTTTTAAAAAATCCTGCTAATATTTTGATTCTTATTCATCAAGTCTATAAAATCATTTTGGATCTTATATGGTTCCCAGACAATATACATGCTATCCAGCTAAATTTGAATTTCAGATAAACAAGGAATAATTTTTAGCATAATTATGTCCAAAACATTCCATGAGACATAATTATACCAAAAAAACTATTGTCATGAATGTATGTTGAAATTTGTCAAATGCTTTTTCTGTACCTTTTTGTACAAACATTTTTTTCTTCAGACATTAATATGGTGGATTACAGTGACTGATTTTAAAATGTTGAACCAGCCTTGTCTTCCAAAAATTAATTCCACTTGGTTTTTATTATTGTTTTTATATATTGCTGTATTTGACTTGCTAATTTTTCTTTCTTTCTTTTTCTTTTTTTTTTTTCAGTGTCTTACTCTATTCATCTAGGCTAGAGTGCAGTGGCGTGATCATGGCTCATTGCAGCCTTGAACTTCCGGGCTTAGGTGATCCTCCCACCTCAGCCTTCTGGGTAGCTAGGACTACAGGTGTGCACCACCAGGCCCGGATAATTTTTTGTACAGACGGTGTTTCACCGTGTTCCCCAGGCTGCTCTTGAACTCCTGAGCTCAAGTGATCCACCCACCTTGGCCTCCCAAAGTGCTAGGATTACAGGTATGAGCCACTGTGTCTGGCCAGATTTGCTACATTTTTAAAAGAATTTTTGCATCTATACCATGACAGATTATCAGTCTATAGTTTTCTTTCTATTCTTATTTTCTCATTTAAGCATTTAGTGCTAAAACTTTCCCTCTAAGCATTGCTTTAGTTACATCATTTTCATTTAGTTCAAAATACTTTATAATTTCCCTTGATATTTCCTCTTTGATCTATAGGTTATTTATAAGCATTATTTAGATGTCTAAGTTTTGGGGGATTTTTCAGATGTCTTTCTGTTGTTGAGCGCTACTTTAATTCCATTTGGTATTATTCGGTAAACCTGGTATTATTTCAGTTATCTTAAATATATATTAAACACATCTCCCTTCCTGGTCTTCTGATGGAAATCTAGGGCTTTAGTCTCTTTGCTCTCCAATTTGTTTCCTACAACTAAGTCTACCTCCGGGGAAAAGCAGCAGGAGGATAAATAGAGAAAAAAGCACCTGGGATTTGCTCTACATTTTTAGGATCACAGTTCCAATGATTAGAGAGAAGCATTCCTCTCTCTCTGGGTTTTATGTGTCTGTTGGCAGCCACTGCCATCACACGATTGTGATTTTGTATCTGGGGCTCACCTGGGGCTGAGATGGGAGAGAAAGTTAAAATGAGGGAGGAGATTCCCTCCAAATCTCTGTATCCCGCAGGGGCCCTCTTCCTGCTCTTCAGACCAGAAAGAAAAGCTTTTCTCAGGGCCCACAGTTCTTGGTCTTTGTTTGAGTCCAGGCTGGGAGACATGGAAGAGAAAAAAATAAAAATCGCCACCAACTCATTAGTACTTCAAATTTTGGTTTCTTTCCCTTGTATGTCTGTTATCATTTACTTTTCAGAGCCTTTGGATGGCTTCTCTAAGCATTCTGTTTAGGTTCCTAGCTGCTTACTCCATCTTCCAGAACTGGATGCCCCCAGCCTATGTAGATTTAATTCTTAATAACTTTTTTTACAGGTACTACCATACATGTACTATTTATTTTACATGCAAAATAAAAATTAAAATGAAATTTTAAAAGAATGAGAAAAACTTTCACTTCTAAATAAGATAGACTAACAGAGATAGGGTTTACTCTCTGAAACAAACATAAAAAAGGCAAAATATGTGAAACAATGATTTTTCTAGATGCTAATGTCAGGCAACAGTGAAGAGATAGAAAACAAGGTGAGTCCTGTGACTCAGCTTAATGCATTGAGAGGGTTTCTAGGCTATGATGCAGTGAGGGGGACTCCAGGCAGAGCCTGGGAGATTGCTGAGTTGAGGAGACGGAGCTGACAGTCTGGGGAGACCACAATGCTAGAGCCTCATGACACAGCGCTAGAGAGGTGAGAAGCACATAGAGGGGCTCCTCTGTATAAGTGAAGAGGGTTCCCTCAAGTATTCATCTGTGTACTGATGAGTGCATGGGATGGGGGGTTGGAGTTGGGGGGACTACCTGAAGCCTGGGAAAGAACTACGGGACAGGATTAGAGAGAATAGTGTATGCTGCTCCCACAGGGCCAAGAATAGTATCTCTTTCCACCAGCCAGAATAGGAAACTTCAGGATTCACAGGCATTGATTAGAAGATTTAGAAAGGTCTTGCATTCGTGGTGGGGAATAATCAGCTCTAGACTGAGCACTGATCTAGCTGTACCTAACAATTTAAAAAACTAGACCTAAAAGGACCAAACTATTTCCAAGTAATTTAACCATGCCCCAGAATAAGGCTCATGAATATTCAAGGGAATACAAAAATGTCCATTGTGTTGCAAGTTAAAATTCACAATGTCAGCATCCAACCAAAAATTAACATTATGCAAAGAAGCAAGAAAATATGTCCCATAATAAGGAGAAAGATCAATCTATTGAAACTGACCTAGAACTGGCACAGATGTTAGAATTAGCAGACAAGGGCATTAAAAGTTATTATAACTGAATTACAAATGTTCAAAAGGCTAAATAGAGACAAAATATATTTAAAAGACCTAAGTAAAAAATCTAGAGATATTCACTACAATATCTGGGAAGAAAAACACATTGGATGAGATTAATGGCATAGACATTACAGAAGAAAAGATTCAGTGAATTTGAATACAGCAATAGAAATGATCCAAAATGAAACACAGAGAGAAAAAAAGATTTCAATAAAAAGGTCATCAATGAGCTGTGGAACAACTTAAGCATCCTAATATACAAGTAACTGGAGTCCTGGAAGGAGAGGAGAGAGTGGGAAGGATTGGACAAATATTCAAATCCAAACCTTCCTCTTTTTGTTTTAAAATTTTTAAATGTTTAATATGCAACTAATTTTTTTATTTTTAAAAAACATAATTTCAACTTTTATTTTAGATTCAGGGAGTACATGTGCAGGTTTGTTGCACGGGTATACTGCATGATGTTAAGGTTTGGGGTATGATTGATCCCATCACCTAGGTAGTGAGCATAGTAGCCAATAGTTAGTTTTTCAACCCTTGCTCTGCTCTAGCAGTCCCCAGTATCTATTGAATGCAACTAATTTAAAAGTTAAAAATTATTGCAGGCCAGACATGGCTGGTAGGTTGCCAGCCAATTGCAGGTCTCTGGTATAATGGCGTGAGTAAGATAAGATACATCTCATTACAGTACAACTGCATAATGAAGCAATAGTTTTTCTCCCAATGCTCCAGTGCCCAAACCTATACTCTTATCAGTGCTGCTCAGTGGGTAAGATGCCCAGAGCCTTTGTGCTTTGAAGAAACCTGAGGTAGACTTGAAAGACAAGGGTAATAACAAGAAAAGAATAATCTAAGGCAGTAACTCATAGAATAAAACTGGTAGAGTATCAAATGCACGTGTAAGCCTCCTGAGTGTAGTGCCAGTGAGAGGTGGGTTCCTGGCTAACTCAAAAGCAGGGGCTGCCCAAAGAAAACTGCTGCTTTCACATTTTCTCTGGAGGGAAAAGTTTCAGCCTTTACCTACAGGTCACAGGTTCAGAATCAGGCTGAGTTAGATATGGCTAATTTCCCTATATAGTCTCCAGGCTGATTTAAATCCAGATATCTTGACACTTATTCCTCTAAATTTTTGAGAACCCATCTTCAGGCGATA
Source organism: Homo sapiens (assembly GCF_000001405.40). Taxonomy (NCBI): domain Eukaryota; kingdom Metazoa; phylum Chordata; class Mammalia; order Primates; family Hominidae; genus Homo; species Homo sapiens. Next base: position 45,629,713 of record NC_000002.12, on the reverse strand, counting down.
TTTGAGTAGGCAAACATTTTTCTAAGGAGACATTCTGAGTTTTGAAAAGAACTTTCTTCCTGGTGCTTTGAAACCTCGGTTTTGTATGTTTGTTTGTTAGAGATTGGGGTCTCACTCTGTTGCCCTGACTGGAGTGCAGTGACACGATCATAGCTCACTTTAGCCTCAAACTCCTGAGCTCAAGCCATCCTTCCACCTCGGCCTTCCGAAGTGCTGGGATTACAGGCATGAGCCACTGTGCCTGGCCTAAAACCTCAGTAGTTTAAAAATACTGAGTGGACATCCTTGGCTATTTCTCTGATGATTAGGTAGGTGTCTTTTGAAAGAATATTGAAAAATGCCTTCTCCCACAGACTCTTGCATTTCAGAAGTATCACGATTGCACATCAGAAATGTCCAATTTTTTTATGCCTTTCAGTCAAGTGCTCCCAACAAGGTATGTTCCATGTGGTGAAGCAGCCTACATAGCAGGATCAACCCAATGGCCAGTGGGAAAGGAAATAACTTACATGGAGTGCAGACACTGGTGATTGCCTTCCAAAAACCACTCACCAATCTCTACTCCCTTGTTTTGTTCTATTATTGATGGGAAGTTATATGTTTCTCAGAGGCTGGGTCCTCCCTACTTTCTCAGCTGCTGGAGTGAATTCCTGGTCAGTCTAAGGCTCTAAGCCAGTCATAGGAGGTATAATGCATCCCCCGTGCCTAAGAGTAGTTTAGGAATGAGCATATGATACAAAACTATACAGTGAGAAGTGAGAGTTGGAGAGTTTTCTGGAGAGAGCTTTCCAGGAAAAGTTTTCTCACTGATGAGAAGAAAATGATAAAAAGAAAAAGTTCCTTGCTATGCCTAAAATGGCACTATTGGCGACTATTTTTCCTTTTGAATTAATAATTGCCCTTTTCTTTTAGGTTATTGTGATATTTCTAGTGCAAATACCCCTGGGAAGAGTAATACATGGACTCACATTGCCAGAATTAGTTGGTCAGCTCCCTAATAGGGGTTAGGCCAGGTATGGTGGCTGACACCTGTAATCCCAGAACTTTGGAAGGCTGAGGCAGGAGGGTCACTTGAGGCCAGGAGTTTGAGACTAGCCTGGGTAACACAGTGAGACCTTTCCTCTACAAAAAATAAAAAAATTAGTCAGGCATGGTGGTGCATACCTGTAGTCCCAACTACTCTGGAGGCTGGGGTGGGAGGATCTTTTGAGCCCAGAAGGTTGAGGCTGCAGTGAGCTGTAATTGTACCACTGCACTCCAGCCTGGGCAACAAAGCAATATCCTGTCTCAAAAAAAAAAATTAATTAAAGATAAAAAGGTTTAGGTGGTATAGTGGCTTGCACAGTGCCTTCAAAAAGATATGTCCATGTCTTAATCTCTGGAACCTAATCCTTGGAACTGTGACTATTATTTGGAAAAAGAATCTTTACAAATATAATTAAGTTAAAGATCTTGAGATGAAGAAATCATCCTGGATTATCCAGGTAGGCCCTAAATTGAATGGCAAGTATCCTTATAAGAGTGAAATAGACATTGATGCAGACACAGAAGAGAAAGTGACTTGAAGACAGAGGCAGAGAGTGGAGTGATGAGGTCACAAGCCACGGAAGCTAGGGAATGCAGACAGCCACCACAAGCTGGAAGAGGCAAGGAAGGTTTCTCCCCTTCAGCCTCTGGAAGGGGGAAGGCCCAGCTGACACCTTGACTTTGGACTTCTGGGCTCTAGAATTGTGAGAGAACAAATTTCTGTTTCTTGAAATCTCCCATTGTGTGTTAATTTGTTGCAGCAGCCATGGGAAGCTAATTCAGAGGGCATGGGCTTGCTGAGGGCTTAAAAGAAATAAAGATCCAAAAAGGGGAGTCTGGGGGTCAGAAAGAGGAGCTCGTGGACTCTGCAAGTTTGCTTGGAGTCTTTCTTTAGCATCCCAACTTTGACTGTAAGAGGGCCGGTTAGCCTGTGCCTTGCTCCATAGCTAAACACAAATTCATAAGTTCTCCTCACCACACATTTTATCCTGGTCCTAGCTAGAGATAGTGCCCCTCATCTTGGTCAATTGTCTTCAAATGCATGCCCTTGGACACACAAAAGCCAGATAAACAGTACAGTGGATTGTTCAGTACAAACATTTCTCCTTCCTGGGAGTAAAACTCAGGAATGTCTCTCTATGAGCTTTTAGGCTTCCATAAGAACGGGACATTTGGTAGATTCACTCCTCTAGGTGAATCTGCTCAGGTAACTGACATAGTTGGAGATTCTGGCAGAGCTAGGAGTAGAAGGTGGAAGCAAAGGAAATAATATTTGTTGTGCAAGTGTCATGACCCCGGACCCATGTTAGATGTTTTACATACACAATCTCATCCAATCCTCACAAGAATCTCATGAAGTAAGTAGTCGTAGTATTCTGTTTTATATATGTGAAAACTGGCCCCAGAAGGACATAATGTGCCTATATTCACACATCTTGTAAGTGATGGAAATAGGATTCCTGGTGCTCTATTGGGTTCCAAATCCCATGTTTTTCACGCTAGGAATTTCTGCCTCCTTAGAAAAGGTTTAAGGTTGAAGGCAAAGGATGAATGAGGGAACCTTTGGGTTCAGGCTTCTCCATCATTCTTTCCCCATAGACAGCAGAAAAATATCTTCAGAGTCCCTGGAAAGGAGGAACTAACTCTGATGAAATGAGTCTGGAGTGATTGTTTAAGAAAGAAATACCACCCTGTGTATGAAATGACACAGAGCTTTCACATGGCTCGCTGGAGACCTGGGCTCCTAGGTTACCTCGGGACCACTGATCACTCAGAGATGAAAAGATAACGAGAGTATTTGCCTATCTCGGGCTTTCGGGCTCGTTTCTACCCAGGCCTAGTGACCAGTGCAGGTGTGAGCCAAAAGTTTATTTGAAAAAGGAGGCTGCTCTATTTACTTTTCCTATTCTAGTTCCCCCATTCCCCCAATCCACCCTCCCTCAGCCTGTAGGACACATTATCCTGGAAAAGGTATACTCACCCTGTTTGAACTGGGCCATTAGCTTTCAGGGGTGGCATAACTAGGAACAAAGCCAGAGTCTCCCTTTCCCTCCAAATATTTATAAGAAATTACCCAGTGAGCAGAAGCTAAGCTTTTAAGAGAAAAAGGTTCAGCTTACCACAGGGAATATAAGGCTTTAAACACTCACTTTCCCGGTTATTATCACCAATTTTTCTCTTGCACCCCCACAGTTTCAGAAAATCACACTTCCTTCTCACTGCCCCTTATCTTCCTTAGAAGATAACTGGTTGTTGTTGTTTTTTTTTTTTTTTCCAGTAAAGGAAACTGTCTAAGTGTCTGATTTTCAAATCAAGCAACCACACACTTATTCCTTCAATTAACAAGTTTGGTTCAGAAAAGGCAGGTGGAAGGCTGTCTCTGGAAAGGCATGTTGTAAATACAGATTGAGACTAGTATCTCCTTCACTGGTTCATTTGCTCTAATTAGGCTTAAAGTTTCCCAAAGACTCTTCTGGTCATCTTCCAAGCAAGATCTATTCACCTGAAGTTCAGCTTTCCTGTGACATTTCTCCTAGAACATGAACAGGATCCAGGCACCAAGTCCCTGCCTAACTAGTTAGTTACCAGCTGTGTGATTCCAAGTGAATCACTTAATGGCTCTGAGTCTCAGAGTCCTCTTCTATACAAAAGAGGCAAGTCATTCCTGCCACCTACTCACAGTGTTGGTCTCAAACCAGAGAAGGTATGTGAAAACACATAGAAAATGTTAGAGGTTGGTGAAGATGTAGAATAACATAATTGTGAAAATCCTCACCCCACAAGGTGGGTGGGTAAGCTGTCACATTTTTGTTCAGGCTTCAGCACTGGGCAGAGATCCTGAACTCCAATACCTTGTAGTTTCATGCAGAAGGAACATCTCTTTATATCCATTTAAGCTAAGAGCTTAGCTGTGATCCACTCTGAATTGCAGATGGAGTATCCTAAAACAGAATCCCAAACCCTGAGATCCGTACGGAGACATCTTTTCTTCCCATGTAGGGACCTCTGCAGCAACATTTCTGACAGCATCATCAAGCCTCAGATGAGACCCTTCTGTTAAATCTCTTTCTGGGCCCCTTTCTCACATGGGTCAGTTATAACTGTTAGAAAGTGATTTCTAAATAAGAACCCAAAGCTACTTTCACCATTATTTTGCCTCCTGGAATCACATACAGAAGGTTTGCCCACTCCTTCATAGGCTGGAAGATACTTGTACACAGCCATCAGGTCCTCATTAGACCCGCCCTACTTACCACCTCAAGTGTATTCCACATGTGACAGGACTTCAAACCTAGTGCCCTCCTGGCTGTCCTTCTTGGGACATACTTAGGTTTGTCAGTGTCTCTTCAAGTGTGCATATTAGTCCTAGTCCTATATTGCTGTAAAACAAATTACCCTAAAACCTGGTGGCTTAAAGCTATAAGCATATATTGTCTTACACCAACTCAGAGTCAGGAATCCAGCAACGGCTTAGCTGAGTGGCTCTGCTCCAGGCCTCTCATGAGGTCCCAGATATCAGACTGATTGGAATTCGATGGGAACCTAATCCACATTTCTTCATCACTTCCACCAATATATCACAGATAATATCAGACATTTTGATTACATCAAATAACTCTAGCTCTTCCAGATTTTCCTGACCTATCAGATTAGCAATACAATGGAATTAGTGGAAAGGAATTTAGGAATTAATAGATGCAATCTCCTTATTTTAGAGAAGGAAAAACAAAATGAAGTGACTTGCCCATGCTCACTAGTTATTGTCTGAAACAGAACTTGAACCAGTTCCATTCTTCACCCTGTTATACCTGTTGTTCTCTGTAGTGTGTCACTCACAGCATCAGAGAAAGGAAATTCTATATAGGGTATACTCATTTAAGGGCCTGCCAAAGCAAGTATCTCCTTGGTTCTTTCCCCATATCACAGCCACAACCCAGCTGTGGCATAATCCTGTGTATATTCCTGGTTCTTTCTAATCATCTCCTTTTTTAAAAATTAAAAATGTATGCCATTTTTACTCTTTAAATCTAACAAACCATCTGTTTAATAATGTATTCACAACCTTGTTGTGGATGGAAAATTTCACTACTCTGTGTTTCTTCTAATCTACAGTTTCCAGATTTGTAATAATCTTTTTTTTTTTTTTGAGATGGAGCCTTACTCTGTCACCCAGGCTGGAGTGCAGTGGCACGATCTTGGCTCACTGCAACCTCCGCCTCCCTGATTCAAGCGATTCTCCTGCCTCAGCCTCCTGAGTAGCTGGGACTACAGGCGTGTGCCACCACGCTTGGCTAAATTTTGTATTTTTTAGTAGAGACGGGGTTTCACCATATTGGTCAGGCTGGTCTCGAACTCCTGACCTCGTGATCTGCCTGCCTCAGCCTCCCAAAGTGCTGGGATTACAGGCGTGAGCCACCGCACCCGGCCAGTAATAATCTTTTACCTCTTCTAAAGTCCCTTCTTCTTTTCTTCATTATTTCACAAAAGTCCACAACACTAATTGTCATACCTCTGTGTTTGTTTTAGTGCCGTGGTTTGTATTTGTTCAGGCTCAGAGGGTGTAACTTCTGTAAAAGATCTAGATTTCATAATACTTTGTGTTTTCTTTTATGTCAGACATAAGTTCGTCTTTTAAAACAATTTTTAAAAAAGAGTTGGAGTCTTACTATGTTGCCCATGGAAATCCTGGGCTCAAGTGATGCTCCTGCCTCAGCCTCCTGAGTAGCTGGGGCTACAGGCATGCACCACCATTCTCAGCTACTTTTTTTTTTTGTAGAGACGGGGGTCTTGCTATGTTGCCCAGGCTGGTATCAAAGTCCTGGGCTCAAGTGATCCTCCCTTGGCCTTCCAAAGTGCTGGGATTACAGGAGTGAGCCACCACACTTAGTCTCATTCATTCTAAGATGCATACATTTTCACATTTGTTGTCTCTGAAATTAGAATGCATTGTGTAATAGATACCATATCGTAGTTTAATTGACAGGGCTTTGAAAATTTTTCTTTTGCAGTAGTATACGCAACAATGGCACATCTTGCAAACCATGGCATCTTAGCTTTGATAAAATATATTATTTGCATTTGTTTACATATGCAAAGTATTTTGTTTGAAAGGATTCTCAAGAAACTGGTAAAATGAACTGCTCATAGGGAGAAGAACTAGGTAGCTAAGAAACAGAGTGACAGAATTTCTATTGCATTTCCTTTTGTATCTTTCACATTTTGAATCACACCACAAATCTCAACAAATAAAACATTAGGACAATAGATTCCAATTTAAAAAGTACAACTGGACATGAGCCCTTGCAACACCATGACTTCACAGAGATTTGCATGCAGTTCTGTGTTTGTTCCTAGAGATGGCCAATGAGCAATGAGCACTGTGAAGGTACGGCTTTGCCACTGCATGCTTCTCTCTTAATGCAGGGTCCAACACGGCGCCTGGTCAGGGACTAACTTTAAATGATATCATTCCTTTCTCCCAAGGTTTTGGTCATGTTTAAATCATTAACCAGATCTTTGTTGGTTAAAATTAAGTTCAACATAACTGTTTTCCTCATTGCTTTCTTTACCTTCCTGTTGATGAAATTGTTCTACAAGGAAAGACACAAATATATCAGATGCTCTGCTCTTACTAGATTTTGACTTCCAACAGAACCGTAGAACAGCCCGTAGGGAAATGAGAGAAACATCTTGAGAAGAAAAGAAAAACAGTTTAATTGGCACCAACGCGCTTGACAATTGAGTTACTGTGATGGCTCATATGTGGTATTTGCTAAATGAACCAGGAGATTCTGGAAATGACTGTAAGATGTTGGCAGTTGTGCATGTCACTAAAAGGATCACTGTTGATTCCTTCCTGTTGATGAGGATATTTAGAAATGCAAATAGCCACTTCCCAGACCATGCTGAATATTAAATGCACAAAAAAGCCACACTAAATCTGAAGTAAGCAAAATCAATCCCAGCAATCCTGCGTGGCAAAGAATAACTGATAACCAGTGAATACCTATGATACCAGGTCTACTCCAAAAATAAGTCAAAAAGGTTAATGCAGAATAGAGATACAGTTTTCAGGGCCAGAGCTTTCAAGTTTGACATAGACAGAATCCAAGCCAGTGCTGGTTGGGTGTGGAAAGGGCAGGCTCCAGGGTGATTACTATCAATTTTTGTTGGCATTTGTGGTTCACTCTTATCAGAAAGTTGGTACAGGGTGAAGTCAACTTAAAACTCAGCAGTAAAATGAACAATTTTTTTGTGGCTTGTTTGTTTGGGATATGGATACAATAACGTCATTTTCTAGAATTAGGCCAGATTTAATTTAATAATTTAATATAAATTTACTTTTCAATAAGACTGTTAATTAAATGTGCAACCAACATAAAACATTACCTGTAATAACTTTTCAAAGCAAAGCATAGATTATTTGTTCCAATCTATGGTACAGAAAATACGGTTTTCTTATTTAAATACCAGATGATAAGTTTTACTCCCAAATCTTCTTTCCCATGACTTCCCTTTAAGAATCACTGGCTTGCCTGTTTCCCTGTGGCTTTTCTTTCTCTGTCACACATTTTGTACTCTGTGATGTAATTCTTCCATAGGTCCTGTGCCAGATATCCTTTCCTTATTCCTCAGATCTACTTGCCACCTTTCTCCACCCTACTTTCTGCCCCAGGAGGCTGACCCCTATGGGCAACCTCAAGGGCTCACACCCACGGCTTATGGGGACCTCTAGCAGGAAATCAGGGTTGGGGGTGGAGGGTCAAGGGAGATGAAGTCAGGGTATGTATTCTCCACTTTTGCCAACTCAGTTTGGCTGTGTCCCTTGACCAAAGAGATCAGCCATATTTACTGCTCCTCTCAAGGGGACCAACCATATAGGACTCTCTCCAGCTGTAGTAACCATTCCCTCTCATCATGCCTTCAGGTCCAGAGGTTATAGCAGCATTCTCTCTCTTTTTTTTTTTTTTTTTTTTTTTTTTGAGATGGAGTCTCGCTCTGTTGCCCAGGCTGGAGTGCAGTGGCATGAACTCAGCTCACTGCAAGCTCCTCCTCCCTGGGTTCACACCATTCTCCTGTCTCAGCCTCCCGAGTAGCTGGGACTACAGGTGCCCGCCACCACGCCTGGCTAATTTTTGTATTTTTAGTAGAGACGGGGTTGCACCATGTTAACCAAGACGGTCTCAATCTCCTGACCTCGTGATCTGCCTGCCTTGGCCTCCCAAAGTGCTGGGATTACAAGTGTGAGCCACTGTGCCCGGCCTACAGCAGCATTCTCTTATTTCCCCCTGTGGTCCCCTCTTCCTTGCCCACACCCTTGCAAACAGTATATCTTAATTTGAATGCAACGTTTGTCTCCTACTGGGATCCTGATTGATATACTCCCCTATGGAAGACCTAGCCTAAATTTAATCAAATGCAATAAAATGCCCCTTGAACCAGGGTATTAAAGAGTGCACCTGGCAGATGATCCACATCACTGTCATTTGGAACTTGATTAAAAAGGCAGATTTCCCAGACCTCACCCAACTCTCTCTCTGGAAGTCAGAGTGGGGAATCAGTATTTTAAACAAGTTTTCTAGGTGATATCTAGACACAGCGAAATGGGAGAACTTGTCACAGAACAGATGATGTTTTAAAAATATGCTGCTAATGAAGCTAAGGCTTTTTCAAATCTTATCAGGAAACTAGAGCATTATCTCAATCTCCCACCAGGACTCTAGATTGCTTTCCAAATCTCATCAAGAAACCAAAAATAAAACCAAGAAAATTAATGCAAGATAATGACTAGTGTAAATTGGTTTCCCAGTGACTATGAGACCTTTCTCAGGGTGCGAAAATTCTTTACAAATATGGCATAAATCTCAGAGGTCAACCATATAAACTTGAAAATTTTCTGATGGAAAAATCATTATAAGTAAAATTAAGAGACAAATGATAAACTGAGAAAAAATATTTGCAATACATATCAAAGAGCCTTGAAGTGGTACTTTTGGACAATATTCTCCAGTTTTCCAGTTTCTTGGATGGGGAGGGGAGAGAGGATTTACTGACCTCGTCACCCTACCAAGGCTGGAAGTCCCACTTCAGTCTTAAAAAACAGCCAAGCAAACAAAATCTCAATTGTCTTCCCACAAAGCACCTAACAAGTAGCACATTTAATATGCTTCAGTTTCCTTCCCCTGCCCATCCCTGGTGAAAATAAAAGCAATGAAATAATTTCCTATGACTCAAAAATTGGAAGGGGAAACAGAGTAGGTGGCAGAAGTAGTCCAAGTTCAAAATGAAGAGCATGTGGGTAAATCAGTTTCTCAGCACTTCAGGGATAGTTATATTTAAAAATACATATTTCTTCCTTCCTTTCTTTTTTTTTTGAGATGGAGTCTTGCTCTGTTGCCTAGGTTGGCATGCAATGGCATGATCTTGGCTTACTGCAACCTCTGCCTCCCGGGTTCAAGTGACTCTCCTGCCTCAGCCTCCTGAGTAGCTGGGATTACAGGTGCTCACCATCACACCTGGCTAATTTTTGTATTTTCAGTAGAGACGGGTTTTGCCATGTTGGTCAGGCTGGTCTCGAACTCCTGACCTCATGATCTGCCCGCCTCGGCCTCCCAAAGCGTTGGGATTACAGGTGTGAGCCACTGCACCCAACCTAAAATATGTATTTCTATTAACATCCACCTTGCTATTTCAAACATCCTCTTAAAAAGTCACAGGATATTTATTTGATGACCTAAATTATGTCAAAACTTTTTCTGCTTTTCAGACATTTACTCCATGGCCCCACCTGCACTGACACCTGCTGACTCAACCCAAGAAACTCTCTGAAATGATTCTCCATGGTCATGTAGACTAAGGAAGGTTTGATGGAATTAGAATAACAGCTTATGGCCAGAATCATTTCATCCCCCACCAAACCCATAGATGTTTGATGTGAACTTCATGAGGATTTCTGTTTCTGTAGGAAATAAATATGACATGGTCACAGAGAACAAGTAGGCTTTGCTCAGGTCCAAATTCTGTGTGACTTCTTAAAACATTCAAAGAGGAATACATTTGAGTGAGGTTTCTCCTCTTCTCCCCTCCTCTTCTTCCTCCTCCTCCTTCTTCTTTTTTTCTATCTTTCTCTTCTTCTTCTATTAATTCAGACTTATTCTTGTGTTCATTTGAACTGTGCACTATTCAGGCATAGCATTCTTTTTGCCCTTCAATTGAGCTGACACTGATCAGGCAGGGTGGCTCATGCCTATGATTCCAGCACTTTGGGAGGCCGAGGCAGGCAGATTGCTTGAGCCCAGGAGTTTGAGGCCAGTCTGGGCAACATAATGAAACCCCATCTCTACTAAAAATACAAAAAATTAGCCAGGCGTGGTGGCACATGCTTTTAGTCCCAGCTACTTGGGAGGCTGAGGTGGGAGGATCACCTGAGCCTGGGAAGTTGAGATTGCAGTGAGCCATGATCGTATCACTTCACTCCAGCCTGGGTGACAGAAAAAAATTGAGTTGACACCATCAATATAGTATGACTTTCTTGTATATTACCAGTAAAGACTTTAACAGCATTATTCGTCTACTAAATGAAGTCTACTGCTTTCAAATAAAAAAAAAAACAACAACAAAATTCTGTTTCTTATACTTTGAAATAATCTGGCATATTGATTATTTTAATATATCTTTGAATATGCACTCTTCCTTATTCTGACTCTGGCTCTCTGGACTTCAACTCATGCAGATTGTTTGCCAGGAGAGCCGGTGGATTATTGAAAATATTTACAACATTAAAAAACATTTTGGGGTAATGTATTTGCAGCAATAGATGACTAACAAATGCAGATTTAGTTGAAGTAGGTACTGCATATAATTATTATTATTTTTTAGTTCTTGAGGTTTTGATAGATAAATTATGCTCTGTACCTTTGGGGAAAATACTTAAACTCCCTAAACTTCAATTTCATCCTCTTAAAATGGGGATAAGTATATCACCTGTCTCAAACGACTATTTTAAAAACTAAAAAACAAAATGAAACAACAATGTGAAAGCCCTAAAATAAGTATATAAAGTGTTTATTACAATATCTTGAAAATATTAAGGCAATCTATAAGGGTTATCTATTTTTATTATTTTTGATTAATAAACTACACAATAGTAGTCAATGTGGCTAGCAGGAACTGTGAATATCTGGTCTGCCTTTTGGAAGGGCATGTTTAAGGGTAAGCCCCATAAAATGTTATACAGCATTTCAAAACCATACTGCTGTAGCTCAGTTCTCTAGCTTTCTAAGTCAAGTACACACTAAGAATTAGGGCAGTCTTTCTGTAGTGCATAGAACACCCCATCAGTATCACCTGGTGTCATCATAGACATGTAGAAACTACCTTAGACCCATTAATTTGGGATCTTGGAGTCAAGATCCCAAATTAAAGTTGGACATTGGGATTTTAAAAAGCTCTCCTGGTGATTCTTAGGTGAATTAAAATTTGACACATACTAGCTACATGATTACTGGTAACAGGCCTGAAAGTTACAGGAATTATAGACCTGGGATATTCTGACTGACAAAAACTTATGGTAGAAAGTCACGAGAGGCCCTTGTATACGCAATACCTACTTCTGCTAAACTCTATATTCCAGGATGCCACAGGAGTTTCTTGGTAAACAATCTGAATTTTCTTATATTCAGATCATGGTCCAATCTAAACAAAATACCCAGTTATACTGTATGAACATTATGACTTAGCTAACTTTCCACATTATTTGCTAAAGCTTATAAGTGCCACTTTCCCAATTTTAAAACATTCTTTTAGTATGATAAATTCATTTACTTTAAGCTCATAATTTTGTCATCTTTCAATGTGAAATTAGGTCATTTTTCTGCAAAGAATGTGTTCTATCTACATTGATGTTGGCATTAGGAAAGTTCCCATATGGTAAAAATGTTGGTGGTTTTGATTTCACCTGTCAGCTAGCTTCTTGAAGGACGTTTGGCCATAGTAAAGTTTTCTTTGTGGTCAACGAAGGAATCATTTTTCTGTGTGCTACTATGTCAGCAGTTGCCTGTAATAACATACACCTCTTAAAGCCAGGTGTCATATTTGACAAAGGACTGGTATCCACAATATATAAATAACTCTTGTAATTCAATAAACAAAAAGTCAAATTAAAAATAAAAGATTTGAACAGACACTTCACCAAAGAAGATATGTGGATGGCAAATAAATGCATTACTAATACAAATTGTTAGTCATAAGGGAAATGAAATACACACATTAGGATGCCAAAAAATTTAAAAACCTGACAGCATCAAGTTCTGGCAAAAAGTGGTACAACTGGAACTCTCACGCATTTCTGGTGGGAATGCAGAATGATACAGCTACTTTGAAAAACTAAAGACACACTTATGACTCAGCAATTCTGTTCCTAGGTGTTTATTTACCCAAGAGAAATGAAAACGTTTGTCCATACAAAAACTTGTACATGGATGTTCATAGCAGCATTATTCATAACAGACAAAAAGTGGAGACAACTGAAGTCTATCAACTGATGAATGGATAAACAAACTGTGGTATACCCACACAATGGAATGCTAACTGGCAATAAAAATAAACAAACTACTGATGCATGCAATGATGTGCATTAATCTCAAATGTATTATAATAAGTGAAAGAAATGAGACTCAAATGGTTACATGCCATATGATTCCATTTATATAATATTGATATGGTTTGGCTGTGTCCCCACCCAAAATCTCATCTTGAATTGTAATCCCCCAAATCTCCATAATCCCCACGTTTCAAGGGTCAGACCAGGTGGAGGTAATTGGATCATGGGGGTGGTTCCCTCCTTGCTGTCCTCATGATAGTGAATGAGTCTCATGAGATCTGATGGTTTTATAAGCGTCTGGCATTTCCCCTGCTGACACTTACTCTGTCCTGCCACTCTGTGAATAAGGTGCCTGCTTCTCCTTTGCCTTATGCCATGATTGTAAGCTTCCTGAGGCCTCCCCAGCAATGCAGAACTGTGAGTCAATTAAACCTTTCCTTTGTAAATTACCCAGTCTCAAGTATTTCTTCATAGCAGCGTGAGAATGGACTAATAAAGACATTCTGGAAAAGGTAAAATTATTGGAACAGAAAACAGATCAGTGGTTTGCCAGGTGCTGGTGGAAGGGGAAAAGATTGACTATAAAAGGGCATTTTTTTGAATGATTAAAGTGTTCTATATCTTGATTGTGGTGATGGTTACACAACTATATGTGTTTGCAAGAATAAAAAAGCTGACTTTTACTCTATGTAAATTATACTTCAATAAACCTGACTAAAAAAATAGTACACACAAATTTGGACATAGACTGATCTGACACACCATGCTTTTCTGAATTTGAATTCCAGTGTGTGAAGGCTCTAGTACTAAAATTCTGACAATATGCATTCCTAGATGAATGTTTCAAGCAAGCACTTTGCAGGATAGTTTCAATTTATTAAGGTGGAAGATGGACCAATGGTACTAGATATAATATTTAGTTCTGAATTACAGTATCCAGACATGGCTACCTGTGGTTAGTCCAGATTTGACTAAAATAAATCTGGCCCCATTATGCTGCCATTTATCCCTTCCTTGAAACCCAGCCAGCCATGGCATCATCAGGATCTTAATGAGCCCTCTGGGGTTTCCATACTTGGATCTCAGACTGTTTAATAGATATTTTAGGCCTTTGAGATGGTCCCTGAGCACTACTGATGAGAAACTCAACAGGAGAAAAAATTTCAATATGTTTGCTCATGATTGCAACCAATTGAATGCCTCTTAGCCAGTGACTTTGCAAGGTAAGTGATCAGTGGAAGAGTGGACCATGCAATAGATATGGTATTTCATCTATTATTTATGTTTTTTATGGGTCTTAATCCTATTTATAACTGCATTCATTACAAAATACCTTAGGAATTTGTACAAAATAAGTAGGATAAAGCACTGAACATTTTAGTTTTCACCTAAAGATACAAATTATATTGTATTTCAATATGCAGTTTCCATAATTTTACTTTGTGTGAGATAAATTTGATGTATACAATCCCTTTGATTCCAATTCCTTGACAAATCTGTACAATTAATTTCCTCAACCTTAACTGATGCTTCCTCCAGATCCATTTAATATTTAATAAAGACTCAGGTTTTAATCTCTTGAATCTTTACTCTTTCATAAGAAAGACTGACAAAGTTACTCTGGCTAGAACAATGGCATCAGCACTAGTCTAGCACTTTGGAGTCATGCTGCTGTTCCCAGCTAGATTGAAAGAGTTAATAGGACAGGCCAAATTTGAGAACCCACCTACCAGCCTGGTCAGCCTCACTAATAAGAAACTCCTTTTTCATTTGGGAAACAGAAGTAGGCCCCTCTCTGTTTACTAGTCTCTTTCATTTTGCAGTAAATCTCCAGATTTCTGGCTGAATTAGTCAGAGAAGGTCATTGAAGCCAAAGAGCTTTAGTGTTTAGGAATAAGAACGTCTGACAGTGGGAAAAGAGGGGAGATAGGAGCTAATACATACTTTTTTTTTTTTTTTTTTTGAGATAGAGTCTCACTCTGTCATCCAGGCTGGAGTGCAGAGTGCAGTGGCGCAATCTTGGCTCACTGCAACATCCACCTCCTGGGCTCAAGCGATTCTCCTGCCTCAGCCTCCAGAGTAGCTGGGACCACAGGTGCCCACTACAATGCCTGGCTAATTAAATATGCAAATTTTTGAACTAGGGCTCAGTTTGTTTGCTCATTCTTTAATCTGAAACAGCCATTATTATTATCATTTTTGCCTTTGCTAGTTGTATTAGAATTCTCCAGAGAAACAGAACTAGTAGGGTGTGTGTGTGTGTGTTTGTGTAATAAATACAGCATAAAGATATATGAGAATATTTTTTAGGGAATTAGCTCACAAAATTATAGAGGCTGAGAAGTCCAGTGATTGGCCATCTGCAAGCTGGAGGGCCAGGGAAGCTGGCAGTAGGGCTCAGTCCAAGTCTGAAGGTCTCAGAACCAGAGAAGCCAATGGTGTAACTCTCACTGCATGGCCAAAAGCCTGAGAACATGGGGCTGAGAGGGTACACTGATTTAAGTCCTGGAGTCCAAAGGAACATGCAGTTCTAATGCTTAAAGGCAGGAGAAAAAGTGTGTCCCAGCTCCAAAAGAGAGAGAAAGAAAATATTCCTTTCCTCTTTGTTCTATCTGGGCCTCAGCCAATTGGATAGTGTCCACCGAAATTGGGTGAGGGCAGATCTTCCTTACTTAGTCTACTGATTCAAATGTCAGTCTCTTCTGGAAATACTCTCACAGACACACACAGAAGTAATGTTTTATCAGCTGTCTGAGCATCCCTTAATCCAGTCAAGATGACACCCAAAATTAACCATCACACTGATTGACTCTCAGAGATAAAATGTTTGAATTTTCATAAGTACACTTGATTTTTAAAATGGCAACCCACCTTCTGTGTCAAGAGCTTTAACTTACTTTTCTCATAAGAGAAATTTGTTTGTACTCTAGACATATTATTGGGTCCAGGAGTTAGTGTACTATTTTTAATGAGTACCTATTATATGTCAAGCATTATTAGGCACTGTGTGGGTGGCGGGAGAAGGTGGAGAGGGGAGGAAAATTTGTTTTTACTTTAGACATGTTTTTGGGTCCAGGAGTTAGTCTACTATATTATTGAGTACCTATTATATGTTAAGCATTATTAGGCACTGTGTAGGTGGAGGGAGAAGTTGGAGAGGGGGAGATAAAAAATTACCAAGAGTTAGTTCCTAGATCCAAATATCTATTAGTAGGTGAAACAGTTGCATCTATTAATATATTAAGAATTTTTGTTCTTATGAAACTTAGTTTGAGGCCAATAGAGAGAATAGCTTTGTTATGTTTCAGGTGGTTAGACAGTACTTTATTTAGAGTATTTAGAGATTCGACAGTTCTGGAGCACCTTAAACATTGAGAGTCTCACTGGCCACCATAGTGGAGCGAGAAAAGGTCTTTGCTTTGAGTTTGTGGTACAGCTGGCCATCTGTATCTGCATTCATGGATATGGAACCTGCAGATGTGGTGGGCCAACTTTTTCTATCACTGATTGGTTGAGTATCTGTAAATTTTGCTATCTGTGGGGGGTCCTCAGACCAATCCCCTGTGGATAGACAGCAAATTGTATGTGGATACCTTTCAGAGTACTTGCTTTGGAGTAAAGCAGATTATTGGATTTGAATCTCAGATCTACAATTTATTAGCTGATGTGACCTTAGATGAATTATTTAACTTCTTTATACCTGGTATTCTCATTTATAAAAATGGTTTAATAGCAATATTGCATTGGGGTAATATGTGAATTATATACATAAATACATCTAAAAGCATTAACTTAGTGCCTGGCACAGGTAAGTAATCAATAAAGGTAAGTTATTACTATTATTATTACATTTGCCCTGGGGAGCTAGAACCCATAGGGGAAGGACTTGAAAACAGATAATAACATACAAATGATAATGTATCAGTGAATATCATGGGAAGAGCTATATACTTTGGAGGGATAAAACAACCTCCATCAAATCCAAAACATGTTTTCATTACTCCCAAACCCTATTGCATAGTCTCAGGTGGGTGTCCGGATTATTCCAGGCTTTCAGTCTAAACCCATGAATTTCTTGGAATTCAGCACTTGAGATCCAAAAGTAAACAATAGATTGGGCAATGTCCTAGACAGAAAAGGCAGTTTTTGTGGGAGGGCCTGTTTTATACTTAAGTGATTACAAATTTTCCTTGACAGCGTGTAGTGGGAGTGACTCTCTTATAGAATTCCAAGGGAAATATTCTCTGGACAGTCCTTATTGGCCTTTAGAGTAGGCCACTACCTACATACTTTAATTTTAGAGAACCTGCTTCAGATTTTATTTTCCCCAGATGTCTGATGTCTAAAATCTTAACAGGCTATTTATTTTTGTGATTTTTTTTTTCTTCCCCAGCTGTAAGGCAAAAATCCCTTGTGGGGAGAGGAAAGTCAAGCTTCAATGCTTTGCTGGCCCACTCTTACTCTCCTCCTCACTGTAGTGTGGCTACTACCTGCATACCCAACCCTTGAAGCTAGACTGTTTTGCTTGGGTGTCTGTTTCCTCTGGCTGTATCTGGTTCCTACTCTTGGTCGTAAATTCCTCCAGGGCAGGACTTATGTCAAAAGACTTTGCAGTATATTAGTTCACCTTTACCCTTACTACCTCTGCAATGATTGGAATGTCCCCTTCAAAAATTCAAGTTGAAACTTGTCATTGTAATAGTATGAAGAGGTGGGACCTTTAGGAAATGATTAGGTCATGAATGAGTTAATTCCATTATCACAGGAGGGTTAGTTATTTCGGGAGTCAATTGGGTTCACATGCCTCCCCCACCCCTACCCCAGTATGATGCCCTCCATCATATTTTGACACAACAATAATGCCCTCTGTCTTGGACTTCCCAGCCTTCAGAACTACAAGCCAAACAAATCTCTTTCTTTATAAATCTACCAGTCTATGGTATTTGGTTACAGCAGCAGAAAATTGACCAAGACAACCCCTTACCATAAACCTGAGTAGCAAATGCAACATCAAAAGTAGGTGAATAGTAAGTAGTACATTATTGTTGTTGATTTCTATGATCTGGTTTCTCTTCCCACAATCCTGAACGGTAAGGTGTTCTCTAGTATTTCTTCAGGACCATAAATTGTGAAGGAGACTGTGATTGTAGTAGACAATTCTAGGCCTTCTGGAACCATCACTAAAGGCAACATACGACTGTGCTAATTAAAAGGAAAAAAAAATCCCTAAACAATCTCGGAAACTGATCTTTCCTGGCCAACAATCTCAGATATAGAAGATTAGATTTACTAAATTTAGAAAGAATCCTTTTTTTTTTCCCCCAATCACAAAAATTATCCAGTAAAATCTATGCTCACTTCCGGTAGATCTGCAACAAGGCACGGTCACAGGTCATTTCAATAACTTGCTAGGCTCTTCAGTACTCAGAGTCCCTGGAAATAAGTCATTAGCAGTGGAAAGCTGCTTTTTAGAATTTTCTAAAACAAATCCATGGGGTTTTGATCTGCTAAATTCGAATGTAGACAACAGCAGCCTTATTTCCCTACTTTTATAATCTAATTTATTTGGCTGTATCTGTGGGCTTAAGAGTTTAGTGTTCTTGGTAAATAACACGTAAAAAAAAAGTCATTTTTCATTTCTACGAACCAGCCCCACCCCGGCGCTCCCTCGGGATCCTCGCTCTAGCCCCGCCTCCGTCCAGCCTGGCTCCGCCCCGTTCGGTAGCGCCGCGCCTTGGAGGTCTGTGGCTAACTTGGTCCGGAAGAAGCGAGGCGGACCTTCTGGCGTTTGAAAAACTTCCGGCGGGAACCGGAAGGTGCGGTGGCACTCACGGAATCTCGGGTCTTCTGACGTGCCGGGCGGGAAGGTGAGCTGTGCGTGCGCCTTGGCGGTCGTCTTGCGGGTTCTCAAGAGCCCGGCGTCCGGGCTCCGGGATCTTTGGGGCCATTAAAAAAGTTCTGAGCGCTCATTTGGGCAATAACACCCCTTTTTTAAAAGTGAGAAGTTCATTACATTTTACTGTCAGCGGTCTCTCACAACCGACCACCCGAAAACCCCTCCTAGCTACCTCGTGACACCTCTTTTCAGCCAAATTGCTGCAGCTCTTAGCGCATAACAGACATAGAAAAGCCTGGGCAAGCCTGTTTTTTTTTTTTTTGAGACGGAGTCTCCCTCTGTCGCCCAGGCTGGAGTGTAGTGGAGCGATCTCGGCTCACTGCAAGCTCCGCCTCCCGGATTCACGCCATTCGCCTGCCTCAGCCTCCCGAGTAGCTGGGGCTACAGGCGCCCGTCATCACACCCGGCTAATTTACCTGGATTGTTTTTATACCTAAAATTATCGGAGGTGGGAGAGGAAGCACCCTTTTCACGGTCATGGTGGCCCTGTCTGAATCAACTGCACCTTCTGTAGTGCGCCTGGCATGTAGGAGGCGCTCAGTAACCGGAGGAAAGGAATGAATTGGGAACTCTCTAGGCAACTTTCCTCGAACCCCTCACGTGACATGTCATTAACATATTGTGTGTGGAATGGGAAACGAGACTAGTCTTGGTGTTCCAGGCACTGGGCTATAGTCCTTTGCCACATATCTTTCCCCTTTGAGTAAACTGTTTCACCTCATTGGGTCTCAGATTTCTGAATATAGCGGGACTGTCTGATCTCAGGTTCTTTCAGCTCTAGTATTTTGTTTTTGTGACTTGGGAATCTGCTAACATTCAAGCACTCTGTTGGTCCTTCATGGAAACTTGTTTAGGTGCTTCTTAAGAAATTGTCCTCCTTTGTTTGCCTTCTTGAATTTAAATTTTTTTTTCCAATTTTAATTTAGTATTTGTTAGTGTGCACGTCCTTTTGCCCCTTTGTCCTGATTTGCAGTCGTCCTAGTTTAGTGGCTCTTCCCTTAGTAACATCATAGCAACCTCCAAATTATTGGTTTGGAATATGCTCATGTGCCTACAGTGATTAAGATAGTTTGAAAGGAGGGAAAAATCCCAAGTCACTGAAGAATAGGAATATTCTTATGTGCCATCACTTCTTCAGAAAGAGATGAATGCAATGTGTGGCATTGCCTAAGAGTGGTGGAAAATAAATGTATATTCCTCTGTAGAGACCATATTTGTACATATTATGTTCATTTAATAGTTGTAGGGCATCTGTTAAGTGCTAGGTTCTATGATATGGAAGTGAATAAGGCACATGCATTTCCTTCTTTCATGGTATTTACTCTCTTGACAGCAGTGCAAGCAATAAACAAGTAAAATAAAAATAATTACAGATTGTGTTATAACCTACTGTATACAGGAAGTAAATAGGCTCCTTTTAAAATATAATTGAGAAACCTATTTTAGGCCTGAAATGTTAAGATCTAAGGGATGCAAGGAGCCAGCCAATTGACAAGCAGGGGGAAGAATACTCCAGGCAGAGAGTACCTGAGGTGGGAAAGAATGTTATGACAAGAGCTGAGGAGCTCCAGCAAGTAGTAAAGGTGGTTAGAAAGGTGAGCAGGGCTCAGTCCGACAGGGCCTTTTCAAAGGCCTCATAAAAATGTGGCTTGATTCTAAGTGAAGGATGGGGTGGGAAGTAATTCGTTGTTTCTAAAGCATATTCTAAATGATCTTGAGTTGATAAGTGGAGAATGAGTTGCAGGGGCAAGAGTGGAAGTAGGGAGGGCAGTTAAGAGGCGAGTGTGGTAGTTCAAGTGAGGGAGGTTGAGGACTAAAGGCTCACTGAAGATCGTGGAGATTCAAGACATTTTGGAGGAGGATCTTATGTGACTTACTAATAGTCTGGATATGTGAGATGAAAGAAAAAAAGATTTGTAACATTTTGACTTAGCAAATGGAACTTTGGAGGATGATAATGTGTTCATTTTCTTGATTGTAGTGATATGTATACATATGTCAAAACATCAAATTTGCACACTTTAAACATGTGCAGTGTATTGCATGTCAATTATATGTCAATGAAGCTGTTAAAGAATTTTCTGGCCAGGCGCCATGGCTCACACTTGTAATCCCAGCACTTTGGGAGGCCGAGGCAGGCAGATCACCTGAGGCCAGGAGTTCGAGACCAGCCTGGCCAACGTGACGAACCCCGTCTCTATCAAAAATAGAAAAATTAGCTGGGTGTGGTGGTACACGCCTGTAATCCCAGTTACTTAGGAGGCTAAGGCAGGAGAATTGCTTGAACCTGGGAGGCAGAGTTTGCAGTGAGCTGAGATCACTCCAGGCTGGGTGACAGAGTGAGACCGTCTCAAAAAAAAAAAAAAATTTTTTTTTTCAAGGTTCTGGCTTAGCAAATAGGTGGGTGCCACTTATTGAGATGGGAAGGACTGGAATAGGAACAGGTTTTAGAGCAAGAAATGGTCATCAAGAGTTCCATTGTGGATGTGTTAAGTTAACTGTGAGACATCTAAATAGTTTCAGAGACAGGCAGTTTATTATAGAAATCTGAATGTTAAAGGCACGGTTTGGGATGGAGGGATTAGGATTGTTAATAAGTAGGTGACATCGGTATGTAAAACCGTGGAGATGGATGAGGTTTTGGTTAATCTAACAAGTTTTATGACACAAAGTAAGAGGATATGGGAGTAGTGGAGATGGAGAAACAGGCCTCAAGAATATTGGTGTTTAAACTGGAGAATACATACTCCTGGGGGTGTACCTGTCGTAGGTAGTTTTAAAGACATAATTTCCAAGTCTTCAGCTTTTGTATATATTCTTTCTAAATCTGATCTGCTTGAAATTGGCTTGTGTGTTCATGCAGATTCTGCTTTCCCACCTTTCCTTTTACATTGATATTTTTAACATTTGTGAAAAGAAATATTACAACTCACTCATCTTTCCATGGTATATTGCTTTCGGGGTGCCTTATAAAGAGGCAGTTGGAAATATTTGATTTAGGGGAGCCTTCTTTAAGGATAATGGTTAAGCAAAAACATAAGCCTGCCAAGGGTTTGCCTGTCCCTATTTTAAACACATTTCTGTTAAGGCTGAAGTGTGGAGATAGAATTAGTATATGGTAGTCTGTGTGGGAATGTTCTGAATTCAGGCATATTGTAGAATGTGGTGGTAGGAGTGATTGTAAGGTGATCTGGGTGGGTTGTTTGATGGGAAGCTTAGCACCTTCAAGTTTTTACTCTTGGACTGGTTAGATTCTCCAGAGAAAAGCCTTCCCATTCTCCTCCCTAGAGGGCAGTATTTTAGGAATTTAGTGGCGGAAGACTAGGGTTCTCTGCCTTTAGCATTCAGTCTGTATGGTTCCCATGCCCACAGTCTAGACTGTTTCATTAATACCTTCTCCAGAGAATAAACTTACAGTCTTTTTCCTGGGGCAGTTGCCTAATAGCATGAAGTGAGGTAGGACACTTAGAGATATTCCTTTGTCAGTTTATACACAGCCCTAACCCGTTTCACCTTTAATTCCAAAGGTATCAGCTACTGCTTCATATGAATTTTTTTTTTTTAGAATACTGCAGGGTAAATTGGTTTGGTTCTCATATGCTCCCACTACTGGCTTGGGATTTTAATTTTTATGTGTTGCAATTTGTTAGTCTTTTTGGTTTTGGAATTTTGAGGAGTCATATTTAGGAAAACCTCCATTTCCCCATCTCCCCTCAATAGTGTGAAAAGAATCACCTTTATTTCTTAGTTCTTTTATAGTTTTAATTTGTACATTTTAAACTATTAGTTATTGGGGAATAAATTTTTGTTAATGGTGTGGAGGTAGGAATTAAACTCCTTTTTTTCTTCTAGAGGAATAGCTAGTTGTCTCAATACCATTTATTGAATAATCCATTTTTACCCTGCCCTGATTTTAAATGCCACCCTTGTCATACACTAACTTCCTCCATTCTTATTTTGTTGTGGTAAGATACACATAATATAAAAATCACAATTACCTGTTCTTTCATGATCAATGTCTAAAAAATACTAATTTGAGAAAGGATGATCTTTATAACCTAATATGCCAAAAAGAGAGTGAAGGGAAAGATGGAAGATTATCCTGTCTACTTCCTGCAGACTGCTTTCCTGTTGTTCTTTTGGTTCCCTCTGAGCACTATTTTGCCCAATCATTGTGTACTTACTGGACTGAGTTGAGCTATAGCTGCTGGGAGAACATATTCCCTTTTGTGACAACCCCTTTAGTATTTCCATGAGAGATTATTTCCTCTTCTAAGCGGATGTTAGAACCAGAGGCATTATAACATATGACTGGGTCAGAAACTTGTTTAAAGGGTTCCAAACATGTCAGAGCCTAGTGTAGTCCTTATAGTTTGATGGTTTTATGGTAATAATATCAGGCAGCCACTTATAAAGTCCTTTATTAATTAATTTTAACAGCTAATTAATCTTAACAGCTAAAGTAATTTTATTTACTTTCCCGTATTATGTGATGTCTCTGGTTATTTGTCTTAACTTTTTTTTACAGCTTGGCCTTCGAATTTGGTAAATAGTTTTTAGTCACATAGTGATTAATCATTTTATTTAAGTTTAATGAACTTTTATTATAAGGGAATGATTATCTTGTTTTAAGAATAACCTGGCTGCTTACTCAGTCAATCAGCATCATTTATTTCATTGCCAACTTTGTAGAGAGACCTCTACTTTATTCATTAAGAATATATAGAATAGGCTGGGCACAGTGACTCATGCCTGTAATCCCAGCACTTTGGGAGGCCGAGGTGGGCGGATCACCTGAGGTCGGGAGTTCAAGACCAGCCTGACCAACATGGAGAAATGCTGTCTCTACTAAAAAATACAAAATTAGCCGGGTGTGTTGGCGCATGCCTGTAATCCCAGCTACTAGGGAGGCTGAGGCAGGAGAATCGCTTGAACCCAGGAGGCGGAGGTTGTGGTGAGCCAATATCGTGCCATTGCACTCCAGCTTGGACAGCAAGAGCGAAACTCTGTCTCAAAAAAAAAAAAAAAAAAAGAATAGGAAAAAAATGTTTCTGTCTTTGAGATATAGTTTAATAAAGGACTTTGTAAGGGGCTGCCTGATATTATTACCATAAAATAACACAGAATACTTAAGCACACAATTCTTAAAAAATGAAGCACACAGTTTTCCTACAGGTGTCACCCTGTAGGAGTTTATATTTTTTAAAAGATGGCCCATACTCTTAAGAGTTTTAAACCATTGGAAGGCTGTTAGCTACTCTTTTTTTTTCTTTTTTTTTTTTTTTTGAGACCGAGTCTCACTCTGTTGCCCAGGCTGGAGTGCAATTATGCAATCTCAGCTCTCTGCAACCTCCACCTCCTGGGTTCAAGTGATTCTTCTGCCTCAGCCTCCCCAGTAGCTGGGATTTCAGGTGCCCACGACCACACCTGGCTAATTTTTCTATTTTTAGTAGAGACTGAGTTTCACCATGTTGGCCAGGCTGGTCTCGAACTCCTGACTTCAGGTGATCCGCCCTCCTTGGCCTCCCAAAGTGCTGGGATTACAGGCATGAGCCATGGTGCCCAGCCAGCTACTCTTTTAATTGGCAGCTACATAGCAGAGGAAACTGATGTTTGGGCTTGTGAATAAACATCATTGTTTTTGTTTTTTTCCTATGAAATGTTAGTTTTGAATGACCCATTACTTGTAGCCAAATAAAGTGATAAGAATATTCAAGTGTTGCTGATTTTATTTTCTGTTTCTTCTAGATGTCATCATTGCCAAGAAGAGCGAAAGTACAGGTCCAGGATGTGGTACTGAAAGATGAATTTTCTTCATTCTCTGAGTTGTAAGCATACTGGTTTAATATGTGGGTAGGGGAATGATGAATATTTTAATAAGGAGTAATGCATTCTGTCACTTTCTAACTCCTTAAGTGATGTGGGTAGAAAAAACTTTTTTTATTCATTCATGCAACAAGTATTTGTTGAACTCATGCTGTGTTCCAGGTTCTGTCTAGTGTTGCTAATAAAGTATCGAAAGGAGAGAGAAAGTAACCAACTAAATATGTAACATAATACTTACACTAGAATATAAGCTCCATGAGAGCATAGAGTTTTATATATTGCTTTAGAGCAGGATTTTTCAACCTCTGCACTACTGACATTGTGTGCAAGACAATTCTTTGTTGTGGGGGCTATCTTTTTTCTTGTAGGATTTTTAGCAGCATCCTTGGCCTCTACCCACTGGATGCCAATAGCTTCCTGCTAAGTTATAACAATTAAAAATGTCTCTAGACATTGCTAGATATCCCCAGTTGAGAATCTCTGCTTTAGAGTCATATTAGGTGCTCTGAAGATATTTGTTAAGTAAATGACTGGTAATATTTATAGTAATAAGTACTATAAAGAAAAATAAAACAGGGCAGGGGATAGAGAGCATAGTGAGTGGTTGCAGTCGGGGGGCATTTTGGATAGAGTAGTCAGAAAGTTATTGCGGAAGATGTGGCAAGAGATCTAGATGAGATTTGGGGGTGCAGCTTGCAAAGATCTTGGGGATGGGTGTTCCAAATAGAGAAAGCAGCAAGTGCAAAGACCCTGAGGCAGGAATAAGTTTGGTGTGTTCAGGGAACAGCAAGAAGACCAGTGTGGCCAGTCTAGAGACATGAGGCAGAGAGTAGTAAGAAATGAGATTGTAATGAGTAGGATCTGGATCTAATAGGCTTAGATCCTTCTCCTTAGTCCCTTTAACTTCTCTTCTCACCACCCTCTAAATGTTGGAATCCCTCAAGGCTTAATTCTAAGCCCTCCCCTTCCTCCACCCCCCTTCCCCTCTCCCCTCCCTGTTAGTAGCTGATCTTGTCTTATGGCTCAATATAAAAATCTCAATTTTATACAGTATCTCCAACTTGATCTTCCCTGGTATTAGAATTTTATTTGAAGTGGGTTGGGAGGCCACTGGAAGGTTTTGGGTTGGGATGTTACATGACCTGGGTTTATATTTGTAAAATATTCTGGTTTCTTGGTGGAGAATAGACTATAGCGGGCAAAACTGGAAGTAGGGGAAATGAGTTAAGGAGATTATTGTAGAAGCATAGGATTCTAGATGTGAAAGTGATGAGAAATGGTCTAATTTGGGATATATTTTGAAGGTAGAGTGGACAGGACATGGTGGTGGATTGGATTTGGGGTATGAAAGAATGACAGACATTTTGGAAAGACTGGAAGAGGAACAGGTGTGAGAGTGGTGGAATCGGGAATTCAGTTTTGGACTTGGTAAGTTTGATGTGATTGCTGGACATTCAGGTGAAAGTGGATATACAAGTCTTGAGCTCAAGCGGGGAAGGTCGAGTTGGAGATACTATATAAAATTGAGATTCCCAGCTGGGTGTGGTGGCTCACACCTGTAATCCCAGTGCTTTGGGAGGCCACGTCGGGCTGATCACTTGAGGCCAGGAGTCCGGAGTCTAGCCTGGCCATCATAGTGAAACCCGGCTCTACTAAAAATACAAAAATTAGCCAGGCATGGTGGCACGTGCCTATAATCCCAGCTACCTGGGGGACTGAGACGTGAGAATCACTTGAACCCAGGAGGTGGAGGTTGCAGTGAACCGAGATCACGTCACTGCACTCCAGCCTGTGTGACAGAGGGAGACTCTGTCTCTAAATAAATAAATAAAAATAAAATATAGATTCCTGTATCGAGAAAATACAAGATTACCTGGCAAGAGAGCATAGAGGGCTGAGGACTAAGCCTCGAGGGATTCCAGCATTTAGAGGTTAGGGAGAAGAGGAGTCAAAGGGGCTAAAGAGAAGCTGCCAGGAAGTAGTATGAAAACCAAGGGCTGGGGTTCCTGTATGTAAGGGATATGCTCTAAGGGGTGAGTGCCAGATGCTCCTGAGAGCTCAAGTGATTGGGAAGGAGAGTTGACTAGCTGCCTTAGAACTATATCATGTATAACACAACGGTATCTGTGCTTGTGTTTTGTTCATAATAACTAAAGGGCCTTTAATCTTGGTGATATTCCTTTGTGAAATAGGGTTAGTCAGTAATCCTGGTTGATAGGTGATGAGACTAAGGAGGGAAGAAGTCATCCTGCTCAGTTTGATGATAGTATGAGGAGTGGAACCCTAGTTTTCTATTTCATTGGTTTTCTAATTATAGTTTCTTTCAGTTCCACTGCTGTTATGTTATTCTGATTATTCCTGTTTTTTGTTTGATTGTTTGTTTTTCCTTACCAGGCTTAGTGGTACCTCTGAAGAGAACACCAGTAGTTTGACCTATCATAATTATTCTCTTCTAGAGCATAATTTAGCTAAGAAGTCATCCAGTCAGGTTTTTGCCCCCAGCAAGAACTTAACATTAAAAAACCCAGACTTCCCTATTCACTCATCTCAGTAAAGGAAGTCTCACTAATATTGACCTTTTACATTAGAGTAGAAATGGAATTAACTGGGTTGGCAGGAGCATGATGGTCCTTTAAAAGAGTTCCCATGGCTGCTTTTTCTCTGCTCTTGCTGTGAGTTTGATTCTTCGTTGTTAGAAAAGTACTATAGTCGCACCTGATCCAATCTAATCAGGAAAGAAATCCATTCTGTGAAAGGAAAAAAGGGTTAATTAAAGCAGTTGGAAGGGTCTTGGTGCTGGCTTTTAATGTAATTTAGTGTGTTTCCTAGAGCCATTTCTCAATCCTTTCATTGATTTGAATAACTTAATACAATTTAAATGAATTTGATTAGTAGTTGGGAACTTATTTAAGTGCTTTTCACTGTTAAAATTGAAAAGCTCACATTGACTATAGTTTGACATGACCCAGTAAATTACTTAAGGTAATAAATGATTTTCTATGTCTTGAATGAATGTGTGTATGTGTTTGTCAGTTAGGTGAGAAGAGAATGGAGAGACAGAGCTGTGATTTACAGCATACTGCGGTATTTTTATACTGGTCCGTCATCAACTCTGTTGGTTCAATTCTTAGCAATAACTGTTCACAGCCTGTACTCAATCACTCCATTTTATATTAAACACCTCCTACTTTATCATTTTTTCAAGAATCTTGCATCTCTTTTTTACCTTTGACATTTGCTTTTATTTTTCCTGGAGATTATTCTGTTGATTTACTTCTAGATCATCTGCCTCTGAAGAAGATGACAAGGAAGATAGTGCCTGGGAGCCCCAAAAGAAAGTTCCCAGAAGCCGTAAACAGCCCCCTCCCAAGGAATCCAAACCAAAGAGGATGCCTCGGGTGAAGAAGAATGCCCCACAGATCAGTGATGGCTCAGAAGTCGTTGTTGTTAAGGAGGAGCTGGTAGGTGCTACAGCTGGATAGAGGGAACTCTGTAGTGTCTTCCTGATTGGTGATGTTATTTTCTTATTCTACAGAGTAGGACAAGGCATGTAAATGACAAAAACTGCCAGCAATGGCATCCCCTACCCTGGGTCTTAATTTTTGGGTCTGTACTGTGTTTCTTTGTCTATTCCCTTTTCCCTCTCCTAGGAGTTGGTCTGGGTGTGGTAGTGCTGGTAATGATGGTGGCATTAGCAAATAGTTGAGTGCTTACCATTAGCCAGGCAATGTGCTCAACATTTCATTTAAATGATCTTAATCTTTATAACAACCATTGAGGCAAGTGCTTTTATGCTGATTTTATAGATGAGAAAGCTGAAGAAAGATGTTAAGTGACTTGCTCACGGTGTACAGATAGTAAGTGATGGAACTGGGTTTCTAAGTTAGGAACATGATTTTGTCAACATTTTGGGAACAGATATATCTCTCTTGGGTGTTTTTACATCAGTTGTGTTCACAAGAGAGATAAATACAACCAGAGTGCTGGTTTAATATTTAATAGTTTAAAATAATAATCTTAAGGACTTGAAATTCTTATGGCCAGCATTTCGTTCTCCTTGGAGCCTAATCTGAATAGGGAATTAAGTAGTAATCAGAAATTTACTTGATGAGCATGGACTCAGAATAGGATGATGAGATAAATCCATTCGTTTGAGTTTATTGAATGTCCACTGTGGTCTAGGCATTATGCTTGTCACAATCACAATTGAATGTTTTAATAGCTTGAAGCTAAGACAGTGGCTGACAACACCCTTTATGATTGACACTTTCTTTAGATATGTCAATTCATTTGATTAGGTTATCAACTCTTTTAGGCCTGGGAGTTATTTTATCTTTATGTCTCTGCTCTGATCCATTCTATTTTGGGCAAAAAATTTAATACTCAGAGGGCTCTCTAATGTTCATTATTTTCAAGTTCAGATGGTGGTGGTGGCAGGTTGGCATTCAGGTGGAGGTGCTCTTTATTGTAGTTCTTAATATTTTTAATAGTGATTCTGGAAAAAATACTTGATAAAAGAGAAGATAGAATTTTGACTAAAATTTAGTTTGGGAATTGTTCATGTTTGTGCCATCTGCATCATTTAGGTAACGGAGAACAGACCAGCTTAGGGGTAGGGTCTTTATCTTATTTACACTATACCCAGTGCCGAGATGGGTGCCAAGTCTCATTTCTTCACACTTGAGCTGTCACTTGGATTGGGGGGCAGTGGCAGTGCAGAGTGTAGTCCCTAGACACCTGTGTGGGCTGCTGTGCGGACTCTTGTTAAAGAAAAATGCCTGACATTAGCCTGCTATCATTCTGTGTTCTATCCTCTACTCTTCAGCAGAAATTGGTGGCATGTGTAGCCTGTTGAGTTGTATGAGTGAATGAGTGTTACTTTTCTGTCTGCTAAGTGGTTGACTTTGATAGCAAGTTTTAATCTTGGTTTTCTGGCATGTGTAGACCTATCCTTTACTCATTTTTAAAAATTAAACTGCTTATTTCTAAATAGTTGACATGCAATGGGAAGAAATAATAGAAGAATTCCATGTACTCTTTATCCATTTTTTCCCGAATGGTAGCATCTTGCAAATCTATAGTAAGATGTCACAACCGAGATACATTGATAAAATCCACTGATCTTATTTAGATTTCTCCAGTTTTACTTGTATTCATTCATGTGTATGTATATGTATGTACTTGGTTCTGTGCAATTTTATCGCACATGTAGGTTTGTGTATCTACCATGACAGAAAAGTTCCATCACCACAAAGATGCCTAGTGTTGCCCTTTTATAGCCACACCCACCTCCCCCCATCATCTCTGACCCTTGCCAACCTCTAATCTCTTCAGGAATGTTATATAAATGTATTCATATAGTATGTAACTTTGAGATTGGCTTTTTTTCCCACTCAACATAATTTACTTGAGATTCTTCCAAGTTATTGTGTGTATCAATAATTTGTTCACTTTTATTTGTGAGTAATAGTCCCAGGAAATTGCTTTTTATCTTCTAATTCTCATATGTTCTCTTTGTGGTTTGATAGAATAGCTCTGTGGCTATTGCTGATACTGCTTTAGAAGACAGAAAAAATAAATTGGATACTGTACAGACTCTGAAAACAGCCAAGACAAAACAGAAATGTGCAGCGCAGCCACATACAGTTCGAAGGACTAAAAAGCTGAAAGTTGAAGAAGAAACCAGCAAAGCCAGCAACTTAGAGGGTGAGAGTAATAGTTCAGAGACACCATCCACAAGCACTGTGTGGGGAGGTACATGCAAGAAGGAAGAGAATGACGATGACTTTACATTTGGTCAGTCCGCTTTAAAGAAAATCAAGACTGAGACATATCCTCAGGGGCAGCCTGTCAAGTTTCCAGCAAATGCCAATAGTACTAAAGAGGAGGTGGAAATGAATTGGGACATGGTACAGGTATGTGCAGCCTTTTTCTGTCACTTTAGTTGTTTTGAGTGCTTTCTTTTTGACTAGCATAGGGGTTGTACTGTCTAAGGGAAGGGCTGGGGGTTTTCAATTCTCTCTTCAGTTTTGCCAGTGATTTCTGGAGGCTTTCCTACTTGTAACTTTCTTGGGTACACTGTTTTGTGTTGTAGCTAATCATCAGTTCTTCAGCTAAGATGTGTGGCCTCTCTTGGCCTTTGCTATGGTGTTTTAGTGAACATAAACTATATAGACAGATTGTACCAACTGGTTGGGCCCCCACAGGTTCATTGTTAAGTTTTTGCTTTGAACTTGGACTGTATTTTCCTATAAAAGCAGTGTAGGTGATTAGGTCACTGGCTGTTCATACATCTATTTAACCCTTAGTATAATGTTGTAATGTACTACAACAAGGCCTAGCGATTTTTGAAAGGAAATTCTGTAAGAATTCCAACTTGAGATGCCAGAATTATATGTCTTACTACAGGGGAAATCAGATTTCTCCCAGTTTTTTTGGCTGGCTTTGGGGACAGTATTGGAGACCCGAAGAGTAGCTAGTGAGCTTTTGTCTGTCCCAGCACATTCTGGGACCATTTTAGACTTAATTATGGTAGTGCCTCTCAGGGTAGGTGGGGGTGACTTCCCTCCCTGTTATCTGTCCCATGTGATTCTATTGTGTACTCTTTCCCTTGCTATGATTGTGGCTGTAGAGCTGAGGGCCTCTGCTGGATCCTGATTCCACTTCTCAATCTGGGACTGCCTGTGTGTCACAAATGTCTTTGTACCCATGCTGCCTTTTCTATTACCTCTTAGTAAAACGTAATTTTTTTTTTTTTTTGAGACGGTGTCTTGCTCTGTCGCCCAGGCTAGAATGCAGTGGTGCTCACTGTCAGCTCCACCTCCCGGGTTCATGCCATTCTCCTGCCTCAGCCTCCCGAGTAGCTGGGACTACAGGCACCTGCCACCACGCCCGGCTAATTTTTCGTATTTTTAGTAGAGACAGGGTTTCACCGTGTTAGCCAGGATGGTCTCGATCTGCCTGCCTCGTGATCTGCCCGCCTCGGCCTCCCAAAGTGCTGGGATTACAGGCATGAGCCACCACGCCTGGCCTGTCACTGGTAATTTTTAATCATGATTTTTCTTCTCTGTGGTGCACTAAGGAATAGAATGTTGCTTTACAGCTTTTCCTCTTACCTTGTTCCTGAATGAATAGTCCAAGGTATCTTGGAAAAACAGAGTATAATTAGGCTCCTTTCTATGCCTTCTTTTTCTTTGTTCATTTATACCTAGAAGGCAGTGTTTTAAAGTGTGGTCCATGGACTACCTGCATCAGATTCACCCTGAAGCCTTTCTTAAAGTTCTTGGTTCCAGACCAGGCCTACAGAGGCAGGTGGACATGTACCACTTCCCTTCTCTTTTCCTTTTCTAACGCTTTTTAAGGTTATTTCCATTGTTGACATAGATCCACCTCTGGTAGTTGGCAGTGTGCAGGAGGAAGTTAAGAAGTTTTAGACTGTGAAGTCTCTGGTCTTTGAGACTTGGTAATAAGTTATTCGTAGTAAAGAGCTACTTATTCTATGACTCTGCTTCCCACCCTCTGTTACAGGGAAAGAGATGTAGAAAATGGCCCTGCCTTAACCTTTTGTCTCTAGGTTACAAGTATATAAGCTCTTTATAATGAGCTTAAGTAGAAAAGAGTTTTTCACCAAGGACATAGGGACCTTTCAAAGAACAAAAGGGACAGAATGTGGTCAAGTCTCCCAAAGGACTTGAACCAGAAATTGGAAACTGTGAGGACTCAGAGAAGGTGCTGTTAGTTTTCTCTCTATCTGGTGTCTTATAATCACCAATTTCTGCTGCTTCTCTGTTTGAGTTATTATTTTCTCAGCAGATAAGA
This sequence comes from Homo sapiens, assembly GCF_000001405.40. Lineage (NCBI taxonomy): Eukaryota > Metazoa > Chordata > Mammalia > Primates > Hominidae > Homo > Homo sapiens. The sequence goes on along the minus strand of NC_000002.12, from coordinate 45,597,545 downwards.
TTTTCTTGCTTCTTTACAGAGGATAGAAAATGACAGCTCCCTAGTTTATTTGCCATTAGTTTTATTAGTTACGTAGACTAACCAGTTGCTTCTGTATTGCAGTTCCACATTTTTTTTTTTTTTTGTGAGACAGAGTCTCACTCTGTCGCCCAGGCTGAAGTACAGTGGCGCGATCTTGGCTCACTGCAACCTCTGCCTCCCAGGTTCAAGCGATTCTCCTGCCTCAGCCTCCTGAGTAGCTGGAACCACAGGCATGTGCCACCACGCCTGGCTAATTTTTTGTATTTTTAGTAGAGACACGGTTTCACCATGTTAGCCAGAATGGTCTCCGTCTTCTGACCTGGTGATCCGCCCACCTCTTTCTCCCAAAGTGCAGGGATTACAGGTGTAAGCCACCGCACTCAGCCTCCAGTTCCAAATTTTAAGAAGAAAGTCTGATTGGCTGAATTTGGGTCAGGTATCCATCTCTGGTCCAGTGCCTGGGGTGCTGAGGCCTCACTGTATTTTAGAAATATGGCTGCCAGGGCTGTGTGTGTGTGTGTGTGTGTGTGTGTGTGAGGGTTGTGGGTGTGGGTGTGTGTGTTAGGGTTGTGGGTGTGTGTGTGTGTGTGTGTGTTAGGGTTGTGGGGGGGTGTTCTCTGAGAAAAGGAGGGCATTTCTGGGCCAGAAGATGTCTACTTCAGGGTTCAGCTTTAGAATGTAAATTTATAAATCTAGGTGATGATTAGCCACTGTTGACAAATACTTAGGTTTCTTTTACCATAATACCTTAAGGTGTTGGTTTACAGATCTTTAATTGACAAGGGATCATAATACTTACCATTTATTTATAGATGACTTGTTATGAGCTCGGCTCTGTACTAGGCACTTTAGATTTGTTTACTACATTATCATGATGGATTAGTAGATGCAATGGGTTAACCATCAAAAAATCCTTTATGGATAGGAGTAAAATAGACAGAAAACAGTTTTGTTTGTTCAGAAAAACCATCTTAAAGTTAAAACTTACTGAGAAATTACTGAGAATTGACTCAAAGTATTTGTAGAATTTAGTTTCTAGTTTGCATCATTTCTCTAATAGGTATAACTGAAGGTGATTTCAGAGCTTTGAGAGAAGAAAATTTGTTCTGCAATCCGTTAACCTAGACTTTTAATGTTTGGTTAGGAATGAATATCTGGGTTCACTAATGCGTTCTGTAATGTCACTAAAATAGCAGCTAAACAAAGCCTTTTGGAAAATACATTCCAAGAGAAAGGCAAGATTACTTGCTGAATAGAATGAGGAGGGACAAGTGTATGATGAGCGATAGGTGCCCAGCTGCCAGAAGGTGAGTGACAAAGGAAAAGTAAAGAAAGAAAAGTTTTATTTGTAAGCTAGTAGCAGTAATGTCCTTTGTTGTGTTGTGGGAATAGTGACTTGGAAGCAAGTTGTCTCATTTAAAGGCACAAGAACTATTTTATGGCCTTTTGCCCTCTTAGAAAATATTTTGAAAATTATAGGCATGCTAGATTTTCCTTTTAATTCCAAGCAATTTTTTTTTCCTCTTCCTTTTTTGAAGTGAATGTTGACAGCTGAATGCCTATTCTCTGAGAATCTGGGCACTCCTTGCCTGTGAATTGGGAAGTGGTTTTTGGGACGCTGCCACCTTTGCTGAGCAATCTGATGGCAATTATTAAGCTCAGCATTTTCCTGGTGGGTTTAGGGAAATTGCCTGGGAAACTATTACATGTGAATTTTACATGTTTGGGTTCTTTTTATTTAACCAGTTGCAATTATCCTTCCTTAATTTTAACTTGAATTTTACAGACAATTATTGTGGTATATGTGGATTTCCTTTCCTATACTTTTAAAATTTCTCCGTAAACAGGAGAAACTTTGTCAGAGAGAAAGTAATTTTGTCTTAAAACTGTATTCCTGCTTGTAAACATGGTTGAGAACAGGGGTAGATGTTGGAAAAAGAGGGAACTGACAAGAATGAGAGTCAAGTAATACCAAGCCAGAAAATCAGAAAAGTCCTGAACATTTGGATAAGGATCAGACTCAACAAAATACCTGTAACATGCATATTATCTGCCACAAAATGTATGTCCAAATTCTTTGGGGGAAATCCTGAATAGTTATCTAGTTAGCAAGGAATGGTTGTGAAACTTAATTGTATGGAAATTATTAAGTATTACTAGTTGAACATGTGGAAATGTCATTTATATATCCTTTATTTTGTGTACTATTCCCCATGGCCTTGGCCACAATGATAACTTGGTCCTCTGTTTTTTTCCGTTCAAGGTGTATTTCTCAACTCTGAAAACTACAGATTTTTTTCAGGAACATCACTGTCTTGTTTGGAGAGGCAGAACTATATAGTCAACACTTGATTTAGTTTTAGGCTTGTCAAAAGGACAAAATTACAAGTTTAGTTTAAAGATCTCTGTTGGGTTTATGATTCTAGAATCAAGCAACACTTCATTTCATAAAATAGGATAAGTGTTCTAATGAATTAAGCAGGGGGGTTGGTTTTATAGATAGGACTAATGAAAGCAGAAACAACAGAAAGTGGATTGCTTTCCTTGTAAAGTGGAGAGAGGGAGACAGAAAAATAGAAAAATAACAGATAAAATGAAGTTACTTCAGTCTTTTTGTATAAGGATTAAAGTAGAGGGAACTTTATTATCATGCCTATTGAAGATTGAAACTGGCCTGTTTGATAAATTGGCTGTTATCATTCTTTAGATTTCTTGGAAAGTCAGATAACAACTTTGTTTTAGTTTGGTGACTAAAATTTTAGCCAGGGTGAGTTCATTTTGATTTTTAGTCTATGGAACATAGGGTCTATCGGGGCCTACTGCAGGAGCTTCATCCAAAACAATGGCTTCCTATAATGTTTTAACAGACATTATACATGAATGTATTTTGTTTCTATTTCCTGATCCGGGGTTGGGGATCACCAGGTCTTTTGACAGAAGCAACCTACTCCTTTTCAGCCCTTTCTCCCAAACTGCAAATGTGTGATTGCGACCAGAAACTAGTTTTTGTTAAAGTTATTTTGCAGATATGTTTTGGATACCATGAACTATAAGAATTTGAAGAAGTGACCAGCTACAGACAATTTTTGGGAAAATTAAACTGCTCCAAAGGTGGTTGTTGTCCAGTTTCTTTCGGGAGTGGTGAGTGTAGGGGAGTTGAGCAGCCATGTGTAATATCTTAGTAAAGTTTGCTAAACAGGGAGAAAAGGCAAACAAAACCTTTTTTATTAGCTGTTTTCCCTTTGTTGCAAGAGATTGTGTGGAATTGTGTGGAATTATGTGCGTGAAGAAAGCCATGGGATGACAAAATTGGGGAAAGAAGTGAGACAAAAAGTGGTCAACATTTCTGAGTTGTGTATCTCAGTGCAATTCTGTGTATAAAGGTGGAACCACTTATTAGGTTTAACCTATTTGTCCAGGAGAAATTAAATAAGAGAAATTGGTACTTTTTGTTAATATAATTTAGTTGGTAGTGTTTATTATGGTCTTTTTAAAAAACAACCTTTTTTTGAAGTATAACATACAGAATATTGTACATAAATGTACAGCTCAGAGATGTTCAAAAGTGTAACCATGCAACAAGCTTCCAGAACATTACCAACATCTCAAAATCCCCCTTTATACTATTTTCCAATTCCTCCTTCTGTCTCATACAACCACTCTTCTGATTTCTAACAGCACTGGTTTTTCCTTTTGCAATCTGTAAGGAAACTTGTGTGTGTAGTAGAATAAGTGATACAGTGAAATAACTAGGTAAGGGTAAGGAGAACAGCAGAAATCAACAGCTTTTCAGAGGGGAGGTGGCCAGTCGCTGGTTTGGGAGTGATTTAGAATAGAAAATTCTCTCAATTTCACTCATTAGAGAGTCATTTAACTTAGATGTTCTTTTAAAATGCAGATGCTGCCTGGATGATTAAGGCTATAGTTTATTTGGTTGATGCCAAGATGTTTTCTTTTTAACTGAGGAAATAGCAATTTCCTTTTGGAGGAGTAAATCTCAGGACACTTTGGGAAAAAGCATTTTCTTGGAGGTTTTAGAGAGGGCATTTTAAGCCATCAGATCTCATGAGACTCATTATCCTGAGACCAGCATAGGGGAAACCGCCCCCCATAATTCATTGCTTCCACTTGGTTGTGCCCTTGACACATGAGGATTATGCCTGAGGAATCATCTTGCTTGGCATATAAATTGAATTTTTGAAGAGGTTATATAGCTTGTGGAATTTTGGGCAGTTTACTTTTTCGGCCCTCAGTTTTTGCATTTATAAAATGGGAACAATAAAGTACCTTTCTCATATAGTTTAAATGAGTTTATATTGACTGTGTAAGAGTGTTTGGAACGTAATAGACTCTATAGAGGAATTAGCCTAAAACAACAGTCAAAATAAGTACCTCTGTCTTAGAAGTACAAAAAATTCTCGAGAGTGCCTTTTTTCCCCTTTACTCTCATTCCTATCTGCCAGTTAATTTTTAAAAAATATAAAAGTAATAAATGTGAATCGCTTATAAGTGAAAACTATGGTAGTTCTTTGCCCTACCCCTTCCCAACTCTAAGACTTGTTCTCTGTTTTTAGCTCTTTTAGTTGTTTCTTTGTTGTTTGCCTAATTTTTCTCAAACACACGTTATTAAACCCCCACCCCAGAGTTTCTGATTGAGTGGCTTTTGGGTGGGACCCAAGAATTTGCATTTTTAACAAGTTCTCAGATGATGCTTATGCTGCTGGTTTGGGGACCACACATTGTAAACCACTGCTGTAGTTCATAGATCTCATCAACTCTTGAAAAGGGGGTTGACTCAACAGGTGAGACCAAACAATGAGTGGATCCATTGTTGAATGGCTTTGTTACCAGTGGAAGGTATCCAAGTTACTGATGTCAAATCTGTAAGGGTCTGCAGCAACCTCAGTTTTTGCCTCCTCCTCCAAAGAATTCGACTGAGGGGCATAAAGCAAGAGAGACCAAGGCAAACTTCAGAGTAGGAGTGGAAGTTTGTTTAAAAGGCTTTAGAACAGGAAAGAAAGGAAAGGAAAGTATGCTCGGAAGAGACCCAAGCAGGCACTGAGGTCAAGTGTGGTGTTTAACTTTGATCCTAGGACTTTATAGGCCAGCCCCTTTCCCGTGATTCTTCCCTTAGAGTGGGCTGCCCGCATGTGCAGTGCCCTCCTTATGCTTGGGAGGTGAGTACATGGTGTGTGTTTAGGAAGTTGTACATAGCCCATCTGAGGCTTTCTTTGCTTCTTTGGTGGTGTGTCCCTATGTATTAGTCTGTTTTCATGCTGCTGACAAAGACATACCCAAGACTGGGAAGAAAAAGTGGTTTAATTGGACTTACAGTTCCACATGGCTGGGGAGGCCTCAGAATCATGGTGGGAGGCAAAAGGCACTTCTTACATGGCAGCAGCAAGAGAAAATGAGGAAGAAGCAAAAGTGGAAACCCCTGATAAACCCATCAGATCTGGTGAGACTTATTCACTATCGCAAGAATAGCACAGGAGAGACTGGCCCCCATGATTCAATTACCTCCCCCTGGGTCCCTCCTACAACACGTGGGAATTCTGGGAGATACAATTCAAGTTGAGATTTGGGTGGGCACATAGCCAAACCATATCACACTGGAAGGTCATACTCCACCATTTTGTCTCTCAGTGTGCATGTCCGGGAAGTTGCTTCTCCCTGGTGTCTGCATTCAGTTAACACTTTAGTGTAATAAGTATGGACCATCAGGAAATGGCCTCTTCCTGGGGCTGGCTGCCAATTTATCACTTTTAGAGAGGCAATGTGATAATTGCTGAACCATCACCCAACATTCCTAGTTGGGGAGGGGGGCTCTCCTGCCATGCTCATGCCTGTCTAACTACCTGTAACAGCTTCATATTGAGTATAGGATATCAAGTTCAAACTCTATAGAATTCACCATGTAGCCTCATCCACCTTTCCATTTCTCACCTGATCTTCACACTCCTTGTACATGTAACTGTCCAATGGGTTCATTTTGCCCACTGCCTACACAGAGCCTATTTATCAAGACAAGAGAATTGCAGTAGAGAAAGAGTAATTCACACAGACCCAGCTGTGTGGAAAACCAGAGTTTTAGTATTACTCAAATCAGTCTCCCTGAAAACTCGGGAATTGGAGTTTTTAAGATAATTTGGTAGGTAGGGGGCCAGTGAGTCAGGAGTGCTGATTGGTTAGGTCAGAGATGAAATCATAGGGAGTCAAAGCTGTCCTCTTCTGCTGAGTCAGTTCCTGGGTGGGGGCCATAAGACCAGATGAACTAGGTTATCAATCTGCATGTTGCCATCTGATCCATGTAGTGCAGGGTCTGCAAAATATCTTAAGCACTGATCTTAGGTTTTACAATGGGAATGTTATCCCCAGGAGCAATTTGGGGATTTTTAAAATCCTGAAGCCTCCAGCTGCATGACTCCTGTATTTGTCCATTTTCACACTGCTATGAAGACATACCTGAGACTGGGTAATTTATAAAGGAAAGAGGGTTTTTTTTTTTTTTGAGAGTTTCACTCTTGTTGCCCAGGCTGGAGTGCAGTGTTGCAATCTCGGCTCACTGCAACCTCTGCCTCCCGGGTTCAAGTGATTCCCCTGTCTCAGTCTCCTGAGTAGCTGGGATTACAGGCGCATACCACCATGCCCAGCTAATTTTTGTATTTTTAGTAGAGACGGAGTTTCATCATATTGATCAGGCCAGTCTCGAACTCCTGACCTCAGGTTATCCGCACGCCTCGGCCTCCCAAAGTGCTGGGATTACAGGCATGAGCCACCGCACCTGGCCAGGGAAGAGGTTTAATTGACTTACAGTACAGCATGGCTGGGGAGACCTCAGGAGACTTACAATCATGGCGGAAGGGGAAGCAAACACATCCTTCTTCACATGGTGGCAGGGAAAAGTGCAAGTAGAGGAAATGCCAGACACTTACAAAACCATTATATCTTGTAAGACTCACTCATTATCACAAGAACAGCATGGGGAAAACCACCCCTTTGATTCAATTACCTCCACCAGGTTCTGCCCTTGACACGTGGGGATTATGGGGATTACAAATCAAGGTGAGATTTGGGTGGGGACACAGAGCCAAACCATATCAACTCCTGAACCATAATTTCTACTCTTGTGGCTAATTTGTTAGTCCTACAAAGGAGTCTAGTCCCCAGGCAGGAAGGGGATTTGTTTTGCAAAAATGCTGTTATTGTCTTCGTTTCAAAGCTAAACTGTAAACTGAGTTCCTCCCAGAGTTAGTTCAGCGTACGCCTAGGAATGGACAAGGACAGCTTGGAGGTTAGGAACAAGATGGAATTGGTTAGGTCAGATCTCTTTCGCTGTAATAATTTTCTCAGTTATGATTTTTGCAAAGGCAGTTTTATATATTTCAGCATTACTGAACTTTTAGCGATTTAAAACATGTGCATTGGTTTCTCATCAGAGGCTTTTGATGTTATTCTCTGTTCCTGGAATTCCTGCCTCCCTGTTTAGCTGCCTGGAAATACCTTCATTCTCTTTTTGCTTTTCCATTGCTGCAGAATTCGATGTTTCCACCTTTCCTGTGGTCTTAAAACAATGTATATACACTTCTGTCAGAGTATGAACCATACTGTATGTTGACTATTTACATGTCTGTCTGCTTTTGTTAGCTTGTTAGCTCCTTGAGAAGAGGCACTTGATTTTTTTTACATCTTGATTATCATTGGCTTAGTATGGTTATTGGCATATAATATGAGCTAAAATAAATGTTCAACTGAATCAATATAGAAAACATTTGGTGATTTGGAGTCCCCAGAATGAAGACTGCTTGTATGTGGTTTTGTTAGCCTTAATTTCAAGGATCAAATTTGCATAAGCAGCACTGTACACTCCCATAACATACATGATGCCATATGGATTTGTTAGGACCTAGTACCATCCAGTGTCTGGAGTCTTAGCTGTCTTAGGTTTCTTTTATTCAACAATAACTGAGCTGTTGGGTAGTGGGAGCCCATGGATTGCTCTAACAATCACACAGTTCCAAAATGATGAGCATTCCTGTCGTTTCCACCTGTCATCTCTGTCTTTCAGAATCTTGCCTATCTTTCAAGGGTCAATCAAAATGCTATTCCTTCAGCAGGCCTCCCTTGGTTACCTCAGGGAGATCTTTTCTTTAAAAACATGGTGCCACTTATTGCCTGGCACATGCTGTTTTATTTTTACTTATTTGGATTAATATTTTATCTTCCCCTCTAGATTGCTAACTTCTTCATGAGCAGCCTCATGAAGGCCTCTCAAGAGGGAAGTGTGGTTGACCCTTACCTGTAGGTAGCTAAGAGTCATTGGAGCTTAAGTTCAAACAAAAGAAGAAAATAAGGGGCTTGATTATATTTGTATTTTAGAAATATCTGTAGTAATGCAGATGGGATGGGTGGGAGGCATAGACAACAATAAATACCTACTATGGGTTCAGATCAAAGATGCTATTAGTGGAAACAGAGCTTGAGGGGGGAGGGAACAGACATTTTATAAGTTCTGTTTGCCTCCTTGGTGACAGAGTAGATGGATGTGATAGAGAATATACAGTGATGCTTAGGCCATTGATTAGAATGCTTTTGATTACAATGAAAGAAAACTGTCTCAAACTAGTTTAAGCAATAAAGGAGATTTATTGACCTATGTAACAGGAAATTTTTGGTCAGTTCACTGAAACAATCTACTATTCTCTTAGCACCACCATCCTCATAACAATAAAATGGCTACAACTTTGAATTTCTACCTCTACAAACTGTATTTCTTCAGAGGAAGTTCCAGCCCAAATCTTAACTTTATGCTGATTGGGCTAATCTCTCTGGCCAGAGCAATGCAGCACTCAGGCTGTTAATTCTGAAAACAGCTGGTTCCTTGAGCCTCATGCTGTAGAGCTGGAGTTAGGGTCAAGTGCTGTCAAGCCACATAGCTGCTATATAATGGAGAGAGGTGGCCACAGTATTATGGGAGATAACCACAGTATCTCCTAAGGTTTCTGTGGTAGATGACATGATGTGGACTGGAACAGGAAACAGGAAAAGGTACAGGTTTGAGAGAGAAAATATAAATGAGTTGATTTTGTGAGGGTCAGGGAAGATAACAAGCAACAGGAGTATTTCTAAAGAGGGAGGAGCCTCATGAAGGCCTCTTAAGAGCAAAGTAACTGGCCTTGTTCTAGGAACTGAGAGAAGGCTATTGGGCTGGCATCTAATGATCTAGGGAAAGACTGGATAAGATGAGGTTGGAGAGAGGCTGCTTTCTTTTGGGTCATGGTAAGGAGTTTGGATTCCAAATGCAACGGGAAATCAGTGACAGGTCAACATCCAGTATACATTTTGAAAATAACATTCTTGTTGCTTTGTGTATACTGGAATAGATGAGACAGAGTGGATGCAGGGAGAACAGGTAAAAGCTATTTCATTAGTTCAGGCTAGAACTAGACTGGGGTGTGGGGCAGAAGAAATGAAGAACAGTGACAGAGTAAGGAAATATTTTGCAGTTCAAGTTGACTGGTTCTTAAGATGGATTGGATTTAAGAGTTGAAGGAGTTGGAAGAGTTAGACTCAGTTTTCTGGGTTGAATTGCCATTTGAATAGCATAATATGGGTAAAAGTAGAGGAGAAATAAGTTTGAGAAGAAGATAACTTTGGAAATGCAAGGTTTGAGATGCCCATTAGATTTCCAAGAGAATGTGTCAAAATAGTTAGCTAAATGAGTCTAGAGCTCATGTGAAAGAGAGTCAGGGATAGAAATGTGAAATTGGCTTTCTTGTCAGAATTGGCATTAATCCATCAGAATGGGTGATAAGATGTAGACCTCAGGATTTAATGTGCCCCGAGAATGAGATATCCTCTATAGTCTCTGGAGTTTAGCCATTTATTTCATATGTAGTCTTGAAATTCAGTCTGTTATGTATCTGGACTTGATTTTGATAATCAGTTGATTACGATAATTCTTTAATAAATTTTCCCTGTTTTTTACCCCAGTTTCTGTCAGATCTTGGGCATTCAGGGTTGAAATAATAATAAAACGTACTCCTTTTGTTCTTTACTTTGAAAGAGCTGCTTAGGGTTTGGGAAGCTACTAAAATTGGATTTTATTCTTTCTCTTTTCCGGGCTGACTTTTGTAAACTTTTCTGTTTAACTGTACATTTTGCTAAAACCTGTAGACTTAAAAATAATTAAATATTTAAATAATTAATCATCTTTTAATATTATTGTAAATATTAGTATTTTAATATTATAATTAACATCAATTTTAATATGTATTTAAAATAATTTCAAATATCTTAATATTTATAATATTTTAAAATAATTAAATATTTAAAAATTTTTAAATATTTTAATATTTATAATTTAAAATAATTAAATATTTAAAAAATTTTAAATATTTTAATAATTATATTTTAAAATAATTAAATATTTAAAAAATTTTAAATATTTTAATATTTATAATTTAAAATAATTAAATATTTAAAAATTTTTAAATATTTTAATATTTATAATTTAAAATAATTAAATATTTAAAATAATTTTAAATATTTTAATATTTATAATTTAAAATAATTTTAAATATTTTAATATTTATAATTTAAAATAATTAAATATTTAAAATACCAATGATTTTAAATAAATAATATTTTAAAACAAATATTTTAAAAAATAATTAATTGCCTGTTTCGGTGGTTCATGCCAGTAATCCCAGCACTTTCGGAGGCTGAGACGGGAGGATTGCTTGGGCCCAGGTATTTGAGACCAGCTTGGGCAATGTAGTAAGACCTCATTTCCACTAATAAAAAAAAAAAAATTAGCCAGGTGTGATGGCGTGGCTTGTAGTCCCAGCTATTTGGAGGCTGAGGCTGGAGGATCAGTTGAGCCTGCGAGTTCAAGGTTGCATTGAATCACAGTTGTGCCACTGCACTCCAGCCTGGGTGAAAGAGCGAGACACTGTCTCAAAAAAATAAAAAAATTAAAAAGTAATTAATTAGCTTGAAGATGTTGTATTTGTGCATGATACAAAATTCAAAAGATATAGAAGGGTCTTCCAACTCTAACCCTCACCCAACCAATTACCTTTTTATTTCCAGATCTTGTGAATCATTTCATATTAGTTCATATAGAGCTGCCTCAGATTCTTAAATGCTTGCATGGTATTTAGTATGGGCATAACATATTTTCCAGTTCCTCCATTGTAAACTTAGGTTTTTGCTCACCTTTACTCTGCTAGGGACAGTTCTTCAAAAAAAAATTATTATAAATAATATTTTCTAGAGGCATGTATATGTTATGATAAATTTCCAGTAGTAGAATTGCTGCTGGGCCAAAGTTTGTTTATGCATTGTAAATTTTCATAGATATTGCCAAATTGCTCACTAGCAATGACTAAAAATGGCTTTCCTTTGCTCTCATGCTGACAAAGTGAGTTACCAACTCCTTGCTTTGCTACCAATATGAGAGATGAAAAGTATATCATTGCATCATTAAAAAGTGCCCTCATTGAACACTGGAATTTGAATGATACAGTGGTTTGGATTAGATTTTATTGAATTTGTGAAATGGCTATTTTACCATTATGATTGTCAATGGATACATGTATTTTATATGGCTTTCTTTTTTTTAAAAAACTATAGCAAGTAGTTTCTAAGTCACTGGAGAACATTATTTGATACTATGTTTTAAATTATACATGATATAGATGTTTAATTTTCAGCATTTTAAATCACTAAGTATCTTTAATTTGCAGGTTTTATCTGAGAGAACTAATATTGAACCTTGGGTTTGTGCCAACATCATTCGTCTCTTTAATGATGATAACACAATTCCCTTCATTATACGTTATAGAAAAGAGCTCATTAATAACCTTGATGCTGATTCCTTGAGAGAAGTTCAGCAAACCCTAGAAGAGCTACGGTAAGAAACCTAAAAAAGAATAAGCCTAGTGTAAGGGGAAAAGGCCAATGAGGAACAGTGAGAAAGTGAATGACGGTATATTTGACAATTTCAACATTTTGTTTCCTTGAATTATTGTAATCTGGATATAGTCCTCTTTATTTAGCGAGTGTATGGAGTCCCTCTGCTGGTGTGTTTATGCATAGCTTGAGCATGTATTAGCAAAAAGGTCATTTGCAGTAAAAGTGTGTGCCTCAGAGTTTGACTGTCATCTTCTTTCATAGAAAAGGTTGGGCATAATGGCAAAATTAGGACTGCCAGCAGGAAACTCAGAAAGTACATTTTATTCTAACTCTTTTAACCACTCACATAAATCTGTCCTTTTAATTTCATAAAGTTCCTAAGTGGAGAGTTCTTTGGCAGTATAGAGTTTGGTAGGAAATATGTATATTTCCTTTTCCCATCTTTTTTTTTTTTCGGAGACAGAGTCTTGCTCTGTCGCCTGGGCTGAAGTGCAGTGGTGCAATCTCAGCTCACTACAATCTCTGTATCCCAGGCTCAGGCGACTCTCCTGCCTCAGCCTCCCGAGTAGCTGAGATTACAGGAATGCGCCACCACGCCCCACTAATTTTGTATTTTTAGTAGAGACAGGGTTTTGCCATGTTGGCCAGGCTGATTTTGAACTCTTGGCCTTAAGTGATCCACCCGCCTTGGCCTCCCAAAGTGCTGAGATGATAGGCTTGAGCCACCATGCCCAGCCTTTTTCCCATACTTTTAATGGTTATGGTAATTTAACAATAGTGGATTGTAAGTTTTGTATGGTTACAGAATGGAAAGTACCTTTTTAAAAAAATTATGCCTCTGGACTCACTGCTAATAACTGAGAAATATGTGTACAAAGACTACAAGACTGACCATATTATTCGATAGGGTTTATTAAAACACTTCACTGCTTATGCATTTATTGCATGTCTCCCATGGGCACTGTGTTAATGTGTACATTCTTCAAGTGTACAAAAAAGATCTGATTAAAATTGGATTATCATTCTACTATGAAGCCATTTTAAAAGTATTAAGGGTAATTTTTATAACAAGCTTGACAAGCTTTCTGTTATTTTGGGGGAACTTGCATCTCACTTTTCTACCTCTTGACGTTCTTTTAGTGTCAGGAGAATTAAAGTGCTAATATGTGGAAAGTTATACTTCATTGAGAGGCAGAATCAATTTGCCAATGTAAAAATATAAATGACTAAATCAAATAGTCTCAGATGCAAATGTTCCAGAGCCAGGCTAGGATAATCAAGCATGGGGAATAAGAATTGGAGATTACAAACCCTGTCTAAGAGGGGCAACCCTTGCTCGTCTCCAGTAGATTACTGTCATGCAGGGTTGTCTGCCCAGTTTGCTGGTTCTTCCTGTTTCTGAAAAGAAGCTGGTAATTTGAGTTTTTACGTAACAAATTTCTAGGCCAAACAAAACCACTCTTGACCACACCTAGAAGGCCAGCAGTTTGCAAATTCTGAAGTAAGCTTTCTGTTTGGTTGAAGGCAAGGTAATTAAGAAAGTCTGAGGGTTTTGGATCTGAAATTGGAGAAAGCCTCACAAGCAAGAAAAGCTTGCTTAAAAAATTAAAGGGTAGTCTAACAATATTTGGTTGTATGGGAGACAAATAGGAGCTGTATATCAAGAATATTATTATTTTCTTTTTCTTTAAAAAACCCTTCTATTGCAAAAGAATTCCATTCTCTGGGTTTCTATGAATAGGGGAATACATTGAATATTAGTAGAGGAGTGAATATTCCTTGAAGTAAGTGGGGGCATTGACTGGAACTTAAGAGATCTTTTTCTATAATACAGAAATTTCTTTCTGGTAATGAGATATGATCTTTATTTTTTCTTGAGCTCAGCATTTTCTATAACTAGAGCATTGATTTTCAATTTGTTAATTGCTACCCCTACATGAGAAGTAAAACCAATTTAATAAGTCATACCACTTAAAAAATGAAATAGTGAATAGAAAATACAAGAGTACATTTATGTGGTAAAGGCAAATATTGTTTCATGAAATGTTTCAATTATGTAGCATCTATATGTATGTATACTGGGTTGCAACGTAAAACATTTTTAAATTCACTGTTGAAAAGTGAATTAAAGAGTATGATTCTGGATAGTAAGAAAAGTTTTCTGTATTTTTCTCTAAAGATAATTCTCTTCTTCCTTATATGCAGGCTAATAGGACAAAAGGAATTGGCTTTTTGTTAAAATGACCTGGTAGGCTTTAGCCCTTGAAAACAGTCTTGGGCTACCATGACTATAGAAGACATACAGGTTGTAATCTAAGTACTGCATATTCTTCTTTTTAATTTATATTCTTCTCTTTAATTTATAGTCTTCTGCCTTTAGTTTTTTTTTTTTAATTTACAAGTAGATTTAATTTTCTTTTCCATCGATCATTTTGAATAAATCATATTATCATCTCTAACTTTTGCCCATCATTTTAGCAATACCATTATTAGGCAGATTCTATAAATAGGAGGTAATACAATAGGATGAGAAGCATTAACTGTAACAACAGGATTGTATATTCACAGTGAAAACCTGTTGTAAAGTGGGGGAACTACTGTGCCCACCCTTCCTTTTGTCGTTAGTTGTTTAGTGATCCCTGTAAATTGATTCCTGGAATCAACTTTTCTACATGGAATCCTGGTTCTTTTTAGTGGGGAATGGTATTTGGAAACCAATTATGGGTGCTAGGTGTGCCCATCCTGAGCAGTGATACTCCAGTAGCAATGAGCATATCTAGTACCTATACCTTGGTTTTTAAGTATCATTCTTCTGATTCCAGGGCTGGGGCAGGGAAACTAGAAGATAAGCCTGAAATATCATATGCCAGAGAATAAGGAAGTGCTCGCAGAATGACAGATACATGTCAAAAGGACACAGAAGCTAGCTTGAAGGGGTTACTTTTGGCCAAATCTGGAAAAATTTGAACATTAAGATAAATGATAGCAATGGATTGTAGCACTAAGTAAAATAAAAAACCATTAAATCTATAGTGATATAAATAAATCAGTGAATAAATTCAAAGTTTAATGAGGAATGGGATAATTATATAGTCTCAAAGTACCTCTCCACAAAATACTTATAATTACAAGAGGAATAAAGAGTACCTGTGTCTTGGAGAAACCCACAGATACTACCTTAATCAAATGATCAAAGTTAATTAGTAATGAGACAAATCAAAATCATTTGTCACCTAATAACGTGTAGTAAGAACACAGTATGACTTCTATGATATTTCTGCCAAAGATGCTCCATCGGTATTTAATTGTGAGGAAACATCAGAGAAACCCAAGCTGCAGGACATTCTACAAAATAACTGTCCAGTAGCGTTCAAAAACATCAAGGCCTTATCAAGGAGAAGAAAATCAAGGAGAGACTAAAATATTGTTTTAGCTTGAAGGAGACTGTAGTTGCATGCCAACTACATGTAACCCATAATTCTTAACTGAATCCACTATAAAGGATATTATTGGGACAGTTGGTAAAACCTGAATGAGCTCTGCATTAGATGGTAGTAATATATTAGTGTTAATTACCTGATAATGATGGTTATTTTGTGGTTATGTAGAAGATTTGTATTTGTAGGAAATCACACTAAAGTGTTGGAGTGCAGGGATGTTAACTTATTCTCAAACAGTTCAGAGACAATAAAGTTCCTTTTACTTTACCTGCAACTTTTCTGTAAGTTTGAGGTAGCTTTGAAAAGAAAGTTTTGACATACAGTTTTGGTATATTACAAAAGTTTCTCTTTTCAGGGCTGTTGCAAAGAAAGTTCATAGTACAATCCAGAAAATTAAGAAGGAAGGGAAGATGTCTGAGTGCTTGTTAAAAGCCATGCTGAATTGTAAAACTTTTGAAGAACTAGAACACGTGGTAAGGAATCCTTTTTATCTTTTAATGTAATACCTGAATATATTGCAATTTGGGTCTTCTTATGATTAAAGAACACCAAGAAATAAAAAGCTAACGTCATTAGCCACCATTATTTAATGCAACAAAATATTTATTCTTTATTCAATAAATATTTATAGAGTGTTTTTTTTGTGCTAGGCACTTGGGTTTACAAAGATGAATAAATACATAGTCTTTGTCTCAAGGAATTTCCAGTCAAGTAGGGAAGGACAGTAGATTATACAAACGTGAAGCTTATCAGAGAGGGCTGAACTAGAGATCCAGATGTGGATGTCTTCAGCCTGTAGTTGGTACGTGAAACCATGAGAATGGAAGAACTCAAGAAGTGTTTGTTAGCAGGTCAGGATTGACCACTGGAGGTTACCACCTTTTGAAGTGTGGATGGAGGATGTGAGAGCATAAGGAGGTAGGAAAAAAATAGAGAAGTATGAGGAGAATCAGGAGATGATGGTGCCCTGGAACAGCAGGGAAGAGAGTTTTAGATGGAGGTCATGATCAGCAGTTATGTGTAGCAGAGAAGTTTGGCAGAATGAAGACTGAAAAAAATATATATATTTGGTAATTAGGAGATCATCATGGATTTTTGTGATATCATTTCCTGCAAGGTATGTGAGAAGAGAAGCCAGATGATGGTGGGTTGGAGAGTGAGTGGATTAAGAAGTAGAAGAATTGGCTGGGCGCGGTGGCTCAAGCCTGTAATCCCAGCACTTTGGGAGGCCGAGGTGGGCTGATCACGATGTCAGGAGTTCAAGACCAGCCTGGCCAAGATGGTGAAACCCCGTCTCTACTAAAAATACAAAAATTAGCTGGGCGTGGTGGCGGGTGCCTGTAATCCCAGCTACTCAGGTGGCTGAGGCGGAGAATTGCTTGAACCCGGGAGTAGGAGGTTGCAGTGAGCTGAGATCGTGCCACTGCACTCCAGCCTGGGCTACAGGGCAAGACTCCATCTCAAAAAAAAAAAAAAAAAAAAAAAAAAAGAAGTAGAAGAATTGACCGGCCAGGTGCGGTGGCTCACGCCTGTAATCCCAGCACTTTGGGAGGCCGAGGCGGGCAGATCACGAGACCAAGAGATCAAGATCACCCTGGCCAACATGGTGAAACCCTGTCTCTACTAAAAATGCAAAAAAAAAAAAAAAAAAAAATAGCTGGACGTAGTGGTGCGCTCCTGTAGTCCCAGCTACCTGGGAGACTGAGGCAAGAGAATCACTTAAACCTGGGAGGCAGAGCTTGCAGTGAGCCGAGATCGCGCCACTGCACTCAGGCCTGGGCGAAAGAGCGAGAGTCCATCTCAAAAAAAAGAAAAAAACAAAAAAAACGAAGAAGTAGAATTATGTGTAGAACACTTTTAAAGGAGCTTGCTTGAGTTGAGGACTTTGCAGTCCAAGCAATGAGTTTTTAAGATGAGTGAAACCAAGCAACTAATTTAGCATATAGAAAAATATAAAGAATAAGATAAAGCACATACCATCTTCATACAGTAAAGCATTTTCAAATTAGTTTTAATTCATCTCTGAAGGAAGAGGAAAAGATTGAGAAAAGGATTTCTTTAGCATTCTCAGCATGTCCTCTAATTTTGTAACCTAGTTTTAACTTTTGTTTTTTTAAAACATAATCATATGTTTTCTGTCTTTATTTTCTAGTCTGCTCCATATAAAACTGGAAGCAAAGGGACTAAAGCCCAGAGAGCAAGACAGTTGGGCTTAGAAGGAGCAGCCAGGGCACTGCTTGAGAAACCAGGGGAGCTCAGTCTGCTATCGTACATTAGGCCTGACGTTAAAGGTACTGGCTTTATTTACAGAGATCAACTTTGTTTCTTTTTTTTTTTTTTTAATTTAAAAACGTATGTTAAAAAACTGTTTTGTTAAGTACTGATTATACAAAAGAATATTACAGCGTATGTAGAATAATTGAAATAAATCCTGACATACCTATTGAGTAGCCATTCAGCTTTTCTCTTTTGATGAAGTGCCTGTTCTAGTCTTTTGCCCGTTTTTCTATTGTATTGTTCTTTTTAAAATTATTATTTTAAAATAATTTTTGTCATTTATATGTGTTGCAAATCTTTTTTCCCAGTTTGTAACTTGTCTTTTCACTTTCTTTATGGCATCCCTTGATAAATAGGTATTAGTTGAGTTTTATTATAGTTAATCATCTTTTAAGATAATAGCTGTATTTTCTTTTTAAAGAAATTCCTTCATATCCCAAGTTTATAAAGATTCTCCTATATTGTCTGTTACAGCTTTTATTTCTGAAAATTTGTTTACTTGCAAAAGTCATAAATACTCTTTAAAAATGTCAAGAGTTTTGACATCCAGGAAGTGTAAAGTGAAGCTCCACTCTCACACTTCTACTGTAGAAGTAAAGTGTATTTTTCTGAAATTTCCCTCCAAGTGTATCTTCCTGTTTTGTGTGTGTGCATGCACAACAGAGAATAAGAGAGGGAAGAAGTAAGGGAGACATATTTCTAAGAAAAACTCAAGGGAAATGACAGTTGATAAATGTCAAGATGCATTGGTTTTATTGTAAAAATGAGTCTTAGAGTGACAACTTTGGTTAAGAGTGGCTTTTTCTCAGGAATTCGCTGTTAGGATTGAGTGGGGAAATTGATGTTTTGGTGGTCTCTACTCTCAAAAAATTATTTTTTTAATATTAAAAAATTATATAGTTAACATGTGCAACATGATGTTTTGATATACATATATTAATACATAGTGAAGTGAGTATTATAGTCAAACTATTCTATACATGATAATCAAGCAAATTAACATATTCATCATCTCACATAGTTACCTTCTTTTGTGTTAAGAGCACCTAAAATCTGTCTTAGCAAATTCACAGTATACATTACGATATTATTAACTGTAGCCCCCGTGTTGTATGTTAGAACTCTAGTCTTTTTCAGCCTATGTAGCTACAACTTTGTACCCTTTGACCTACGTCTTTCCACCCCGCCCCCACCTCCAGTTTCTTTTGTCCTTCTGTGGATCCCATAGGCTGGGACATGTAAATGTCTGTAGGGGGCAGTCTCTGATAACAAAATCCACAGTATGTACTAATCTGTAGAAAATTATAGCATACTATAGCCTGTTTTTATTTTACATAACCCAGCAAATGTGAATTTGTGATTTAAAAAACTGAGTGGGTGTGTCTGTAAAATCCAAATATCTGTTCATACCCAAACACACTTAATCTTAATGTTTGGAGAAGGGCAATAATGAAAAAGTAAAAAAGGATTATGTGAATTTAGAGATGGGTTGAAATGAGTAAAATTCAAGTTTGTTTAATTTTTAATGTGTATTTATAGTTAGATTTCCAAATGGTTGCAACACTTAATATTTTAATAATAGCTAAGACTATAGCTAAGCATTAAGGTTAACCACAGTGGGAAACTGTCTGTGCCCAGTCATCATATGTTTTATTAAAATGGAATGTTGAAACTTTCAGAATGTTAGATGCACAAAGGCTTATCGACTGCTTTTATTTTTATTTTTCTCCTTGTGGTTGATTTTCTTTCCTTCTACTTCTCACTACCTTTGGTACCAAGGTCTCTTGAGTTCTCTCATACACTGAGTTCCTACTGGGTAGGTTTTTGATAACCATATCTCTTTGGATTGTCCTACATGGTGATGCTGCTGGAATATATGACAATGGACACTTGGTGATACTTCTTATAATGTGGATAGTTCAGGGTCTAGCACAGTTACAGTAGTACTGTACTAGCAGACGTGTGAGGACTTTTGTTTGCTTTACTCCCTCTTTCTTTTACCCTGATCAAAAATGTAGAATTATTATTAGTAAGTCTATATAAGCTAGGTACTGCTTTTTTTTTTAAGTTTGATAGGAATGTTTTCTCTTTCTCTTTGTCTCCTCCTCCTTTATGTTACACACAATCATGATCATCCTTAATTTTACTTGTTTTTCGAAAGAAGTTTCATAATTCCTATCATTCCTGAAAGAAATATTTAAGAAACCAGATAGTTCAGTTTTTTTTTTCCCCAGTAGAAGACACTTCTTGCTTGCTTGCCACAGACCAGTAAGCATTTGGTCTGAATCATAAAGCTATACTGTGCCACAAATGGACTATGTCCTGGGAGATCCAAAATACTACTTTCGTGTCCAAGAGGAAGTTCTGTCATACATAAGAAGAGGTAGCTTAAGTGCGGAGAAAGTGAAAAGAAATGTTGGCCTTTCGGTTTTTGTTTACAGGTGTGGAGGTTTGAAGATTCTGTAGCTGGGAAGATTTCATTGTAAGGCAAAGGATATGATTTTCTGGTTCTGTGTACCATATTTCCTCCTGATTTAACTGAGGTGCTAAACTTTTGGAACATCTGTTATCTTGGCTGTATTAAACCCACAAGATCTATTCCCTTTGATTGGGAAAGGAGCTTTTTCAAAACACAGAAGACTTTCCTTTTAAATTATTTTTCTCCCTGGTTGGACTGAGAAGGGGAATGTAATTTGAAAGAGTGTCCCAAATGATTCTGATAATTTCTATCTCCCATTGAGAACCACTGCTCTAGAAGTAGCTCAAGGCATTTCCCTAGTGGCAGTTTTTTAAAGTTGAATGAGTATCAGAGTTATCTGGGACACTCCGTGAAGTACTTCATTTCCACAGTCTAGCCATTCATAGTTTTAACAAGTACCTGGTATGATTTTATTTTTGGGTCCTTGGACTACACTTTACAACATTTCTCTAGCGCTCTAGCACAATTTTAATTAGATTCATTAATTACATAAAGTTTCAAATTATATTCCCCTCTTATGATGGGGGATTTTCAAAGGCCCTTTCTTATTGCAAAGTCTATAATTTCTTCTGTCCTCTGCTTCCATTAATGGTTCTCCCTGTAGGTTCCATCTTTACTATTGAGTTATCACCCTGTTGTTGTCATTAAACTTCATGTGATGATGCTCTGGGATACTTGGAACTCCAGGAATTAGTTCTTGTGAATGGTTTTCCTAGATGAAGACTGAGAGAGCTAACAGAAGAGCAAATGTTTATTGAGTGCTCTATGTGTTATAGCTGTTTTAAGTCCATTAGATATACAGTCTCCCATCTTGTAAAGGTAATTTGTTACTGAAAATTCCCTCATAGGAAAGTTTTCTTAAAATGTAAATAGAATTACTATTAGTTTCATTAGCCACATTTCTTTCTTTAAATTTCTTTAAAATGTAATTGACCGTTGCATAATACAGAGATTAGGGGAACAACCCCCACCCCCCCCGACTCCCTCTTCAAAGTTGAAAATTTAGGTATAACTTTTGACTTTATAAAAACTTAATTGTTAATAGCCTACTGTTGACCTGAAGCCTTACTGATGACATAAAGCTGATTAACACACATTTTGTGTGTTATATGTGTTATATACTGTATTCTTACAATAAGGTAAGCTAGAAAAAAGAAAATGTTATTAAGAAATTTGTAAGGAAAAAATATATTTACTGTTTATTAAATGGAAGTGGATTATCATAAAGGTCTTCATCCTCATCATCACATTGAATAGGCTGACGAGAAAAAGGAGGAGGAGGAGGAGGAGGAGTTGTTTCTGTCTCAGGAATAGCAAAAGCAGAAGTGGTGGAGGAGGTGGAAGGGGTGACGAGAGGCAGGCACCCTTGTTCCAACTTTTATTGTAATTAATCCATGTAGAAGTGCAGACTGGTGCAGTGGCTCACGCCTGTAATCCCAACACTTTGGGAGGCTGAGGGGGGCAGATCACTTGAGGTCACGAGTTCGAGACCAGGCTGGCCAACACAGTGAAAGCCCGTCACTACTAAAAATACAAAAATTAGCTGGGTGTGGTGGTGTGTGCCTGTAATCCCTGTTACTTGGGAGGCTGAGGCAGGAGAATCACTTGAACCCAGGAGGCAGAGGTTGCAGTGAGCCAAGATCGCACCACTGCACTCCAACCTGGAAGACAGTGAGACTCCATCTCAGAAAAAGAAAAAGAAGTGGACCTGTACCCATGTTGTTTAAAGGTCAACTGTAAACATAATTACTTCAGTAGGTAACATAGCTATCCTAACACAACCAAACTAGATATTTTCTATTTATTAATTATGCCATAACAAATATCTTCCTGTCCTCTTTGGCTTTTGTACCTTATTACTTATTAAAACTTTACTTACAGGAAAATATACATATGATATGCAGTGCTTGTGTAATTCAGGTTTAGTGCAAAAAACGTTTCATGCAAATAGAATGATAAAGACAAAAGAAATGAAACAAAGCAGTGCAAATGATCTCTCTCAGTGTAAGTTGATATCAGAAAGACCTTGATTTACAAGATTCATTGCTATAAATTAGCAAATTAGAAATGCTTAAAGAGAACTTAATGCTCATCTGTAGACAATTTAACTGTGAAGAGGAACAACTGCATGAAAACTCTTGTTTTGTGCTTTTGAGATTTGTGAAATTCAAATGGGTCGTTGAAAATGTGAAAAAATGCCCCATAATCCAAAATAGAAATTGCTTCTAAAGGATAATTTTTTAAACAAATGGAGTAGTGTCCCTTGGGTTTTGACTCTATTAATATATATTTCCCATAACATCTTTAGTATTTGTAATCACTTCATAAAGGAGGTACTGTTATGATTCCATTTTTATAGGAAACTGAGGTACAGAGGAGTCAAGTAGGTTGCCCAGTGTCTCACAACTGGCAAATGGTAGAACCAGGATTCGACAAGGCAGCTGGCTCCAGAGATGCATTTTTACCACTGGGCAGTATATTATGTATTATGTCTGTATTATTGCTTTTGGAGACTTGTTTTTGTTACAAAGGGAAGCTAGTATACTGCTGCAATATCTTTCTGTCTTAAGACTGTCAACTTAAGGTTTTATTTTGACTGGAATTAATTTACTGTGATTTAGTTATAGAATTTAAAACCAATCGTATACTTTTTGTTTTTGTTTTCCTTTTTACCCTTCTCCTAAAGGGCTTTCAACGCTTCAGGATATTGAAATAGGAGTGCAGCATATTTTAGCAGATATGATTGCTAAAGACAAAGACACGCTTGACTTCATTCGGAACTTGTGAGTATCTCTTTTATGGAGTTTTCTGCTTTATGGACTCATGCTGTTAAGGGTCACACGGTTAGTGCTAATACCAATGTTCATTAAAAACTTTGTTTTCAGACTTTTTTTTAAAGTAGCAAAACTCTTTGTTCAAACAACAGAGCCCAAATATATAAAACAGATAAAAGTAAAGTTGTTTTAATTGAATTCTGGACAGGGAGCCTGGAACTCTGCCTACTCACCCTCCTTACACTGAGGCATCTCAGTGGAGGGGCCTGATGAGTTTAAAAACCATTGCCTTACACAATATATACGAAGAGAGATTCATGTCCTTTAGAGTGGCATTGCTTTTTAAACATGTTGATTGTGATGTATGCTTATTTTATAGTATCTCGTTTCTGGTGTTTACCAGTGATTGGCTTTACTTGAGAATGTGTAATATCAGATATGAATAAAAGTACTGACCTCCAAATGATTTTTAGCTGTTGAGGAGAGCAGCTTATCTATGGCATCACAGTCCCAATTTATCAGACATTAAAGATCTTTGACCTAGAGCCTTCTTGGGCTTATGGATTTTATGCATCATTAAAAAAACACATTAATTAAAAACCCTATTTTTGTATTATTTTGTTCTTTTTCTGCTGTGTATCAGAAGACAGGTTTCTGCTAGAGGTTTGTTCTTCCTCTCTCTCCCTCCACATATCTAGCTGTTTGAGCTGTGCAGAGGAGAGGAAAGGAGGAGATGACCTAGTTGACTACTGTTGCTAGAAAGAACTTTTGTATTTTCTCAGTGGCTCCAGCAGGAATGAGTTGAAGCAAAATAATTGCTCAGGTTTTAAAATGTGTTTTTATAAGTAATTATGCCACTTAAATTTGGTTCAGTATTATAAATTGTTATTGGAAGCTGTCCTGACACATCCTTTTGTTTCTCTTTTTTTAAGTTTTTAATTGACTGTGACTGTCTTAGTGATTAGAAAAGTCTGATATTTAGATCAGAGCTATTGGTTTGATTTCTATAGATAGTTTTGATCTTTTGCATAATTGCAGATGGTTTCTGAATTCATTTAGGCATTTTATGGGAAGATTGAGTAGATATATAAATAGATCTGGAGGACTATGCTAGTATGAATAGGCAAAGAGTCCTTTTGATGGGGTAGTAATATCAATTTCATAGCTGGGCATCATTAAAAAAACTCACTTGGTAATGGCTTAACTTTTTTTGCTATCCTTATTTCTATATATTCTTTACTAAAGCACAAATTAATAACTGCTTGTTTTTTGAACACTTGTGTATCTGAACAGGTGCCAGAAGAGACATGTTTGTATCCAGTCATCTCTGGCAAAAGTATCCTCAAAAAAGGTAAATGAGAAAGATGTTGATAAGTTTCTGCTCTACCAGCATTTTTCCTGCAACATAAGAAACATTCACCATCATCAGGTAAATAAAGAAACTGCATGTGCATGCTGATTTCGTAATAATGATAATATTTTGGATTTGCCTGCTACTTTACTAAGAATTTAAATAATTTTATGTCAACTGTTTTCTTTTTTCTTTATATAAATTCTTATAATATTGTCATATCCTTGCCGCTTCACAAATTGGGAAGTAATGACCCGGAGAAGTTAACAAGTGACATTGAGAATTATTAGCAGAGCTGACAATATAACATTTTAGGTATCTTGACTTTTTGGCTGGTGATCTTTTTGTTAGACTCTGCTTCCCAGTATCCTTATATTTGAGCTCAATTCTGGATCTCTTCCCTGTGAAATACAAATATGAGATATCTGATTTAGAATAAAGTGTGAGAGGTCTCATTTACTTATATAAATCAGTCATTGTATCTCAGTGTTTTAATTTCATTTTTCAGTTTACTAATTTTTTTTCCTAAGTGTAGTCGTAGGCTATATCTACATTGTGGAATGTGGCTTTTAAATTACATAGGGCAAAAAGGAGATAAAAACCAAAAATACAGTAACACTGGCGTTTATATTTACATATATCATGACATTTATCAGTGTTCTTTATTTCTTTGTATGGCTTCAAGTTACTATCTAGTGCCCTTTCATTCCAGTCTGAAGCACTTCCTGTAATATTTCATGTAAGGCAGGTCTACTAGTGACAAACTTCCTAGTTTTTGTTTTTCTGGAAAATCTTAATTTCTCCTTTTTTAAAAAATTTATGTTTAATTGTGGTAAGATGAACATAACATAAAATGTACCATCATAACCATTTTTAAGCATACAGTTCAGTAATGGGAAGCATAGTCATATTGTTGTGCCACCAATCTCCAGCAATTTTTTTATCATGCAAAACTGAAACTCTATGCCCATTAAACATTTCATTCATTTTTTTATAGAGAGTTTTTAAAATATAGAATTCTTGGTTGATGGTTTTTAATTTTTCCCTTTTAATACTAAATATACCATCCACTCTTATGGTATGGCCTCCATAGTTTTTTATGAGGAATCAGCTGTTAATCTTACGATGCCTTATTCATGACAAGTCTCTTCTCTCTTGCTGCATTCAGGATTCTCTGTCTTTATCTTTTGACAGTTTGATTATAATGTGTCTTGTCATGGGTCTTTCTGAGTTTATCCTACTTGGAGTTTATTGTGATTCTTAGACGTGTAGATTAATGTTTTTCATCAAACTTAAGAAATTCTTCATAATAATTTTAAAAAATATCCTTTCTGCGCCTTTCTCTCCTCTCCTGGGTCTCCCATTATATGTAGAGAGTATGATTGATAGTGTCTCACAGGTCTCAGCCTCTGTTGCTTTCTTTTCTTTATTTTTTTCTTTTTTCTCTGACTGTATATTCCCATTTGACCTATCTTCAGGCTTGTTGATTTATTCTTTGTATTCAAATTTGCTGTTGAACCCCTGGCACATTTTTATTTCAGTCATTGTACTTTTCAGCTCCGTAATTTCTATTTTGTTCTTTTTTATAATTTCTAACTCTTACTTTTCTATATGGTTGAAAGATCATTCTCCTGGCTTTCTTTAGGTCTCTGTTCATGATTTTCTTGAATTCAGCATATTGAATAGAGTTAATTTAAAATCTTTGTTTTGTAAGGTCAATGTCTAAGCTTCCTCATGGACAGTTTTTTTTTTTTTTTTTTTTTTTTTGGTAAAGTCTGGATATGTTGTATTTTATAACTTGGTAACTCTGGAAATCAGATTCTCTCCCCTCCCCTGTTTGTTGTTGCTGCTTGTTTTGGGGTTGGTTTGCTCTAGTGACTTTTCTAAGTATTTTTGTAAATTTTGTTTGCTATGTGTGGCCACTGAGGTCTCCCTTGTTAGCTTAGTAACCATCTAGTTATTTAACAGAGATTCCCCTAAATGCCTGGAGCCAAAAACAAAAACAAAATAAACCCTAAAAGAAAAAAATCCCCTAAAAGAAAAAAACCCAAACTCTCCCAGACTTTGCAGATTGGCACTTTGTTGGGGCACTCCTTCAACACTTAGTGAGGCCATTAACAGCTCTGCCGTAGCCTTTTCTTCCTGTTTGCATGGAGCCCAAAGTTCATCTAGAGGTGAAAGCTTAAGGTTCCCTCAGATCTTTTCAGAGCATACACCTAGCCCTCAGCATGCCCAGGAATTTTAAAAAGCCCCTTTTCCCTCAAATATCTCATTTCCAAGTTTATTTTTTCACAGGTTTTTTGTTCTCTGTGTTAGTTGCTCCTGTATTATCCCTTACCCCTCATGGCTGGGGCTAATATATTTGCCTTTAAGTACTTTTGACAAAGGCCACCTGGGAGGCTTCTTCTGTCCTGAGTAAGTTCCAAGGCATGTGAAATAAAGACAAGCCCTTGAGTCAGTTCCTCAGGGACACACCAGACATCAAAACACACAACCATAGTTATTTGAGAATAAGGTCCATATTGCTCCTTCTGCAACCTGCCCTAGGAACGTGGGCTGTCATCTTCAGAGGCCACTGCTGAGCTGGAGACTGGGGTACGTTAAAAGTGCTCTCTTATAGAAATTCTGCAACTTCTTTCTGTGTTTCTTTCGTTGTTATAAAATTTTTATTAGATTCCATAGTTGCGAAAAAGTTAATTCTGACAGTTTTTGCTACCTTACCAGTTACCTTTGTGGAGGGATGGAATTTAGAGTTCCCTACTCCACAATTTTCAGTGATGTCACTCCTAACAACGTCTTTAAAATACAGTATCGCACACTCCTCATTCTATTCCAGAGCTGGAGTGTGGCTTTTAACGTTATATAAAGTTTTCTTTATTACCTTGTTTAATGCTTTTTATCCTGAAGTCTGCTTTGGTATTAGGATTGCCTTGCAACCTGTGCTTTCTTAAAGGAAATTGACCCCACTCTCCCTACTCTTGTTTTAATCTCAGCCCTACAATTATATTAAATGCTTGCCCTTGGTCCTTTTGCCAGAGCTTTCCAAAGCCTTTAGAGTGAATGAAACTTATTCTGTAGTCTAGTATACAGTTGGTAAACTTTTTCTGTAAAGGTCCAGTGAACAAATATTTAAGGTTTTGTGAGCCAGATGGCTTTTGTTGCAACTACGCAACTGCTGTGTAACACAAAATCAGTCATAGACAATGCATAATGAATGAGCATGGTTGTGTTTCAACAAAATTTTATTCACAAAAACAGGTGGCAGGCTGGATTTGACCCATGGGCCATAGTTTGCTAACTTCTGCTCTAGTGAATGTCTGAAGAAAGGTATATGTGTACAATATTCTCTGAGTTCTTACACATTCAAAATTGTTTTCTATGGCCTTAACACTTGAAGGATAGCTTGGCATGGTATAATCACTTTTGTTTGCATTTTCTTTACTTAAGTTTCTTGAATATGTTGCTCTGCTGTTGGCTTCCTTTGTATGTTATATTTGAGAAATCTGATGCCAGTATAATTCTCTGTCTCCTAGAAATGCAAAGAGGTGGGTCCTATGTTGTGTTTTATTTATTTTCTTTATTGGTTTTATAGTTTTTTGAGAAAGGAAGGGGGAGATTTGAAATTAGGAAACTGCCAGTGTTTTTCAAACGCGGAATTTCTCAATAAATAATTTTAAAATTTATTTTTCTTCCTATCTGCATTTTACTGCTATAAAGAGAGAATAATAGAAAAAAAACTAGTATTCCTAACCTTTCATGTAATACTTAATTTTCATCATTAAGAATGTAATTGTTTTGCATGGTGGCACATGCCTGTAGTCCCAGCTACTCAGGACCCTGAGGCAGGAGGATTGCTTGAGTCTAGGATTTCTGGGCTGAAGTGCGCTATGCCGATTGGGTGTTCACATTGAGTTTAGTATCAATATGGTGACCCCACAGGAACGGGAGACCAGCAGGTTGCCTAAGGAGGGGTGAACTGGCCCAGGTCAGAAAAGGAGCAGGTCAAAACTGTGCTGATTAGTAGTGGGATTGCTCCTGTGAATAGCCACTGCATTCCAGCCTGGTCAACAGTGGGACCCTGCCTCTTAAAAAAATAAAAAAGTAATTGTTTTTCATTTAAGATGACACAGATGTGAAAAATTTTTGTTTTGTTGTAACAAGACATGAAGAGTGTGAATTATCCCACAAGTATTTCCTGAAAGGTTATTTTATGTTGGGTCCTGTTTAGGGTGTAGAGGTAACATGGCCCTTGCCCATTTAAAGATTTGAAATGTTTCACTATTATATCTAAAATTGTCAATTTTACTTTTGTGTACACTATATTTACCACATCAGGTGAAGTACATACTTTCAATATTTTGAAAGAAAGTACAGTGAAATTTTACATACGTAGTTATTATAGTCTACTGATACAGGTATAACATAATGAAAAGTAATTTTTAATAGTACCAGTGACTAAGTATACTAACATTCCTTTTGCAGAAGTAGTTTTTCTGTCTTATTTTGTCCACCTTTTATGTTGATTTAATTTTATTGCAACTTTGGAAAAACATTAATGCTTTTATTCTGTTAAAACCTAGCCTTCTAATTTCTGCTTGAAAATATTTTATTGGGCTCTGCATTTTAACTAGTGTGTGTAGCAAATGTGGCATTCTGAGTTAGTGACTGAATTTAAGATTATGATTGACACAGGCTTCTGGGTGTGACAGTATTCAGGCCTGGGAAAGCAGAGCATTTTGGAAATGTCAGTTTTGAAAAACAGCACTGCTGTTTTACGAACTTTTTAGTTTATCATGTACAGGCCGGAGTGATGATATGCTAGGTTACAAAAACAGCTTCCCAATTCCTATAGTGCTGAGACCTCATGTCCTAAATCTGAACCTTACTTTTCAGCCTTTATGTAGATAACCCCAGCACAGTATCACAGAACACAGAAATGAATGCAAATGATGAAAGACAGTGTGGTGAAGGAAAATTACTGTGGAACTCTCTCCAAGTACTGTGGGAATAGCCGTTAATAGCTGCTTAGTAAATTCTTCCAGCTGCATCTTTTTTTCTTTCTTTTTCAAATTGGTCCTTAGTGTGATCTTTTCTACCACATGAATTTGTAACTCAGTCTTCACATTCTCTCATGGGACTTTCTGTTCCTTATCTTTATTGGTGTGTCTTTTTACTGACGTGCAATTTCCTGTGTCTTAACTACCTATTTCCTGTTCAATGTCACCATCTGCAGTAATTCCGCTTTAACCCACTACTCACTTTCAATTTCAGTTTCTGTCCCAAGCTTTATTATTTCTGTTACCTTATTCCCTTCTCCACCATGGGTCTTCCTGTGTGTCAGGATTTTTTGTAAGTTTGACGTATTACATTACTAGGTATGGTGAAAAAGAGCAAAAAACCTCCAATAATGTATTGTGATATTATGGTATACTTATGTAAATCGGAATTAAATAACTCTCCTCTATATTGTTGTACTCTACTTAATTTATTAGAGAAAATTTCTTGTATGAAGAACTTCTGTTTACTAAGCTGGCACAGCCTATAGCAAATACGGAAGTCTCTGCTGAGCTCAAACTGAAGTTTATTTTGTATTCACAATTTATTTCTTTATAGATAGTTCTGTGCAGTATTATTGAATATATTGTTTTATGTAAGCTTACTTTTTTTTTTTTTTCTTAGACAGTATCTTGCTCTTTCACCCAGGCTGGAGTGCAGTGGCAGAATCCCACCTCACTGCAAGTTTCGCCTTGCGGGCTGAAGGCATTCTCCCACTTCAGCCTCCTGAGGAGCTGGGACTATGGGCATGCACAAGCACACCTGGCTGATTTTTGTATTTTTTGAGAGTTGGGGTTTCGCCATGTTGCCCAGGCTCATCTTGAACTCCTGAGCTCAACCAGTCCTCCTGCTTTGGCCTCTCAAAGTGCTGGGATTATGAGCATGAGCCCCCATACCCAGCCGAAACATTTATTTCTAAGTGATTGTTCTATTTCTGCTGATGTTTACTTTAGAAATTTCTCAAGTATATAAGAAAAGAAAAAAGTCCCCTATATAATTTTTTTAAAACTCTGACAATTTGTTTGATATTTAAAATTTTACTCAATATTTTTAAAATTTAAATTAAAGTTACAAAAAAATACGCGTTTTATCTTTTGACATTCTTTTCAACATGAAGCACAAATTGAGAAATTTTCGTGGTAGAATTATTTTGTGGTAATATTAAGTTGAATTATTCTAAGCTTGTTTCACCACAGATAGGAAGTCTAAGTTTTTGTTAGAGATCCTCATGGAAATGTGCTAAAATTGTTAAAATATCAGTTTGTGTCCTGTAAAGGGAGAACTTAGTTTATTAAAATCCCATTCATTAAGAGTAATTGGAAGAAAGCCATTAAGAATTAGTGAGAAATCTGAATATATGTTGAAGTGATGTTGTTTAATTTTTAATATATAATATACATAAATATATAGTTACAGACTAGCAGATATTTAAGGGAGGCTGTTAACTTGATTAAATTATTTGGTTAATTTGTGTTACTATTTATCATCTTAATAATTGGTATTAAAGAGTGCTTTAAGAAAAGAGTGTTTTAATTTTCTAATAGGTTTATTGAAGTAAAATTCATATTGCATTTAATGCAACCATTAGAACTTTGTAAGTTCAATGGTTTTTCGTAAATTCACTCAGTTGTGTCACCATTACCACAAGCAATTTTAGGACATTTTTCTCCCAAATATTTCCTTGCATCAAGCTCTAGGCAGCCAACTTTCTATCTCTATAGATTTGTCTGTTCTGGTCATTTCATATAAAGGAATCATACAATATGCAGACTTTTGCCGCTGGTTTCTTTCACTTAGCATAATGGTTTCAGAGTTTGTCTGTTATGGTATGTATTAGTATGCCTTTCCTTTTTATTGCTACGTAATATTACATTATATGGATTCTCCACATTTTACTTATCCATTCATCAGTCAGTGAATAGTTTGGTTGTTTCTACTTTTTGGATATTATGAATAATGCTATGAACATTCGTGTCTAAGTTTTTGTGTGGACATATGTTTTTATTTCTCTTGGATATATACCTAGGAGTATAATTGCTGTGTTATATGGTAGCTTTACATTTAACCTTTTGAGGAACTGCCATATTTTCCAGAGTGGCTATGCCATTTTTACATTCTCACCAGCGGTTTGTGAAGGTTCCGATTTCTCTACATCCCTCCCAACATTTATTGTCCATCTTTTTGTGTTTTGATTTGCATTTCTCTAATGATGCTGAGCATCTATTCATGTACTTATCAGTCATTTGTATATAATTTTTGAACAAATACCTCTTCAGATCTTTTGTACATTTTAAATTGGGTTGTGGCCAGGCGCGATGGCTCACGCCTATAATCCAAGCACTTTGGGAGGTTGAGGCAGGCGGATCGCCTGAGGTCAGGAGTTCGAGACCAGCCTGGCCAACATGGTGAAACCCCATCTCTTAAGAAAATAAATAAATGAATAAATTGGGTTTTGTCTCCTTATTGTTGAGCTGTAGGAGTTTTAAATATATTCTAGATACCCTTATGTGACATATGATTTGCAAAAATTTTTGTCCCATGCCGTGCATTTTCTTTTCACTTTCTTGATACTATTCTTTGAGGCACAAAAACTAAAATTTGTTGAAGTTCAATCTAGTTTTTTGTTATTGATTACACTTTTGGTGTTATATCTAAGAAGGCTTTATGACTTGAGGTCATAAAAATTTTCTCCTTTTTTAATGGAAATTTTATAGTTTTAGTTCTTGTATTAAGGTCTAAGATCAATTTTGAGTTAATTTTTATGTATAGCGTGAAGTAGGGGTCCGTCCACTTTTGTTCTTTTGCATGTGGTGAGTTCTAGTTATTCATGATTTATTGAAAAGATTGGATTTTCTTCATTGAATTATCTTGGTACCCTTGTTGAAAATCAGTTGACACTATATGTATAAGTTTATTTCTGGACTCCGATTCTATTCCATTGTATGTCTATCCTTATGCCAGTCCCCACTGTCTTGATAACTGTGGCTTTGTAGTCAGTTTTGAAATTGGGAAGTGGGAATCTTCCAAGTTTATTTTGATTTTTAAAAATTGACTTGGCTATTCTCAGTCCTTTGAATTACTATATGTGTTTTAAAATTAGTTCACCAGTTTCCACAAAACATGCCAATTGGGATTTGATAGGGATTTCACTGAATTTGTAAATCAACTTGGGGAGTGTTGCCATCTTAGCAATATTAGGCCCTCTGATCCCTGAACATGGGATGTTCATGGGTATTTATTTAGATCTTCTTTAATTTCTTTCAACAATGTTTTGTAGTTTTCATAGTACAGTTGTTCCTTGGTATATACAGGAGATTGATTCCAGGATCCCTGCATATACCCAAATCTATGTATATGCAAGTCCCAGAGTTGGCCCTGCAGAACCCATGTATATGAAAAATCAGCTCTCCTTATGCGTGGGTTTCAGATCCTGCAATTACTGTATTTTCAATCCCTGTTTGGTTGAAAAAAATCCACGTGTAAGTCAACACATGCAGTTTAAACCTGTATTGTTCAAAGGTCAACCGTGTAAGTTGTGAACTTTTTTTGTTAAATTTATTCCTAAGTATTTTATTCCTTTTGGTGGTATCATAAATGGAATTAAAAAAAATTATTTTCAGAATGTTTATTGCTAGTATGTATAAATTAATTTTATTTGTTGAGCTTGTGTTCTGCAACTTTGCTGAACTCTTTATTAGTTCTAATAGTTTTGTAGTGGATTGCTTAGAATTTTCTATATATAAGATCATGTTAGCTGCAAATAGAGAAAGTTTTACATCTTCCTTTCCAATATAGATGGCCTCCCTTCTTTTCCCTGGCTAGAACCTTCAGTACAATGTTGTGAGAGTGGACACGCTTGTCTTGTTCCTGGTCTTTGACCAGTAAATATGATGTTAGCTGTGAGATTTCTGTGCACAAGCCCTTTCTCATATTAAAGAACTTTCCTTATATTTCCAAGTTTTTTGAGTGTTTTTTATCATGAAGGGCTACCTGATTTTGTCAGATGTTTTTCCACATCTATTGAGATGATCATAGGATTTTTGTTATTTATTCTATTGATATAATGTGTTAGGTTAATTGATTTTTTAGATGTTAAATCAACCGGGCATTCCTGGAATTGATTCTAGTTGATCTTGGTGTATAATCCTTCTTATATATTTCTGGATGTGGTTTGCTATTACTTTATTGAGGATTTTTACATCTATATTCATAAGAGATATTGGTTTGTAGTTTTCTTGTGAAGTCTTGTCTGGTTTTTGTATCAGAGTAATACTGGCCTCATAGAAATATATGTGAAGTTTTTCCTTCTCTAATATCTTTTGGAAAGTTTGTGAAGAATGGATATTGATTCTTTTTAGAATGTTTGGTAGAATTCAATGGTGGTGCCATCTGGGCCTGGACATTTATTTGTGGGAAATTTTCAAATTACTAATTCAGTGTCCATACTTTTTATAGGTGTGTTCAGATTTTCTGTTTCTTTTTGGTTTGTTTTTGGTAGTTTGTATCTTTTAGGAATTTGTCCATTTTATCTTAGTTATCTAATTTGTCATACAGTTGCTCATGGTATCTCTTATAATCTTTTTTATTTCTATAAGGTCCTTAGTAGTGGCCTCTCTTTTGTTCCTGATCTTGGTGTTTGAGTGTTTCCTGTTGTTTTTCTTGATTAGTCTAGCGAAAGGTCTGTTAATTTTGTTGATATCTTCAAAGAACCAACTTATGGTTTTGTTGATATTTATTGCTTTTCTATTCTCTATTTTATTTTTACCCTATTATTTATTATTTTCTTCTGCTTGTTTTGGTTTTGTTTATACTTTAAGGAGTGTTTTTAATGTGTTTTAAGACAGTCGTTCTTTTAATATTTTAATTAAGAGCATGGACAGATTGATCTGAAGTTTAAATTCTTTTTTTGCTACTTGCTAGCTTTGTGATTTGCAACAAGTTAGTTTCAGAAAAATTATTATATAAAGTGAAGATAATACACACATTACTGGTGACTCTAAGGATTACTTGAGATAATATATTTAAAGTGCTTAGATAGGCTCTACAATTAGTAATGCTCAATGGATGGTAACAATTTGTAGCTACTAAATATTGCACCTAGGATTTTACATGTTTGTATTTATCTTAGCACAGGTTATCTTTTCAAATTATAAAAAGTATACCCTTCCAACTCCAGATAATCAAAAATTTTCAATTAGTAGAATCTGAAATGAGATTTTTAGATCATCAAAGTCTCTTCTTGTAAATGTGTTAGATAGGCTTTGTATCTGCATTTTATTTTCTAAGAGCATGTTAGGGTTTTCCTTATGTGGGAGGTATGTTACTTGAAAAAAGTGTAAGTAAATGATTATTTTAAAATGTATTCTTGTTTAATAAACGAGTAAAAAATTCATATAGCTGTCAGCTACATAGTCGCCTGATTTGTTTCATATATTTTGTGGATTATTAGTCTTTGCCTTATGTTTGCACTCAGATTCTGGCAATTAACCGTGGAGAAAATTTGAAGGTACTGACGGTTAAGGTCAATATTTCTGATGGAGTGAAGGATGAATTCTGTAGGTGGTGCATCCAAAACAGGTCTGTTTACAGATATTTACAGAATTTTCTTTGTTTCTTTTCTAAAATATGATACCGATATCTATATGTACTGATATGTAAAGATGTCTATTACGTGAACATTTTTAAAAAGCCAGTGACAGGCCGGGCGCGGTGGCTCACGCCTGTAATCCCAGCACTTTCGGAGGCTGAGGGGGGTGGATCGCGAGGTCAGGAGTTCAATATGAGCCTGGCCAAGATGGTGAAACCCTGTCTCTACTGAAAATACAAAAACAAAAAATTAGCTGGGCATGGTGGTGCACACCTGTAATCCCCGCTACTTAGGAGGCTGAGGCAGAGAATTGCTTGAACCCAAGAGGCTGAGGTTGCAGTGAGCCGAGATCACACCACTGCACTCCAGCCTGGGCGACAGAGCAAGACTCCATCTCAAGAAAACAAACAAACAAACAAAAAACCCACCAATAACAGACAAGGTATGTAGTGTCCTTTTTGAATTAAAAAAAATAATAAAATAAGTATGTGTGTCATGCATATTTAAACAGAGAATATCCAGGAGGGTGTGTGAGGAATTTTTGATAGTGATTATCTCTGTGGAGAAGAACTGTTTTACTTCATTACTTTTCTGTACTATTTGAAACTTTTGTAAGATCATCTTTTCCCTTGCAAAAATAAACTAACAAAAATATGCTCTATGTATCATATCTGAAGTGTTTAGCTCTTTAAGGATGATGGAAACAAAAATTAACTTATTGGATATTACAATATAAATAAGCATTCTGTATGTGGGGATAAATGTTGCATGTTAAGGATGATTGAAAGAAACATTAAATTTATTAGATATTTTAAGGAAATGTCTAAGCTTATGTAATTTTTTATTACCCTTTTTATTTGTTAAGGGAGCCTTTTAAAATAGCACCATGTTTGTATAATACTTTTTACTTTTAGTTTTAATTTTTCAGAGTGTAATTGATCCTCACAAAAATCTATTTAGTTGGTAGAGCAGATTTTGTAGCCACCACTTAGCCAGTGAGAAAACTGATACAAAGAGGTAAGTAAAGTGGCTTCCTAGCAGCTAGGAGATGTAAATTTTGATAAAGTTCATCACCAGCTAGTTCTGTGTAACTTTAGGATAAAGAGATTGCTAGGAATGATACTTAAAAAGTTAGATGACTTGTTCTTTGAAAATAAGTATCATGGATTTTGGAAATCAGTTATCTCATTCAACACAACTGTTTTGTTAATTCATTAAAAGCAATGAAGGATCAACTTGCTTAACAACCAAATACTACTAACTAAGCAACCATTAAGTAAAACAACAGTCTAAATGTTAATCAATAGGTAAATTGCTTAAGCCAATTATGTTATATCCATATGGTGGAATTCTGTGCAGCCATTTTGAAAAAGTGGAAATAGAGCTGAAGTTGAAATATGAACATGTCTTACTAAGTTAAAAAGACAATTTACAATTAGCATTTATTTATAGTATGATTTCACTAGTGGCAAATAAGTGTCTTTATATTACTGTGTATATTTTTCTATATAGTTTCTTTTCTTTTTCTTTTTTTGAGAGACAGGGTCTCACTCTGTTGCCTAGGCTGGAGCACACAGGTGCTATCATAGCTCACTACAGCCTCAATCTCCCAGACTCCAGTGATTCTCCCACTTTAGTCTCCTGTGTAGCTGGGACCATAGGTGCATACCGCTGGCTAAACTTTTTTTTTTTTTTTTATTTAAGAGATGAGGTCTTGCCATGTTGCCCAGGCTGGTCTTGAACTCCTGGGCTCAAGCGGTCCTTCTATCTGAGCCTCCCAAAATGCTGGCGTGACAGGCGTGACCCACCATGCCTGGCTAGTTGTCATTTTTTATGAATGCTTATTTCCTTTATAAATAAGCAAATAAATTCCAATGAAAGGAAAGAGGAAATGTATGCCTAAAAGAAATGCTAGATTTAAAAAATTAGGAAATTAGATAATTTAAGATATGACAAAACTCTAAGATAGTTTCATAGAGGAAACTCCTAAGAAGTAGATATATTTGAGTTTGAATTCCAGTTATATTACTTTCTACCTCTGCACCTATGGGCATGCTACTTAATTTCTTTCTCAGTTTTGTCTATCCTTAAAATGGTAATACTTTACTTGTAGATTTGAGAGAATTAAATGATAATCTACGTAACTGTATAGCACAATGTCTGGTGAAGAACAGGCCTTTGATGGTATCTGTTATTACAAAGTAGTGGGATTATTGTGCTAATTCTTTTTAGAAATGTTTTAGTAAATCACAAAGACAATTTCTGGCT
This sequence comes from Homo sapiens, assembly GCF_000001405.40. Classification (NCBI taxonomy): domain Eukaryota; kingdom Metazoa; phylum Chordata; class Mammalia; order Primates; family Hominidae; genus Homo; species Homo sapiens. The sequence goes on along the minus strand of NC_000002.12, from coordinate 45,560,374 downwards.
TATTTTTCTGTAAATATTCATAATACTCAGTATCAGAGTCAGTCCTCAGTAGTTAAAGAAAAAATATGCTTTTAACCTATTTATTATCTTTAGACTAAGTAAATGTCAAGGAATTTTTTTACAGTGATTTATTTTTCCATGGCTTATTTATATTTTATTTAGTTCTCCAATTGAAAAATTTGTAATATTATTTAGCCTACAATGTAACATGTTACATCATTATGGCATAGTAATATAATTTTCAGTCAGGTTTGGAAGTTTTTCTTTTTCTTTTTTTTCTTTTCTTTTTTGAGACAGGGTCTCACTCTGTCTGTCACTCATGCTGGAGTGCAGTGGCATGATCTTGGCTCACTGCAGCCTTGACTTCCCAGTTTCAAGCTGTCCTCTCACCTGAGCCTCCTGAGTAGCTGGGACTACAGGTGCGCACCACCACACCCAGCTAAATTTTTCTTTCTTGTAGAGACAGGGGTTTTGCCATATTTCCCAGGCTGTTCTCAAACTCCTGAACTCAAGTGATCCACCAACTTCCGCCTCCCAAAGTACTGGGATGAACCACCCCAGGCATGAACCACCATGCCCGGCCTGAAACTTTTTCTTCATTTAGATAATTCCAAGAGCTGAAACACTTTTCTAGGACCTAAAAAATTATTCTCAAAAGAACTTTTTTTTTTCCTTTAAGCACATGTGAATGACTAGAAATGCTTACTTGATGAATCTTCTAGTTCCTTTTTTTACTCTCTTTTTCCCTATTTCTTCACCCTCTTCTGTATGTACTTATCCATTCAAGTTATGTGCTAGATTTTGGAGATTCCCCTGTAAATTAGACAGATATACTGCTTATCCATGATGACAGCGTAGTTTAATGAGAACAACACTGGGAAAATCATTACGAGTATGTTGAGATTATGAAGGAAAAGTGTAGTAAGAAGAAGAAAAGTGCTTGTAACAGAGCCCTGAGTAGTGTGGACTTGACAGCTAGGTAGGTTGGAGATAGAAGGAGAAGGAAGAGAAGTGACATGGAATGAAGATTGAGATGTTGACACAGGTTAGATCATACATAGCTTTCAGGTATGCTAAAGATTTTTTTCTTTTAAGGATGGTGGGAAGCCAATAAGGATTTTAAATACAGGAGTGTGATGATCAGATTGCATTTTAAGATCACTCAGGCCACAGTGTAGATAATTATTTGGAAGGAATCAAGAGTAGATATGGCACAAGAGATTATGGTAGCTTAGACTAGGGTGGTAGCAATAGGGAATAAGTAGATAGATTTGGGCAATATTTAGGAGGTAGACAGGGGCAGGACAAGGTATCTGATTAAATGGTGGGTGGATTGGTTAGGGAGAGGTGAAGTGAAGCATGAAATTTGTGTGGCGGCTGGGCGTGGTGGCTCACGCCTGTAATCCCAGCACTTTGGGAGACCAAGGTGAGAGGATCACCTGAGATCAGGAGTTCAAGACTTTGAGACCAACCTGACCAACATGGCGAAACCCTGTCTCTACACAAAATACAAAAATTAACCAGGCATGGTGGTGCATGCGTGTAACCCCAGCTACTTGGGAGGCTGAGGCAGGAGAATTGCTTGAACCCAGGAGGTGGAGGTTGCAGTGAGCCGAGATTGCGCCATTGCACTCCAGCCTGGGTGACAAGAGTGAAACTCCATCTCAAAAAAAAAAAAAAAAAAAAAAATAATTGTGTGGCTTGAACAATAAGGTAGATGATATAGTTACTATCACACTATAAATATATTAAGAACTATGTAATAGGGCAAATAGTGATTTAAATGGCAGTCTTGTCATTACATAAGTTAATTAGCATAACAAGGAATAATTTAAAGCTAATGTATTAGTATTAAAACTAATATTTAGGTCCAGATTCAGCAAATGAACAATTCCTCATTTGGAATTGTATGTTACTAGTACAAGATAAGTATGAAGAGGATTTCTAAGCTTTTTAGATGCTGAAATAGTTGCTGTGTTTGTGAGAACCTCAGTAATTTAAGTTTCTGCATTTGCTCTCTAAATAAAAACGTATCTAAGGAAATTTTTTTTAAAAAATTAAGAAAACTTCTTTTTAGAGACATTATCTCACTATGTTGCTCAGGCTGGTCTCAAACTCCTGGATTTAAACAATCCTTCTGCCTCAGCCTTCAAATTAGCTGGGACTGCAGGCATGCACCACCACACCTGGCTTCAGAACTTGTCTTTTGAGTTTGCAGATTTTTGTGTCTTTGACTTGATAAGTTAATTTTTATTCTCCCTAAAATTGTGCTGCTGTTTTTCATGTAGTAGGTTTAAGGGAAACTGTCTCTACTTTAAATGTGGAAAAAAGAAAGCCCAGTGGAGAGAGCCTGTCTTTATCTTATATATATGAAGTTGGGAGAGCATATTTCTTTGCCAAAGTGGAGAATATTTCTTTGGAGGAGTTTGTGATCCCTCACCTCAGTTTTGTGCTTCATTGTATGCAACATACATAGCATGTGTTTTGCAATGTATATTTGGTTTAAGTGAGTCCTCCTTAGTTTTATTCAGATGTATTTAACTGTTGAATTAGAGGAAGAATCAAGTTTTGAGATGACTTCCTGTAAGGCAAACCCATCATATTTTCTTTAAGTTTAAAGATTTAAGCAACAGGGTTTGTGAATTTACTATACTATTTCAGGTTCCTTAGTATGCTAAGTGCCTTCAATAAATCCCAGGAAGCCGGTGAAGGGCAGGAATTGTTTTGGTGTAAGGAGCAAAAAGGAGTTTCTATAATGTAGGAAATGAATGTAGCTGTTCTCTTTCAGGGCTGGGTCTAGTGGTCTAAAGTTCAACTGAATGGGCATGATTGAGGCATCCTCAAGTATTAAATAGACCCATAGCTCTCTGTTCCAGGAAGGGGAGGAGAGCAGTCCAAGCCAAGGGAGGATCTTGAGACTTGAAGAAGACTACTGGGGGTTTGAGAGGGTATGGGTAGGTGATATTTAAGATTTCTGGCTTTTTCCTGCAAGCAGTGGCTTAAAGGGCAACACCTTAGGAGACAAATCAGATACATACATTAAAACAAATCCCTCTGTTAGGGTCTTCCTACCTCTAAGGACTATCTGTCTAGCATACTGTTGCATGATTCAGGACTATGTTCTCTCTCCTACCTCGTCAGGCTCCATAGCTTTGTGTATAAGACCCTTTATGATCCAGCCACTGCCACATTTTCTACCCTCATCTTTCCTCCTGTTGATCTTGCCACTTTATTTCCTAGAAGCGCTAACCTTATAGTTACTTCAATTTACCGTGCTTTTTCATGCCTCTAAGCTTTTACATATGCTATAATTTCTTCCCAGAATGCCCTTATTCTTTTGTCTTGCTTGGCAAACTACAATTCATTAAAAAAACCTATCTCAGATGTTTCTTTTGGGAAGTCTTTCTTGACATTGGATTCCCCATATTAATAATAACAGCAGCAGCAGCAGCAGCAAAAACTTACATAGAATGTATTAGGCACCATTATAAGTCCCTTGCTTATGTTAACTCACAACAATTCAATGAAGTAGACTATTATTACTCCCATTTTACTGATGAAGAAATAGTAGCACAGATATACTTAAGTAAATCCACCATGAACATAGAGCAAGGCCAGACATGGTGGGTCACGCCTATAATCCCAGCACTTTGGGAGGCCAAAGCAGGTAGATCACTTGAGGTCAGCAGTTCGAGACTGGCCTGCACAAAGTGGTGAAAACCTGTCTCTGCTAAAAATACAAAAATTAGCTGGGCGGGATGGCGCACGTCTGTAGTCCCAGCTACTCGGGAGGCTGAGGCAGGAGAATGGCTTGAACCTGGGAGGTGGAGGTTGCAATGAGCCAAGATTGTGCCTCTGCACTCCAGCCTGGGTGACAGAATGAGATGAGACTCTGTCTCAAAAAAAAAAAAAAAAAAAAAAAAAAAGTAATAGAGCATAGAGCAGAACAGATCATACTTTTAACTAGTATATTATACTGCTGTTTGCTGTCACTTCTGCTTTTGAGCTCTTCATATCTTTAACATTTATTTCTGTTTTTACATTTATTGTGCCATACATTTGTTTAGATATTTGTTTCATTGAAAAAAGGTGTGTTTGTTGAATTCATGCCTTTTTTCAATGGAGTAGAGAAATCCTACTCCTCTGTATCCCTAATTCCTTCAGGCAAATGTTACAGTAGGGAGCAGCAGGGATTTAGGTGGAAGGAAGGATGTATATCCTGCCTAAAAGCACTTCCACTAAAATTTAAAAACTGTATGACACTTTCTATGGAAGAGATTCAGTTAGTTGCTATTATGTAATCTTTGGAATAAAACATTGTAAGTGCTTAAATGTTTGTTCAGTGAAATGTAGTTCATTTCCTAGCCTAAGATAAGTAAAGGGGATGAGAGTACCCTTAAGGTAATATTAATTAATATTTTGTTAATGGTTTTCATTCAAGAGGGCAAGGGCAGAGATGCTGTAGATGGATGAAAACACAGAATGGATAGTATCATAGGACCAACAGGTTTATATGCCCACTGTGCCGTAACAGACTAATACACCAAGACAGCAGGGTTTGTAGCAGAGAAAAGAGTTTAATGGGCCTGGCGAGGTAGCTCACGCCTGCAATCCCAGCACTTTGGGAGGCTGACATGGGCAGATCACGAGGTCAGGAGATCGAGACCATCCTGGCTAATACAGTGAAACCCCATCTCTACTAAAAATACAAAAACAAAAAATTAGCCGGGTATGGTGGCGCCTGTAGTCCCAGCTACTCAGGAGGCTGAGGCAGGAGAATGGCATGAACCCAGGAGGTGGAGGTTGCAGTGGGCCGGGATCGCGCCACTGCACTCCAGCCTGGGCGACAGAGCAGGACTCCGTCTCAAAAAAAAAAAAAAAAAAAAGGGTTTAATGATTGCAGGGCACTGAGTGAAGAGATGGGAGGAGGCCTTGAAATCCATTTTTCCAAAAAATTCTGGGCTGGGTTTTTTTTGTTTGTTTTGTTTTTGTTTTTAAGAAAGGGTCTCTGTTGCTTAGCTGTAGTGCAGTGGTGCATCATGGCTTACTACAGCTTCAACCTCCTGGGCTCAAGTGATCCTCCTGCTTCAGCCTTCTAAGTAGCAGGGACTACAGGCACACACCAACACATCCAGCTAAATTTTTATTTTTTGTAGAGACAAGGTCTGGCTATGTTGCCCAGACTAGTCTTGAACTCCAAGTGATCCTCCCACTTTGGCCTCTGGAAGGCCATACTCTGGGATTACAGATGTGAGTTACTGTGCCCAGCCTGGGCTAGGATTTTTAAGGGGATCGTGGAGGGAAAGGAGCTGGAAATTTGTGGTCTTTGATTGGTTGGGGTAAGGGGGATAAAATCATCAGCATATGGAAACTGTACTGTTTGGTGAGTCAGCTTCTTGGTGGGAGTCTTTCATAGTAGCTGATGTCAGTAGTTTCATTGGTACACAGGACCTGAAAGAGTATTCAAATGGAAAACTTAACATTTCATAATGTTCAGGTTGTTACCTATAGAGCAGTTAAGGGGAGCTATAATCTAGTAACAGGGTCTGTGTGATTCTAGGACAGTAGGCACCAAACAACTATGAGGAAGCAGGTCAGAGAGTGAGCTGACCTCATGATTAATGCTGAATGTGCTGCCAGCTTGGTTTATTTTCATTTCTAGCCCTCCTTTCTTTCCTGATTAATTTTATAAGGTTTATAGGGACCGTTTCAGTGAGGCTACATTTGTCCTTTTAGCTTGTGATTTTCTCTTCTATTCTTTCCCCAGTGTTCATTAACAATTGGTTCTGTGGCATTTATAGTCCTCATTACATATGCAGATGTTGCCTGGTAGAGCATTGTGGCCTGAGCAATAGAGTAAGTTCTCAGAAATGGCAAGAGGCAAGGGTTGAAACAGAGTTTCTGCTTTGCTCAGTCTACTTTAACTCTCAGAAAGAGATAAAGAAAGGGGGAAAAAAGGATACAGTGGCTGTCTTAACTTGGACTAACATAACAAAATACCACAGACTATGTGGCTTCAACCGGAGTAATTTATTTTCTCATAGTTCTGGAGGCTGAGAAGTCCAAGATCAAAATGCCAGCTGATTCATTTTCTGGTGAGGGCTGCCCTCCTTGGCTTGTAGACAGCTGCATTCTTGCTGTGTCCTCACATGGTTGAGAAAGAGAGAGAAAGAGCAAGCCCTCTGTTATCTCTTCTTATCAGGGCACTGATTCCATCCTGAGAGCCCCACCCTTATGACTTCATCTAAACCTGATTATCCCCCAAAAGCCCCATCTTCAAGGTATGGATATGGGGAGGGACACAATTCAGTCTGTAGCAGTGGTGTAATAATTTTTTGGTGACTTTCTTGTATCTTAAGATTTTGGCCATTATTAATAATGCTTTGGAGACCCTTTACTGAAGAGGAAATTTTTTCCTTGTTTTATATCTGACCATAGATAGTTACTAGGATTTTTAAAATAAAAACTCCAGATGTCATAGTAATAATTTTCAGATACCACAGCCTTTCCTCACAGATTATGTTACTTTGGCTTCAATAAAGGTTTTCCCCGCTTCTGTATTCCATCTCCCTTCTTTTTGGGAGCCTTTTTATGGCCTTATTTATTGTTGCATCAGTTTTAGTGTGGGCTTTTCTGTTTTGCAGGTGGAGACCACGTAGCTTTGCAAGGCCAGAGTTAATGAAGATCTTATATAATTCACTGAATGATTCCTTTAAACGCCTTATTTATCCTCTTCTCTGTAGAGAATTCAGGTATATATCTTGTCTTGTTTAATTTTGTGTACTGATTATTGTTATATGATACTAGTACCATTACAGTGTGTAGCTAATGTTTGTTGATTGATTAACCAATCGAAAGAATTTAGTCAGCATCACAAAGTGTTAAAGTTAAGGCTTGATTTCAATCTGTAGATGCATTCACATGCATAGATCATAAAAATAGTTCTTAATTATGATATGTTTTTCAAATCTTGACCACTTAATGTGTACCCCTTGAAATCCTGCAATACTAGTCTTGCAGCTGGAGGCAGTTTTTAGAGGTAAGAGAGCCAAAGAAAGCATAAGGAAATCAGTAGGGTACATGATGAATCAATTACTTTGTTTTTAACTCCAAATGGGAGTTATTTGGATGAAAAATTATCAGCAATGATAAATATTAGGAGATTATTAAAATGGCAATGTGAACGGACTAATAGAAGGACTAAGTAATATAGATGAAAACTGCAAAAGAGGTGAGGTGCAGAATTGTTTTCAGGACAGAAGATGGAAAGAAAAGAAATGTAGGGAGGCAAAACTCCTCTCTCTTGCTTCTCTGTAACCCTTGTTTTTGCACCCAATCTTTAGAAACTAGACATTCCCTAATTCATTCCTTCCAAAATATTATAGATTATCTTCATTCTCATTTCTTTGTAGGTTTCAGCAAGGGCTACTTGAAAACTGTAGTTTTGTAGCCATCTCTTCAACCTCTCTAGAATTTTTAGCAGCCTATGTAGGGCTTGTTTCTCTTTTGCTGGACTTGACCATTGAATTAAGATGGGTTCAGAGCAGGGAGTGAGCAGGTACTATTAAAAAAGACACATAGTCCTGTTGTCCAATTTCTTTTTACCAAAGTCATTTAATCTCTTGTTACATCCATTTTAGCCTAGATGTAGCCTAAAAATATTGTTCCTTTTAGAATTGTATTTCACTTCAAGCTGTCTAACATCGCTTGCTTTTGAGAGCTAGGGCATACACTTTAAAAATTAGGAATTTGGTTCTTCCTGAAGGAAAAAATTATGTTATTTAAAATTTCAATTTCTTTTTGTATGTTTTTCTTTTTATTGTTTTCTCATGTTGCTTATGTCTAGTGGCACTTTTGACATTTTTTGCATATATTTTTGATTTGAGTAGCTTCACTGCATGTGGAATAATTTCATCAAGGTTTAATGTAAACAGTTTGATGTGGGATCATTTAATGTATAAACTGTTTCTGAATTCCATTAGCAGTAGATAAGCAAGAGTACTTTCTCTTTCTTTTTCTAAAATGCCCATGGTTAAAATAATATAACTTATTTCAGTTTATAAGTTAGTTTGCAGGTATTATCTACAGATACGCCTCCTGATAGGAATACTTAACCTGAATAGCAGTTAAAGAGGAGGACACTCCCACTTGGTTTGTTTTTTAGACCATTTTATTTTGCAGTCACTTAATTTGGTTGACTGTATACTATGCATAGCCTACGTCTGCATATCTTATTCCCGTGACTGTCATGATCATTCATCCATGTGTCATTTTTCACATCTATCTCTGTCATCAGTTCTACATTGTCAGTTACAAAGTGCTATCTATTTTGCCATCTTTTATTATAACTTGAATTTTTCCTCCCCTTTATCTCCGTGGTGACTGTCTTAATTCAGGACATCATCATTTTTTGTCTGGATTACTGAACTAGCGTCATAGATGATCTTGGTCTTCTGTCTTGTCTTTTCCAATGCATATTACAAATCGCCCTTTCAAAATTCTCATCTCACAATTTCATGCTTGTATACTTCTTTCAGCTGATCTTGTTTGTCTCCAGGATAGAATCCAAGCTCTTGAGAAGAACATGCATGACCCTTTGTGATCTGTTTTTTTCTTGCCTCTACTTCTGTCTCGCTGTTTCTTTTTACTTTAGCATACGAAATTACTTGCTGTTTCTATGATGAGCCATGAGCCTTTACATATGCTGTTTCCATTGTCCGGGATATTTTCTCCCTGCCCACTGTGCCTACTTTTGTTTGCATCCCATGTGACATTCAAATGTGCGTACACTCTCTGTCTTTCTCACATATACACATATTTATAAATATGGGTTTTATATACAGTAGAGAGCAGATAGAGAGGTAATGTAGGTATGATAAACTTACAAGACTTGCTTCAGAATTGCTTGTGGTATCATATTACTGTGATTAGTGAAAATAGACTCAATATAATTTTTGTATATTTTTCTCTTAAGTTATATTGTTATAATAAATTATCCTTTGAGAAATAATTGTACAAAATGAATTCTGCTCCTTTTCTGGAAAGAAAATTTGGGTGAATGAAAAACTTTTTCTTTTCTTCTATTTCTAAAGAGCCAAACTAACATCAGATGCAGAGAAGGAATCAGTAATGATGTTTGGACGGAACCTTCGTCAGCTCCTTTTAACAAGCCCTGTTCCAGGGCGCACCTTAATGGGAGTGGATCCTGGTTATAAACATGGTTGCAAATTAGCTATAATTTCTCCTACTAGTAAGTTGTCTTGCAATTTTCCATGTAAAAGTTGTTTGGTTGGTTATAAGTTTCACTTCATACATTTCATGAGGATTTGGAAATAATGTTAATTTTAAAGGCTTAAAAAGTGGTTTTCTCACATACAGGGGTGTTGGGAACCAGATAATCAAACTTCATTTTTCTCTCATTTGTTGATCAAACTCCTCAATATACAACTATCATTTATATGCTTCCTATATCTCAGTAGAGATATTGAGGATTAATTAGGCTCGGACTTGAACTCTATTAATTCCCCATCAGATTCTATTATTGTGATGCATTTATATATGATGCATTTTAATTCTGCTTATATTTTAAATACCAAAAGACATTTTTATTGTTTTGCTCAATTTTTTTTCCTGTTTACTTACATTTACACTGATATTCTTCATTTCTTTTGCATTTCCGTGCTTCCATTTGAGATCATTTTCTTTCTGCCTGAAGAACTCTATGCTATTACTTTTAATGAGTCACATTGTCTTAGTTTTAGTTTGTCTGAAAACATCTCTGTTTTGCCTTCATTTTTGAAGAATATTTTTTGCTTGGTGTAGAATTCAAGATTGGCAGTTACTTTCAGTACTTTAAAGATGTCATTCTTTTTTTTTTTTTTGGCTACTGTAATTTTTGTTGAGAAGTCAGCCAAACTGTGGTTATTTGTTATTGTTCCTTTGAAGGTAATATGTCCTTTTCCTCTGGCTGCTAAGATTTTCTCTTTGTGTTTCTCAGTTTTCTTATGATGTGCTTCAGTGGGTGTGTATGTATGGGTTTTCTTGTCTTTTCTTTTCTGCATGAATTCCACTTAGGGTTTGTGGAGCTTCTAGCATCTCTTTCTGGAACTCCAATTACATACATATTATACCTTTCAGTTTCTTCTCTCCTTTTTGTTTATTTTCTGTTGATCATCTAAGTTAATTAATCCTCTATCCTGCTATGTCTAATTTGTTACTAAAACCATCTACTGGGTTCAAGTGGTTGGTTTTTCAGTTTTAGAATTTCCATTTGATACTTTGAAAAATAGGGTTATAGCTCCCTATGAACTTCTTTATTTCTAATGTTTTTGATCTTTTAACTTCTTGTTTTATTTTCTATTAGCCTTTACTATTTTAATTTTTTAAGTTTAGATTTTCATTTCTGAAATAATTTTTTCTTTCATCTCGAATTCATTCCCAGTTTATCTCATCTAATTTCTGAGATTTTCTAATTTTGACTTATGTTATTCTTTTATTTATTTAACTTTTACTGAGTCAGGGTCTTGCTCTTTTACCCAGGCTGGAGCACAGTGGCGTGATCTCAGCTCACTGCAGCCTCTGCTTCCTGTGCTCAAACTATCCTCCCACCTCAGCCTCCCGAGTAGCTGGGACCATAGGCACGCACCACCATGCCTGCCTTTTTTTTTTTTTTTTTTTTGTATTTTTAGTAGAGACGGAGTTTCGTCATGTTGCCCAGGCTGGTCTTGAAATCCTGAGCTCAAGCTATGTGCCTGCCTTGGCCTTCCAAAGTGCTGGGATTACCAGCATGAGCCAGAATTAACGTTACTCTTATTTTCTGTAATGTTTTTTTTTAAGAAGCTTGTTCTCATACATTAGGCACATCTTTCTGTAAGGACATTATATTAGTCTTTTAAAAATTTTTTTGCTTAAAAAAATAATCATTCTATATAGAATTTGACTATCATGCATTTCTTTTGTTTAGTTTTACATACGTTAGTTTGAACTTTTAGTAGAAGCTGGGTCAGGCAAGTTGTTCTCACTGTATATCTCTAGAACTTGCTCTTCTGTTTTTTCCAAATCATTAAAAAAAAAAACTCTGTGTGGATTGAGAGATAGTTTATAGTTTCTGGAATCTGCTTCTCTGTTGCTTTCCTTTATTTTATCTGGGCTTTCTTTTTCCTTTGCTGTTGCTATCTTTACTTTGCTCAGTTTGAATGTGATTACCAATTGTTTCTCCTCAGTGTGGAATTTTTGTCTTTAAAGGTATCTTTTACTAGTTAGTTTCAAGAGTTCATAGGGATCAGTGTTTTCCAATCCTTTCAGAAGTACTGGATCCCCTTTGTGCTGAATCTCTCTCAGTTTCAGCTCCTGTTCTCAAACTGACTGTTGAGATTTCCAGGGAAGTAGCCTTTGACATTTTTGGGATTCTCCTGTTCTCAGTTCCATCATATATTCCACTGTTTCTTTCTGCTTCCTTCCATGCAGATGCTGATGCATAGGTGTCTTGTCAGTACATTGTTCCCACCTGCTTTTTTGGAGGGTGGGGGTTTGTGGGGATATTTTATCTATGTTCTAGATATAGTCGTGACTTTTTGTTTTTGTTATCCTAGTTGTCTTTTTATGCTGTTCATTTTACAGCCAGTGGGAAATATATTTTATCAGTGTTTTTTTTTTTTGCATCTGTTCATATATCATGTGGCTTTTGTCCTTTACTATGTTGCTGTGATTAATTATATTACTAGAATTTTTTAAAATGTCAAGTCACACTTTCCTTAGATTAATGGAACTTGGTTATGATACTTTCTTTTGGGTGTGTTGTTAGATCAGTTTTCAGTTATTGTATTGCTTATAGGATAATTGTTCTAAAAATGTCACAAACACATCTATATTCTTAAGCTGTTTTGGTAAGATATTTCTAATTATCTGTTTTCATAATTTAATATAAAGTTGTTTATAATGGTAGATATCTTTTAAACCTGTGTTCAATCTCTAGTTATATCTTCTTTTTATTCCTAATATAATTCCTGTATTTGTATCTTCTATCCTTTCTTTTACTTGATTGGTATTGCTAAAAGTATGTTTTTCTCTTAAGTGATTTGTAACTACACTTTGTTGATCTTTTCTGTTGCATTTTTTTCTGTTAATTTTTGCTTTTAACTTCAACATTTTCTATCTTCTGCTTTCTTTGGGTTATTTTGCTGTTCTTTTCCTAACTTGTAAGTTAGTCTCTTAGCTCAGTTTTATTCTTTAGGTAGTTATCTTCAAATTTTAAAAAATACTTTTAATCAAAATAATTTTAATTATTTTAAATTTAATTGTTATAAATATTTTCAATAAAAAATATTTTTCTTTATAATGCAATATAGAAAAGCTCATAAGTCTTAAATATGCACAAGGTAAATAAAGTCATGTATCTACAACCAGAAAAAAAGAAATAGGATAGTCTCACAACAGTGTCTGACATATACTAACAATTCAGTTAGTGTTTGCTTTTGCTACTATTAATGTTAGATGTTAGTGAAAACCATTTTTCTTTTAGGTATCCTAGCATATTCTCCAATTAATAGTAGTTTTGTGTAGCAAACAGAATCCTGTGAAATTGGAAAGAGCAATACTTCAGAGAGGTTAGGAAGAATCTGATTTAGTGAATATGAATAGTTCAGACTTCATTATAAAAAACAAGCCAGTCTCCTTTTCTGTTACAACTTGCTTAACAAAATCATTCATGTGTTTCACTTTGTAATTTCTTATAAAATGGCTTATTCTTTTCATTTTTTAAAGGTCAGATACTTCATACTGATGTGGTTTACTTGCATTGTGGACAAGGCTTCCGAGAGGCGGAGAAAATAAAGACACTTTTGCTGAATTTCAAGTATGAAAATAAGTAATCTTTTGAATATATCAGTGGCTCAGTCAACCAGAGATACCTTTGAAGCCCCTAATTTGGAGGGAGGGATTAAGGGAGGTGCCTTTGTGAGAGACAATAAACCATATAAAACAGTTCTGGGGCAAATTGCTGGAGAACTCTGCATGTGGAGACTTGAGAAACGCTGCTCCCTTCCTTTGCCACCATTACAAATAAAGGAGGTAATATGGGCAGATGTGAGCAGTTCATTCTTCTGTTCCAATTTTCTCCCTCTCTCCCTGCCTTCTTTCCATCTGAGGAATAGATGTGGTTATAGTTAGAAGTTTCAGAAATTGACAATATATTATATAATTTAATCATAATATCTTTATTACGGCTTAGATGGCTTAGAATGCTCCAGAGTTGACTTATCTCTGATTTTGGTTCCTTCTTGATGGGAAGAAAGCTGACTTTTTTGAGATAGTGTGACAGTAAAATACTTCTCTGCTGCCTCCTATACCAAATGCAGGGCAGTGTCTTTTATTCCATATAAGTCTGTGTTTTCCTTATGCAACAGTGGACAGGTTGCTTGTATATATGAGAGAATAAGAGAATCATATAATAGTATTTGTGCATTCTGTACATTTTCTCCAGCTGATTTCAAAGCATGCCTTGAAATTCAGTTTGTCATTCTGTTTCTGCCTTGAAGCTGCAGCACAGTAGTGATTGGAAATGGAACTGCCTGCAGGGAAACAGAAGCTTACTTTGCTGACCTGATAATGAAGAATTATTTTGCACCACTGGATGTTGTTTACTGGTAAGGCTATTACATATATCTCTTTTCTTGGAGAAGCATGGGAACTTTAAAGTTGCTTTTGTGATGAATCCTCCCTTCTCTTTTTAAGATGTACATCTTCTTTGCCCTCCAGACCACCTCTTGGTGTTCATGAGAACTTTGCAGGATAATGTAAAGTGTCTGACTCTTGGAGAAATTTGAGACAGGAATGATTAGAGCAGGACAGAGTCCAGAAACCTCTTACAGAAGCAGCACGTTAGGGCTCAGTTTCATTGGATTTTCTAGGCTATACATTGTGTGAGGGTTCTAGTTAACTATTGAATAATAAGTAGAATGATGTACCAGGCTAGCAGCTAGTAGACTGTGAATAACTTAGCCTTTTTCTCCCAAAGCTTTGAAGCCTATGAATCATTACCCTTCAGAACTGAGAGCCAAGGTAAGTATTATGAATTAAAAAGTATTTCCAGTATTCTTTCCTCATTTATCCCTTGGTCACAAACTTTTATTTCATATAGGCATACAGATAACTTGTGAATAGCTTTGGATTAGAAAGACCCAATTTCTCTAGTCTTGCCCCTGCATTTGTAGTAGTTCTGCTTTCTTTCACCATTGTTTCCCTACTTCCTCTTTGGATCTCAATAGTCATGTCTTCCTTTTCCAAACTATAGTAGAATATTAAGTCCTAAAGGATTTAATTCTAGGAGAGAGAGTAGTTATAATGGCTGATATTTAACAGAAAGTGATCAAGAGCTATCTCCCACTGCTAGTGAGAAAACTAATAACTAAAAGAATGGTTGACTGATGAGCAGGTGACTGACAGGATCAACAAAGTAACAGAAAGTAAAACCTAACACAGGAAGAATTCTAGGATTTGTGTAGGTAGGCCAAAAGGTAAAGGCCAGGCAGTTATTATAGTCAAGAGTGCCAAGAGTGTAGTCAGAGTCAGTCAGAAAAACAAACTCAGGGTAACAAGGGGAGTAAGAGAAGGTGAGGAACAAACCGATAGGTGCCATGGGATCATGATTCAAGAAGGAAACAGATTGAAACATCCACTGCAGAATTTTTCCCTCTTTCTCTGGTTGTAATTTAAGTTGGCCTGGGAAATACGGTGGATCTTCCCTATTCTGGGAACTGCAAACGTGCACCCAGTCCTTTTGAGAAACTAACACAAGCACTGATGTAGCTGGTTCAGTTTATTTCAGGTACCTTCTCTGATTTTTTTTTAACTTGTTCACATTAATTTCATGTAAATATCTTGCATACATTTGTAGTGGTTATAAGTACAACTTTCAAATCATAAAAAATATTAAGTAGTGAAGATGTCTTCAGTTTTTTCTTCATTTGCTTATAGAATATCCCTTTATTGAACTTTAGGCAGTATGTACTATTAGAAAGGAAAGGATGAACTGTGGGGTCAGACAAATCTGGGTTCATCTGTTTTTTTTTTTTTTTTTTTTTTTTTTTTTTTTAATTGAGACAGAGTCTCGCTCTGTCACCCAGGCTGGAGTGCAGTGGCACAATCTTGGCTCACTGCAAGCTCTGTGTCCCAGGTTCATGCCACTCTCCTGCCTCAGCCTCCCGAGTAGCTGGAACTGCAGGCACCCGCCACCACACCCGGCTAATTTTTTGTATTTTTAGTAGAGATGGAGTTTCACCGTGTTAGCCAGGATGATCTTGATCTCTTAACCTCGTGATCCGCCTGCCTCAGCCTCCCAAAGTGCTGCGATTACAGGCATGAGCCACCGCGCCCGGCCTCATCTTTTGTTTTAATCATTTACTAGTTATGTAGGTTTTGAAGAGTTACTTAGCCTTTCTTAGCTTCACTTTCCTTCATTTTTAAAATGGGGAAAAGAATACCTACCTTACAGGTTTTTTAACAGTATTAAAAGTGAGATAACATAAATTAAAACACTAAGGGTTTAATAAACAATATGTTTTTTTATGAGTGTGTTTGTATTTGTTTATATACGTACTTTTATTATAAATATAAATTATATGTCTTTAAAAGTGCTGTGAAATTAGATGCAGTATTTTCTTATGCAAATTAATAAACTTACATAAAGTTTATTTTCACCTTGATGCAATAGGGATGATAGTAAAATCTACCACTTTGGATAGTAATAATGTCTATCGTACTTGTGTAAAATCTATGTATTGTGGTATCATGAGATGTTCAGTCTTATTAATGGATATGAATTAGATGCCATTTTAGTTGAGCCTCACCATAGGTGCTGTGGTATGAAGTGAAGTATGTGGGCTATAGAGACGACCTAGGTTCAGGCCTGCCACCTACTGCCTCTGATTAGCCATATAGTTTTAATCCTCTTTTAGCTTTAGCATCTTCATCTTTGGAAATGTTACTTACCTGTTAGCACCATTGACCACTGTGAAGATTTAAAATGGAATGTGTTATGTATCTCCTATTTTTAAGGCTATTTGTAGTAAATATGTTAAGTGTGGGCTAATCTTTGAGTTTAGGGAGACCCCATTAATATAAATTTTTTTTTTTTTTTTTTTTTTGAGCCGGAGTCTTGCTTTGTTACCCAGGCGGGAGTGCAGTGGCGCGATCTTGGTTCATTGCAAGCTCCACCTCCCAGGTTCATGCCATTCTCCTGCCTCAACCTCCCGAGTAGCTGGGACTACAGGTGCCCGCCACCATGCCTGGCTAATTTTTTTATAGTTTTTAGTAGAGATGGGTTTTCACCGTATTAGCCAGGATCTTTGGTGCCTTCTTTGCACTTTTATGAATATAGTCTCTATTAGGCATTTTCTTTCAGAAGAGCCCCATTTTGTTGCAATTTAAGACTTGCTTTGGATGGTAGTCTTTCTCCTATAGTCTGTTTTCTCCTTTCTGCTATAATTATTTGGGTTTTAAAATCTACCCGTGTGGTTAATTATGGTAGCTATTTTCTACAGTTGAACCATTTTTGCAGTTCTGATTTAACTCTACTTACACTGTATTAGTCTTTTAATGTACTTTTTGCATTTGTTTGCTAATATGTGCTTTTGAAGTTTTTAAATGATGCAGATATCTAATTGGAATTTATAGCAAGTGCTTTAGAAAAATCAGCTGTTTAATTTCATTTTATTATCATTTTGCCAATTCAAAGTGCCTGTTTGAGAAAACCATGTTTTCTCATCTTACACTTTGAAGTTACACTGAAATTGAAATCTCCAGTCTTTCTCTGGCAGCCATTTTTAATACCTTCTGAACAGATAATCTGATAGGTTAATCTATAATCTTGTCAGCCACTCATCCTGAAAAACCTTTTCCAGCCATATCTACCAGCACATTTCCTCTTATCTGTTCCTTCCAACACTCTTTGCCCTGACATGCTGCCATAGGTTAACAAATGCCATGATATATATCCTAATTCATAAACCCCAGGAAACCTGACCCATTCATCTGTCTTTTCTCTCATTCATTTCTCTCCCTACCCTTAAAATACCTTACGAATCATGATACTTACACATATTAGGGGGCAAGTCATCCAAAGGTGCAAATTCTAATTACCAAAGGAGCAAAAAGTTAAACTGGAGTTAAGTTGCAGAATGTAACCATGCTGAGTCTCAGTTATCACATACTGAATTGTGATAGTTGAAGTTGAAATGTTCATGAAAAAATGAAAGTTGAAAATGTTCGTGAAAAATTCTACAGTTTTATGGGTCATTTGTTTAAAGTATATGCTAGAATGGTTTGCAGTTTTCAATCTTTTGACATATGGTAGGCACTCATTTTGCTTTTGTAGTTATACATTAGTTTGTGTTTTTTAGATTTATACATAATGAAATCATACAGTGTATAATCTTTTATTGGCTTCTTTCATGGAGCATGATTATTTTGAGATTTCATCCTTGTTGCTGCAGAAACCAGTGGTTCTTTTTATTCCTGAACAGTATTCATTGTTTGGCTGTATCACAATTAGTTTATTCAATCACCTGTTGATGGATATTCGAGTTGTTGCTAGTTTTTTGCTACTACCAATAAAGCAGCATGAGCATTCATTTACAAGTCTGTATGGATATATGCTGTCATTTCTCTTAGGTAAATAGCTAGGTGTGGAAAGTCTGTGTTGTGTGGTATATGGTATACGGTACATGTTTAACTTAAGAAACTGTCAAGCTTTTTCCCAAGATGGTTGTACCATCTTACTTTCCCACCAACAATGTATCAGAATTCTAGTGGTGGCAGTGGCAGCCCATCTGGAGCAGCTGCTGGGAAGACACTGGCTGCAGCAGGGGAGTTGTGGCTTGGGTTGCATGCTCCACAGGTGATGGGAGCCCCACCTCCTACCAGGTTAGTGGGGCAGAGGAGCCCCATGCTCCTGGGCGCAGTTGCAGCTGCCCAGCTACAGCTCTGGACCTGGGCATCCCTGCACTCTCAGGGGCCTGCGATGCCCCTTCCCCTGCAGGCTCGGAAGTACCTGCTCCACCTCCCTGGCCTCTCCCTGCTCCCAGCACCCGCTCCAGAACAGAGCAAAGTTGTGGCCGAGCCTAGGCACTGTTGCGACCTGGACAGGTGTGCCTGCACTCGAGGCAGTGCTGACACCAGCCCCTGCTGCCTCAGCCTGTTCAGGATTTTGGGCACCAACCAACACAGGAGTGAGGCTGGGGTGGGGTGATGGCTAAGGGCAGCTTGGCACAGGCCTACAGGTGTCCCCTGGCACAAACAGCCCATGCACCATGGATGCATGCTGATGGTGGGAGGCAGACATTCCTGTGCAGCAAGGGGCAGGTCTCAGTGAAACCCCCACCTCCAAGCCAGGGCCTACGTGAAGTCTGGAGGCCAGGTTGCCAGTTCTGGGTGGAGTCTGTGGCCGGGAGTGTGAACTTATGGTACTTTTTCCAGACATGCCCATGGCTGCCCATGGACCAATCAGCATGCATTCCTCCCTTCTGAGCCCATAAAAACCCTGGACTCAGCCAGACTGACACAAATGTTGGGACTACCAGCTATGGGAAGGAGCCACCCACTTTGGGTCTGCTCTCTGCTGAGAGCTGGACACTTGTCAGGAGACCTGTCTGCAGAATGGGGCTACCCACTGCCCATCTCCTCTCCACTGGGAGCTGGACACTCATTGGGATAACCTGCCTGCAGAAAGGGGCTACCCACTGTGGGTCTCCTCTCTGCTGAGAGCTAGACACTCATTGGGACAACCTGCCTGCGGAAAGGAGCTGCCCGCTTTGGGTCTTCTGAGAGCTGTTCTGTCACTCAGTGAAGTTCCTCTCTGCCTTGCTCACCCTCCAGTTGTCCACATACCTCATTCTTCTTGGACATGGGACAAGAACTCTGGTTCCACCAAATGGTGGATCTGAAACAGCTGTAACACAAACAGGGCTGAAACATGCCCTCCTGCCTGCCATGCTGCAGACCTTGAGAAGGAGAAAAGAGCTGCAGCCCTTTGGGGAGCCCAGACCTAGGTGCTCCCTAAGCCAGGGCTATGGCACCCTCTTTGGGACTCTCTGGTTCCTGGCATCTCCCACCTTCCAGGAACCACTGTGTTCCCCTCGTCCAGATGTGGGTGTCTGCAGTGGTAGTTGCATGTGATATATCTGGTCCAGCCACAGCCTTGCATGGCACCACCTGCCCTGCCACAGCTGGCACGCCTAGCTCTGCACAGTGGCCGGACCCTGTGCTCACTCACACACCGCTCACCGCACTACGCCTGGCTCACCCTTGGCAGGGTGAGATCTGGGCCAGTAGCACCAGCCAAGCACAGCCTGCCAGCTTGAGTGAGTGGAACGAGCCCAGGGGGCCTGAGCAAAACTCGGACAAAGGCACCACTGGCCACAGAGGTGTCTGGCTGGAAAAGTGACACCCTAAGGATTCCGTAACACTAGTTTCTCTGTATCCTCAATGGAATTATGAAGTTATGGTCAGTGCTTGGTATGGTCAGCCTTTTAAATTTAGCTGCCCTAGTGGATATGTAGTGATATCTCATTGTGGTTTTAATCTGCATTTTCCTAGTGATTAATGATCATGAGCATCTTCATTTGCTTATTTGCCATCCATGTATCTTCTTTAGTGAGGTATCTGTTCAAATCTTTGCATTTAAAAAAATGGATTGTTTTCCTTGTGATTATTGAATAAGAGTATTTTTATTTATTCTGAATTAAGCCCTTTGTCAGGTATATGTTTCATAAACATTTTTTCCCAGTCTGTGACTTTTCACTTTTTTTTAAACAGGATCTTTTGAATGGCAAAAATTTTAGTTTTGAGAAAGTCCAATTTATCAATTTTTTGGTATAGTTTTTGCTTTTTGTTTTCTATTCTGGAAATTTTGGCAAAATCAAGGTTACTGTGATTTTCTTCTGTTTTGTACTAGAAGTTTTATAGTTTTAACTCATTAAGTCTGTAATTTAATTTTTGGAGAATTGACATCCACTCATTTAATTTTTTTTTTTTTTTTTTAAGATGGACTCTCTCTCTGTCGCCCAGGCTGGAGTGCAGCAGCACAATCTCAGCTCACTGCAGCCTCTGCCTCCTGGGTTCAAGTGATTCTCCTGCCTCAGCCTCCTGAGTAGCTGGGATTACAGGCGCCTGCCACCATGCCCAGCTAATTTTTGTATTTTTAGTAGAGACAGGGTTTCACTGTGTTGGTCAGGCTGGTCTTGAACTCCTGACCTCATGATCCGCCTGCCATGGCCTCCCAAAGTGCTGGGGTTACAGGCGTGAGCCACCATGCCTGGCCCATTCAATTTTTAATTTCAGTTTTATTTTTCATCTAGAAGTTCTGTGTTTTTCAAATCTGCTTGATGATTCTGTCACTTTTTTCCTGGCTATATTTTCAAGCCTGTCTTTTTTTAAACCATGTTAAATTTTGCATTTTACAATCTGTGTAATAATTCTAGAATCCTTGTAATTTTATTTCTGCTATATGCTGTAATTGCTGGTTCTGCTTTGTGATGCTTTCTTTCCTTTTTTGTTCAGTTCTTAAGGTAAGCTTTTTATTTTGGTGGAACTTTGTGGGAATTCATTTAGGCCTGGACTGATGGTAAGTTGCTTCAAAGAGGATTTGCATTTGCTTCTGCTACACTCCCTTAGATACTACCAGTTTGGGATCACTTAAATTAAATTCTCGGCTTGAGTTTTTTTCTGACCACCCAGGTAGTGTGAATTTAGGCTGCAGACCAGACAGATGGCTTATAGTTCCATATTCTCATCAGTAGTTCCCCGCTACATCAGCCCGTGACTGAGTTTGAGATAGTCCATTTTCATTGTGATCTCCTGGGGGTAGAGTATAGTGAGTTATAGTTCTGTTTTATTCTTACACTGAGGGTTTAACCTAACTCTGGAGTCCTAGCTTTACATATGTGAGAGTAGGTGGGGGATCTTTTGTTAACATCTATATCTTAGGTGGATCCTGGGTTTTCTATTTTATTCTTCTGGTTCTGTGAAGCTCTGTGAGGCCATGAAACTTGAAAATAAAATGCACTTGGTTCAGCAGATGCCCTCAGCTGAAAGTCAGCTTCAGAAATCAAGGTTCCCACATATACTTCATTTTTTTTTTTTAGCAAAAAAATTTCTTTCTTGCCAACTCATAGATCTCTTTAAGAAGATAGGTCTTTTAGTTGTTTTCAGTGAAAGATGAATCCAGGTAGCTCATTTCTCATATTGGTTTTGTATTTTAAATTTTCTTTAAATGTAAAATTTGCTATTTTCCGACACCAAAGTAAGACCATAAAAAAAAATAGATAATGATCTTTTCAATCATCTAAATTTACACTTGAGTTAAGAATTACTTGTTTCTTTTAGTTCTTTCCTCAGGATATCTATGCCTGTGGAAACATGTACATGATATAGCCTTCATTCTCTGGCAATTTAATATTCTTTTTTTTTAAAGGATGCTTAAGAGGGAGATCTTGAGAAGTCCAGAAAAATACCCAGAGGAAAATAAAAATTATTGGTACTGTCATTACTCAGAGAATCATATTAATGTTTTTATATATTTTCTTGTAGTTATTTTACTTATGCATTCATTTATTCAACAAATATTTATCACCTATAAATGTCAGATTGAATGAGATAGACTCAGTAAGGTACAAGAAGAGAACAACTTTTTCTTTACTACCTCCTCTCTTTATTCAACTCATGTTTGGATGAACTCATGTTCGTTCCTGGCTGAAATAATGGACAGGTCTCATAGCCTTTTCAGTCCCTCTTAGTTATTAGCATAGTCTCATTTCAGCAGTTGAAATATCTTCTGTAGTGCAATAATCAGAGATCCAAACTTGAGATAAGTTCAATTAAATGTCAGGCCTCTTTCACTCTGGAAGATGCTACTTCACTATCGGGATTTGCAGGTTAGTTTATCGGGATATGTAGTTAGTGTCCTCTCTCTTTTCCTCTTTGTTATTCTTATTTTCCCTAACTCACTAGCTGAATTTTCTGATCCCTCTAAGTTTAGTCCTCAGAGTGGAGTAGCATGGGAAAAAAGAGCATGGTCTTAGGAAGTGGGACCAGTTGCATTCTGGGGTAAGGCCCTCTGGGTGGCCCAAATACAATTGCTGATGCTTCCTTTCATGGGGTGTTATGAAGAATTTTTCTATTTTTGTTTTCTGAGATTTCCCTTGCAAGGAAGCTGTGATGTAGCTGATATCTTCTTTGGTTGACTGGTTATGGCTTTCCTTCTCTCGCCCTGGGCTTCAGACCAGCCATTCTCATCTGCGTTACTTCGCTGCTCAGTCCTCTTGGACAGAATCTGTTGAAAGCCTACCATACACTTCTTCCTGCAGGCCCATTTGGCTCATACCTCCTTGCCTGCTCTCCAATGGGTATCAACAGCTTATCCTTAGCACAGCTGTCTCCCTTTTAAATTTTCTCTCTCATACCTTAGGCTTGCACCTATTCTCTTTCTTACCCATCCTTGCCTTCCTCTTGTACTTTTCTGTGCTGTCAGAGGTAGCTCTTCCTTTTCATTTTTCTAAGGCATGTTTAGCACTCCATACTCTGGGAGCATATGTGAAGCTCATGAAGTGTTCCCAGTAAAGCGCCTTCCACTTGGCATGTGATGGATGAGATATTCTTCTATGTGAAATGTTGAGAGAGCAGGAAAAATGGCATAGCATCCCAATCATCTTCCCAAAGAAATTTTTTCTCTCAAGTCTAACTCTTGTCCCTCCCCCCAAAACACACCCATTTTATAGGACACAGATGAATGATTGCTATTGTTGGCAAAACAGGCCTTTGATGCTTTAGCTAGAACAAAAACATCCCATTACTCCTGTTTCGATCATCCAGTCAGCAGAGTATCCCTCAGAACCAAGACTATGTTACAGGCACAGTATTGTGTGCTGGGAAAGAAAGCAGTACAGGCAAAGTCCCTACCCCTCTTGAAGTTTGCATTCCAATGGAGAAGACAGACAAAAAGATAAGAGTGTGTGTATTTTTATATATGTCAGTTGGTGAAAAATTCTGTATCAAGAATTAAAAGCAAGGTAAGGCGATAGTGACAAGAAGTACAATTTTTAGGTAAGTATAGGTATAACCGATATTCTTGGTATATGAGACACATTTTAAGAAGACTCCAGTGCTGAAGTAAAGTGTGATGAATTTGTGTCCTCCTTTATCCATACTATCCAGATTCATGTTCTCTTTATCCTCATTTTTCTGTGTCGTATGAGCCTATGTTTTTCAGATTGTAACTTGTAACCCATTGGTGAAATGTGAAGTCCATTTAGTGCGTCTTAACCAGCATTTTTAAAAAGTTAAATAGAAAAGAATAGGAAATAGAGGGCATTTCATGCAGTAAGCTAAGTATTGTCTCATGAATATTTGTTTTGGTTACATGTATATATGTGTACTGGGTTGTGATGTGTTTCTTATGGTTGATCATAAAAGTTTGAGGAACATTGCTCTATGAAATTACAGTTTTCAGCCTTTAAAAATGCAAAGTTAAGAGAGAAGATTGGCCCGCAAGAGTCTTTACTGAGAAGTTAGAAAGCTTTTAGAAATAAAATTCAGACTACCTTATACAATTGCAAAAGATCCTCTGAAGGGAAGTAAATAGAGGAATGGTTCTGAGAACACATTGGGATATGTAAGCTGGACAAATGTACTCTTCCAGTAAAATAATGAGCCATGATCCTTACCATATTCCTTGGAAAAAAGTTAAATTAATGGATAGAATTTTCCCAATCTCAATTAAAATTCCTCATGTCAAAGAAAACTTTACAAATACTTTAGTTATTAACACATGATAAAACTTTATTATAATCTTATTTCAAGGCAAAAGGTTTTTAATAGGCCAATTCAGAGATGCACTCTTTGTAACAAAATTTTATGGAAAAGAGAACATAATTCCAGTAGAGAAAAACACAAATAAAAATGTTTGGGTGATTGGTTTGCTAGAACAAGTCTTCTACCTATTAGAGTATGTCAGAAAATTGCTTAAGTATTCTATCAAGTATGTTTTTTTCCCCTAGAAGAAAAAAAAGAAAGGAACCTTTCTTGTATGAATTATGTCATTCATACAAGAAAGTTTCTTTGCCAAACCAAGTTTGGAACAATTTATCTTACATTTATGTATTTTTCTTAATTTGTTGGTGTCTACTAGTAACTAGTATCTGATTTAGCTCTTATATGTTTAATTATATTATATAATATGCAAATATTCTGTTGTGTTCTCAGTAGAGCACATTGACTTCCAGGGGCTTTGCAACCAGAAAAAGATTAGGAACTAAAAGTAAATTAATTTGTATGTATTGACTGCATACTCCCTGCCAGGTGTGGATTTTACAAGGACATATACAAAGCTGAAAGAAGTGTAAGTAACCAAGAATGTGTGTAAGAGGGAAGTTACTGATCTGTTAAAAATAGTTCTGGAAGACCAAAATTTAAGAACTGAATCCCTCCTTTTCCTGCTTCCCCCCATGTATAGCATAAAAGTCTTTTAATGATTATCTTTGGGTAAAGAGAGTTAGAAAAGAAATCTCATTGCTTCTAGATAATATCATAATCCTAATCAGTGGATAAAAGAGTAGACTTGTTCAACTTCTCTTTTGATTTGTGAGATAGGATGATTTGGGGGGCTGAAAAGATGAATAAGTATCAATAAAAGAAAACTAAAACATAATTAAAATAAGATATTAAGAGATCTTCTGTTTCTTATTTTATCTTCTGGCCCAGATGAAACATTTTCTGGAGTTCTGGGTGGACTTGTACCTAAAATTTTGATACCACTATTGGTAATTGTTGAGAAATTGTGGAAGCTTGGAGATGAACTGATGTTATTTTGTTGTTCCAGAGGGAAAATAAAATAGGTTGTATAGATGACTGAGTGTAATCTTGGACAGGTAAGATTATTATTAAATTATAAAGGAATGGTTGATGAGCACTTAGGTAGGAAGGGACAGTAGAAAAATAACCACTGGACATCACCATGCGTTTCTTACAAATAAAACATTTTGGTCTTAACCTATTTCATTTTCTGTTAGGAAAATTAGACTGGTAGAAACATCTGGACCTCAGCACAGCTATTGATAGTCTCTTAATACCCTTATGGACAAAGTGGAGATTTGGTTATGTGGCTCCCAAAAAGATGTTGATTAGCTAATGTGTTGATGTCTGGTTTGAGGTCTCTAGTGTGCCACAAACATCCTATTAGTTAACATTTTAGTCAATAATTCAGTCAAGATTTGGAGACATGCTTTTCAAATTTGTGGACACTGAGGTGTGTTAGAATCAGAACCAAAAAAGTTTTTGAAAGACTTGAGTTTTTGGACCTAATCTAACAATATGAATTTTAATAAGGATACATTAATTTTGTGATGGTAGGGGGAATTTTTGGTAGAGATTTTTGGATGATTTCTCGGGTTTCTTTTTACTCTGTGGGTGACTTTATCAGAATAATGTGCAGCAGATCTCCCCTGTCCTGAACCACCTGGACCTTTTTCTTTTGCTTTGGTTTAAAGAAACTTACTTTCCAAAAAATCAGTAGACTTAGCTATATAACTTAAGATCTATTTAGCTATGTAAGTTCATAATGTTATGAAGTTAATACTGTTTTATATGGAGGAAAAGATGTGGTTGGTGTTATTAATTTCTCACTAGTGCAGTATTTTCCGTTTCACAAGTGGAATTTGAAATCAGGATTTTTGTATTTAAATATCCTGTCTCCTCTATATGCAGTTTTCTAGGAATGATAAAAACCATAAATCATCCTTGGAACTTGGGATAGCCTAAATTGTTTTCTGGATATTAAAACTAATATCCAGATTATCATGCCTAATGACAAGTTAAGGTGCTGTGTTATTTAAATTTCTCATTTCTTTCTACAGTGATGGCTTGAGATGATGTACTGTGACATTCTAGAATTTTGTTGCCTTTTCTTTATTGATATTCATCTCCATTTCGGTGACTATTATGAACACTGGGCTCTTGTTTATAGTGTTTCCTTTCTAGGATGTTTGTGATATAAGGTAAATTAAAAAATAAAACTATGTTTTACAGTCAATACAATTTATGTTCATTTTGTTGAAAGGCAGAATGTTTTTAAAAATACATATTTAAATAGACCATTTCAGTGAAGTATGTTGGGAAAGGAGACATAAGGAATGAATAATTTGGATGTGTGTGTATGTATATGTGTGTGTGGTTTTAAAATACTATTTGGATTTGAATTCAGTTTGACTGTTTTTGATCAAAATAAAATGTTTTACCAGTTTTGTAACCCATGTGTTTTTGTGTTCGTAAGTCCAATTTAAATATCTGCAGGAGTTACCCCACCCCCTCACTGTAGCCCCTCTTGCAGATCTTTGTTTATTGACTTAGATTAGAAATGGCCTAAAGCCCAGTGATGGTCATTTCTTGTTTTAAGATTTTTGGTTACAAATCTGCTTTTGTTGCCAGATCCAATAAAGATTCTTGATTGTTTTTGTTAGTTTTAAGTTCTTGCCAAAGATACAATGTATTATAACCAAAACAGATGTCCTGTTTAGACAAGTATATTTAGGCTCTAACAGAACCTAAAATGTAAATTAAACATGTTCAGCATTAATGTAGCAATTGATGAACTTTGGGATTGTATCAGTGTTTTTGATAACCTTTAGAAGTGGAGGAAACAATGCCTTACTTTTTCTCTGTCTAATCTGTTTGCGTATGTACAGTTTTACACTCCTAGATACTCCTCCAAACTGACATTTTACTGCCATTTTGAAAATAGAGTGGAATTCACCAATTTCCTGTATACAATTTTGTTCTTAAAGAGCATACATCAGATTAACAGTATTTTCTGTTAGAGAGTTCAGTTGAGTAGAAAAGGATAGTTTCTGAGACTTTAATGCTTGTAAATAGGTAGATGAAATAATTATATATAGACCCTCTTATTAATGGTGTTCTTGGTGAAGTTAGGAACCATATTAGGGTTGTAGTGTCCATCCTTTAGGACTTTTAGTAACCATCTCTGTAGATAGGGTCCAGTGCAGTCTTAATTTCTGCTGAATTCTGTGTTTTGGTGAACAACAGGTAATGTAGTGAATTCAAGATGAATGTATTTCTATTAAGCAGTGTTAGCTCTTTTTTTCCATCATAGTTTCTAGGGTAAATTAGATGTGTGAGGGATATATCAATTGCTACCACTGGAACCATTTTTACTTTAAGATTGTTGACTCTTTGGCCTATTCTTATCCATATTTTCCTCTTTTCTTTGGGATTAAACAGCTTACTGTTTTGCCTCACCTTTGGCCAACACGTTTTAAAAAATGTATTCAGTTTCTTATTGAGGGAATATCTAGGTTTTTTCTTAAACTGGGTTGTGAAGAATTATTTTGGTTCTCTCTCTGATTTTAGTTGCATTAGTTGAATTCAAAATTACTGAAATCCTTTGTTGAGATCCTTTTCTTTTGGTTATATAGAACTTGGAGATTCGGGGGCCAGAAATTGATAGTTGAAAACAGTAGTTCTTGAATTCACCTTATTTGTGTTTTATATATCTTTTGGCTGCAGTGGGGGGTCGGTAAACCTTTTGATTCTGTGTATTTTATGTGGCTAAATCTTTGTATTATGCTCTCCTAACTTAATGAAATACCTCTTTTAAGTTCCCCACATCCGTACATTTCTAAGGTTACGCCCAGTTTAATTCCCATTACTTTTCCGCTTCATAGCACTTGCATTTTGAAGGAACCCTAACATTTGGGTTCACATTATGATAATTAGGTTTCAAGGGCATGGGGGATTAAAGATATCTCAGGTCTAGTTGCAGAATAAAGTTCAGAAGCACTTTTAAAACTTGCCTGATTGGTGGGTAGAGGTGCTTTTATTTATTCTCTACTCATGCAGCATTAATCCCTATTTCATCAGGTACCTACAGTGCTGTAATTCTAGACGTGACCTTGGGTCTTGATTTACTTCAGCTCCGTCTTCTTTATAAATGTGCCATGAAAGAGGTACATGAAAGATAGCCAACATCAAAGCGCCTTTTAAAGTAAATTGGTTGATAGGAAT
Organism: Homo sapiens; assembly: GCF_000001405.40. Taxonomy (NCBI): domain Eukaryota; kingdom Metazoa; phylum Chordata; class Mammalia; order Primates; family Hominidae; genus Homo; species Homo sapiens. Next base: position 45,532,309 of record NC_000002.12, on the reverse strand, counting down.
TCCCTGGTATTTAACACTGTCTGTCAAATGTTTCAGCTGGTTTGCATCCTTTTACAAGCTATTGCTTGCTGCATGAAAAGAAATTTAAAGCAGTTGTTTTAAGTCTTGGGGAGGGTGGTTGTGATGGTGCTGATGGTGCTGATGGTGGTGATGGCAGCGGCATGGCAAAAGTTAGCCAGAGAAGAGAGTAAATGAGAAGTTAAGAACATGTTCTTTTTCAGCTGTGCCCCTCCCAAGATTGTTTTTGTGTTTTTCTTTGGGTTGGAGAGTCTTTAATACAGTGCTTATGATTAAGAGGAGGAGGCACTCATCTTGGTTATCAGAAGATTGAAGAGGGTGGCCAAAGAAAAGTCATCAAACTTTAGTGAAAGAAAGAATAACAGGCAGTGTCAGTATCTTATTCAGAGATTGTTCAACCAGTTTAACTTCCAGCCTGTTTATTCTTTATTGAGTCATATGAGAAGAAGCTGTAAAGTGGGAAACTGAGTCTGAAGAAAGAACAAAGGAAAAAGGACTCAGAGAAGGCTTGCCATATGTATTACGGAATATTTATTTTCCTGTAAACATGTTTTAGAGGCTGTTGTCTGTTCTAGGCTTAATATATGGGGTAGAACTTCTTACAGCTAAGTTTTGAAACCCTGGTTACTTCTTTGTTTCATAAATATTATTTGGCTGTTTCTCCCAACTTAAGAAAAAAATATTTAAAAGCATTTTATTTTTTGGATTATCACCATGATTGTCTTTGGATCTATTCCTATCGTCTTTACTGTAGAACTTTCTTAATCTGAATAGTGGAAAATAGAAATTATGGAATGTTATAGAAGATATTTACTTGCCTTCAAATATATACTTTATTTTCAGTTTACTGATGTAACCTTGACCTGTAGAGATCTTTAAAAATCTATTGTAATAAAAACTTTTTTGTAAATAGTATTTTTAATGTGCGTTTTTACGTATTGAAATGCTTTAAAGTCATATATTCTCTTGACATTCTGTAATATTGTTTTCACTTACCTGCTTATCTTTTTATTTATATACGGTGAGTATGGAAATAAATTTCAATCCAGACCTGGACTTGTCAGTTAGTTGAATTAAAGACTTTGGCCTGTAAAGGATAAGAAACCAACACAACAACTGACACAGAGGCGTTTGGTAGTGACCTTTTCTTTTCAAGGAAAGCAGATATTTGAGACAGACTGTAACCATCAGTATAGAATGAGCTACTGAGGTTTCTTGGGGTTTTATGAAGAGAGATAGCCTAGTATGTGTGTGTAGGGAGCAGTATACGCAAATTATTTGACAATTGATTCTGTGATGAAGAAAGTGGGTGGAGAGGTACATCTTGCCCATTTGTCTTTGTTTTGTTTTTGTTTTTGAGACAGGGTCTCACTGTGTTGCCCAGGCTGATCTCGAACTCTTAGGCTCAGCCTTTTGTGAGTATCTGGGATTATAGATGTGCTCCACCATGTCCAGCTTGCCCCTTTGTTGACATAGGCAAAGTAGAACATCTTACTGTCATTGCCATATACCATATATGGTTCAGCCCCTGTATTTGGAAGAGTGACCTCTGGGCTTTAGAGACTGATACTAGGAACTGGGTAGTAGAAAAAAGGTTGGAAGTGCTATACCTTTCTATTCATGCCACATTTCCTTTCAACCTCTGTCCTGCTCCCCTTCACAGTTAATAGCATCTTCTTTCATATATAGGATGTGTGTCTTTAATAATTTGATATGACCCATCATAGTCATAGACAGGAGACAGTGAAGCATGATATTGCTTAGAAAGTTAAGATCTTATTTTGTAAGCACTTTAACTTTCCTGAGGTGGACAGTTGTGGAGTCCTTTGATTGACTTTTGATTCATGCTGCTGCTGTTGCTTTTTTCTTTTTTAAATATTCTGAGGTTTTGTGTATCCTACGTAATTTAGGATCAGCATTGTTATAGCACATGAATTGGCCTTAGTGTTGTGTTGTCATTCAAATATATTAATTACAGGCTAGTCCAAAGCTTGATTAATAAGAGTCCACCTAGTCAAGGATCGTAAGATATTACTTAGTGATAAGCAACTTGAGCTTGCAAATGAGTCATCAGGTTAGCAGTTAATGGGTATATTTTTGACTGATTCTTCTGTTTACTCAATTAGTCCATTTACCTGAAATTCCCACTACCTTTTGAAGCATTTTTCTTTTTCCTTTCAACATAATGGTTTTCCTCAATCTAGGACTACATAAGAAGTTTGGTAGGCCACTCTTCTAATTCCTGGTTTGAATTTAGATAGTTCCATTGTTTAAACCATGCTGCTGCCATCATTGCCATTGTCATATTCTACTTCCTATTTTAAGTTATGTCCAGCAATATATTAGGAATATTTCTGGCTCAGAATTCAGATTTTGGTATCACCAAAAATTTGAGGGATACAGATGCAAAGAAGCCTTTGTACTGTCTTTCATAAGGAGAAATGCTTTGAGGAAGTCTTTCTATTCTTGTATGCTGTAATTTCTAGCATTTAATGATTTCCTTGTCTTCAAGGTTCTAGGCTTAATTTGAGTTAAAATTCACTGATTATACAAGAGGAACCCAGATACCTATTTTCTTTCTTCTCTTCTCTCCTATTTGGGGAATCCCTAACTCAACCCATTTGGGAGACTCTGTATCTGGTTGTAAATAGGAAATACTGCTTTTAGATGGTTTAGACTTTGGTGAGAAAAGTAATAATTAAAATTTCTACCATGAAATCAGATTTTTTTTCTATTTTAATAAAATTTTTATTGGGTGCAGAAAGACTGGAAGGGTGTTAGGGACCCCTGTTCAAATTTTCGGATTTTGGACTTGACATTTTTCTCATTCAAGGTTTTTGGTAGGGAAGTATAAGAAGTGGATAAAGAAAGCAGACCTAAGAATATGTCAGTAACATATTGGGCCTTTGAAATATCTTAGTTCTTTCAGGTTTGATTTGTTTCTACTCTTCATTTTTTTACTGCTTTTTCCCCATCTTCCTTCTGACTACATTTTCTTAGTGAGAAGTGACAGGTTTCTGCTTACTGGGAAAATGTAAAATGTATCTGTCTTATTGAATTTAATATCTTGGGGGATATTTGTCTCCAAAATCTAGTGCATGCACAGAATCCTTTTTTGTCATTATATAGAAGGGAAATACTTCTTTTAAAATCCTCTCTACAGTTAAGCCTGAGGTCTTACTATAGTACTGTTAATTATTGACATTTTCACTAACATATTCAGGAATGTTTTGGTTATATTGGATGATTCTTTCACTTTGACTATCAAAATTTATTTACTCATTCACACAACACATTTTTTGAGCACTTCTATCTGTACAGTGCTTGGCATGGTAGAGTCAAAGATTTGTAAAAGCATATCCACTGACCATTTTATGTTTAACCCAGCAGCCTCTTCTAAGCTGTAGCTTATCTAGATTCCTTTTCAGTTTCGTACACTGCTGTTTTTCTCTCCTGCTTTTGGTAATTGTACTTCTAAGCCTGTTAATCATTTTTTCTAGGCATTCTTGTACCTCTTCCCCACTCTTAAACTTAGACAACACTCCAGATATTTTCCTCACCCGCTTTGTCTTCTCTGTATATCTTCTTTTCCTTGATAATCTCTTCATCCACTTCTGGAGCTTCATCTTTTGCATCTTGTGGGTTCTAAGTCTACATAGTTTCAAGTTCTCACCAGAGACATGGACTCAGATTCAGTGGCTTATGCTAGTCTCTAGAGTACCCCTCTGGTACCTCAGTTTCAACCAAATTTAGCTTTTTGCTTTGGCTCCCAAACCTATTTTTTATGTGTTTTTTAAATTCTTTTATAAGTCCCTCCTTTACTGATGTTAATTCTCTTGGGCACAATGTTTGTACTCTTTGATTTCTTATTCTGTCATATACCCCATTCAAACTACCATGAAGTCCTGTTGATTCTGTCTCTGAAATGTGTCTCCTATTTCTTCCTTCCAGTTCTTCTTGTTTACCATTCTTCTTTTGAGATGTTAAGGCTTTCATGAGCTGGCCTCAACCTACTTTTCATGTATAGTCTCTTGATACTCGCTTCTTAACCCAACACATGGTGTTCATCATTCAAGCATTTATAATCTGGGTCTCCGTATTTATTTTTACATTATGCCATTGTGATGCCATTTATTAAGGAATCATACAGTTTAAAGAATTATGTAATCAACAGTTTATTCATTATAAGAATTAGCCCAGAGTTACAGTTACATCCTATATTTTATTAAATATATAAGCTAAAACAAATCCATTTTCAACATTGTTTTATTATTCAAAATTGCCTCAGCTAAATCTCTCCTGATCTGCTCCTATTATTTACAATGAAATTTTGGCTCCTGTTTTCAGTGGCTTCCATTTAAGTGCCCTTTCCTTTCATACCATGTATTCTCAGATAGCAATGATTCCTATAAACAAGGTAAGTTGGAATTTAGTTCTTTGAATGTGTTAGGTGGAAGTTTTCTACCCTTTTGTAGTTAAGAGCATAGGCTATGGAACCAGGTTCAAATTATAGCTTCATCCTTTACTACCATGGTGACTGTGCTTAAGTTACTTAATCTCCCTGTGTCTCTTCATCTCTGAAGTGGGGATAATAATAGTATCTACTTCGTAGGGTTTTCTTGAAGATTAAATTGAATAGTACATTGAAAAATACTTAGAATGGTGCTTGGCACATAGTATACAATCAGTAAATATTAGCAGTTATTTTTATTATAACTTCAAAATGTGTAATAATAATTATTATTTTTGCTCATCCTGTTTTCTTCCCTTGGTATACCCTTTCCTCATCCTCTGCCTATCAAAATCTTACCTATCCCTCAGGGCCTGACTCAGATACATTCTCCATGAGATTCTCTAATTTATCTCAGGTTAGAATTAATCTCACCCTCATCTGTGCTCTCCTAAAATTTTCTGTGTACTTCCATAACATTTAATATATAGCCGCCTTTGTACTGTACCGATTTATGTAACTTTTTTCGGAAATTCATTTATGACTGGGGTAGGAAGAATCATCATTGTTCATCCCTTTGGAAGATAGTTCACTGATTTGCCCATGTTGGCACTCAGAAATTTGAATTGATTTAAAACTTGCTGGCCCCCCTCCCCCACACATAATGTATGTGGAGAGTATGTATATATATTCATATTTATATGTAAGAACCTTCTGTGAATAAGGCACTCCCATAAGGACTATGGAAGATATAAAAAATAAAAGGTATGCTTTTCAGATTAAAGCTACATTTTAAAAAACATTTCTAAAAACTATGGAAACAACTTAAAATGATTAAATGATCTGTGTTCCCAGATCGCACTCAGCTTAAGACATGTAACGTTATCAGTACTTTTGAAGTCCCTGGCTGTCCCTTCTTTTTCACATCTCTTGTCTTCCCCTCCGTAGCTATTCATGCTCTTGAGTTTTGTGTTAATAATTCCATTGCTATTTTGCATGTTTCCTTTACATGAATCCTAATCTTCTATAACTTGATTTTTCTTCCTTAAGATTATTTTATATTCATTCATTTTGATATATTTAACTGTGATTCATTTTCAGTGGTGCATTACATAATTATACAATATTTTTCTATTTTTGAGTTGATTGACATTTGGATTTCTGATTTTTTTTATTGTTTTTGGAAGTCTTTATTCATTTATTTTGTTTAACAGTTTTACTGAGATATTCACACACCATATAATTTACCTATTTGAAGTATATAATTCAGCGATTTTTAATATATTCACAGATGTGCAGCTATCACTACTAATTTTAAAACTTTTTCATCTCAAAAACCTGTACACTTTAGCTCTCACTCCCTTCTCTCCCATCACCGCATTCTCACCTTCCCTACTCCAGCCCTAAGCAACCACTAATCTACTTTGTCTCTATAGATAGATTTCCCTGTCCTGAATATTTCTTATGAATGGAGTCATATTATGTGGTGTTTTGTAATTCACTTCTTTCCGTTAGCATGTTTTCGAGGTTCATTCATGTCATAGCATGTATCAGAACTTCATTCCTTTTTATGGCCGAATAATATTCCATTATATGGATATACAACATTTTGTTTATCCATTTATTAGTCGATTGACATTGAGTTATTTCCACTCTTTGGCTGTTATGAATAATGCTGCTGTAAACATTCGTGTACAAGTTTTGGTGTGGACATATGGGCTCATTTCTCTTAGGTATACACCTAAAAGTAGAAGTATTGTGGTAACTCTGTGATTGTTTGGGGAACTGCAGACTGTTTTCCAAAGTGGTGGCACTCTTCTGCATTCCCACCAGCAGTGTATGAGGGTTCTGATTTATCTACAACCTGCCATGGTTACCTGACTTTTTGGGTTTAACCATCTTAATGGGTATGAAGTAGTATATCATTGTGGTTTTTGATTTGGATTTTCCTGATGACTAATGATATTGAGCACTTCTTCATATGCTTATTGGCAATTTGTATGTATTTCTTGGATCAATGTCTATTCATATTCTTTGCTCATTTATTTTTAGAACCTAATAAAACACATGATAGTATGTTTAATTGGTGGTTTTAATTCTTTAAAAAATGTTAATATTTTCTTCAAATTGATAGTAAAAATCATAGGTATCATGTACAACATGATGTTTTGAAGTACATATACATTGTGTAATGACTAAATGGAGCTAATTAACGTCTATCTGCATTACCCCACATATTTTTATAGTAAGAACACTTTATATCCACTCTCAGCATTTTTTTAAGAATACAATATATTGTTATTAACTATAGTCACCATGTTGTACAGTAGATCGCTTAAACTTATTCTTCCTATAACTGAAACTGTTACTATTTTTTATTTAGATAATTTGTCTTTTCATTACTGAGTTGTAAGAGTTCTTTATAGTTCTGGATACAAGTCCCTTATCCAAGTGTATGATTTGCAGATATTTTATGCCATTCTGTAGGTTGTCGTTTTACATTTTTGTTGATTACATTTGAAGCACAAAAGTTTTAAATTTTGAAGTCCAACTTTTCTATTTTTTCCTTTGTTGTTCAGATTTTTGGTGCCATATGTAAGAACACTTTGCCAAATCCACCGTCATAAAGATGAGCTCCTATGTTTTCTTCTAAGAGTTTAATAGTTTTAGTGCCTACATCCATTTAGTTATTGACAGATTTTGAGTTAATTTTTGTACATGGTGTAAAGTAAGGGTTCAAATTCATTTTTTTTGCCTGTGGCTATCCAGTAGTCCTACCGACATTTGTTGAAAAGACTGTTCTTTACCCATTGAATGATCTTAGAACCCTGTCCTAATCAGTTGACCGTAGACATGTGTGTTTATTTGTAAACTCTCAGTCCTGTTTCATTGATCTATAAGTCTATCCTTGTGCCATAACCACACTGTCTTGATTTTTATTGTTTCATAGTCAGTTTTGAAATTGGAAAATATGAGTCTTCTACTTTGTTTTTTCTCAGATTGTTTTGGTTATTCAGCATCCCCTTCAATTCCACTTGAATTTTAGAATCAGCTTGTCAATTTCTCCAAAGAAATCAACTGGAAATCTGATGGCCTTTGCATTGAATGAGTAGATCAGTTTGGGGATTATTGTCCTTTTTACAATCTTAAGTCTTTAAATCCATAAGCATTTGATGTCTTTCCACTTATTTAGATCTTCCTTAATTTCTTTCAACAATGTTCTGTAGCTTTCAGAGTATAAGTTCGATACTTCTTTTGTTAACTTTATTCCTAAATATTTTGTTGTTCTTGATGCTGTTGTAAATGGAATTTTCTTATTTCATTTTTTTAATTGTTTCTTGCAAGGATGTAGAAATAGTCGGTTTTTATAATTGATATTTTATCTTGCAAACTTGTTGAACATGTTTATTAGTGCTAACAGTTTTTAGTGGATTTCTTAGGATTTTCTATATGCAAAATAATGTTATCTGTGAATAGAGATCATCTTCTTCCTTTCTACTATGGGTATTTGTCTTTTATTTCTTTTTCTTGCCTAATTACCATAGCTAGAAGCTTCAATGCAGTGTTGAATAGAAGTGGCAAGAGCAGACATTCTCATCTTGTTCCTGTTTTAGGGGAAACATCCAGTCTTTCATCATTAATTGTGTTGTTGACTGTGGGTTTTTCCTACATGCTTTTTACCTGATCAAGGAATTTCCCTTCTAATTCTAGTTTGTTGAGTATTTCTATCATGAAAAGATACTCCCTTCTGTCAAACTCCTTTTTTTGTTTCTGCGATCATATGAATTTTGTTTTTAATTTTGTTGACATGATTGTATGTACTGTATTAATTGATTTTTGGTTGTTGAATCAGTCTTGCATTTTTGGGATAAATCCCACTTGGTGATGGTGTTGTTGGATTTGGTTTGCTAGTATTTTGTTAAGAATTTTTGCATTCATATTCATAAGAGATATTATTTGGTATTTTTCCTGTGGTGTCTTTTTTTGATTTTGATATTAGGGTAATGTTGGCTTTTTAGAATGAATTAGGAAGTGTTCTCCCCTCCTGTTTTTTGGAAGAGTTTGTGAATTGATATTAATTCTTTTTTTAAATGTTTGGTAGAATTCAGTTTTAAAACCACCTGGATTGTGGGTATTTTTTTTTTAATTACAAATTCAGTATCCTTATTTGTTATTGGTCTATTCAGATTGTCTATTTCTTTTTGAGTCATTTTTGGTAGTTTGTGTCTTTCCAGTAATTTGTCAGTTGCATCTTTGTTATCTAATATATTGGCATACACAGTTGTTCTTATAATAATTTTTAATTCTCTAAGGTCAGTAATAATGTCCCCTGTTCATTTCTAGTTTTAGTAATTTAAGTCTTTCTTTCTTTCTTTTTCTTGGTCAGTCTAGCTAATGGTTTGTCAATTTTGTTAATATGTTCTAAGAACCAACTTTTGAGTTCAACTTTGGAGTTCATTTCTTTATTATTTTTCTCTTCTTTGTTTTATTAAGTTCTGCTGTAATCTTTATTACTTCCTTCCTTCTGCCTACTTTAGGTTTAGTTTGCTTTTTTTTTTTTTTTTTCCAGCGTTTTGGGTGGAAGGTTGGGTTATTGATTTAAGATGTTTCTTCTTTTTTTAATATGGGCATTTATAACTATAGTTCTTAGCTATATCCTTTAGTTTTATTTCTTAAGTTTTGGTATGTTGTGTTTTCATTTTTATTTATCTCAAAGTATATTTTCTAATGTCCTTTTTCATTTCTTTTTTGACTCATTAATTATTCTGTTTCATACACATGTTGAGTATCCTTTATATCACATGCTTGGGACCAGAAGTTTTTTTAAGATTTCAGATTTTAGAATACATCTGACCCTTGAACAATGTGGAGGTTGGGATGTTGACCCCCTCTGTGTAGTCAGAAATTTGTGTATAACTTTTGACTCCCTAAAACTAGTAATAGCTTACTGTTGACTGGAAGCATTATTGATAACATAAACAGTTGATTAACACATGTTCTGTATGTTATACGTCTTGTATTCGATATTGTTACAATAAAGTAAGCCAGAGAAAAGAAAATGTTAAGAAAATTGTAAGAAAGAGAAAATATACTTATTATTGATTGAGTGGAAGTGGATCATCATAAAGGTCTTCATCCTTATCATCTTTATTTGAGTAGGCTGAAGAGAAAAAGGAAGAGGAGGAGTTGGTCTTGGTATCTCAGGGATGGCAGAAATGGAGGAAAATTTTAGTATGATTCAAACCCATGTTGTTCAAGGGTCAACTGTATTTGCATTATATACTTAACAGTTGAGCATCCCTAATCCAAAATGCTCCAGTGAGCTTTCCTTTGAGTATCATGTTTGTGCTCAGATTTTGGGCCAGGCACCATGCATGGCTCATGCCCATAATCCCAGCACTTTGGAAGGCTGAGACAGGAGGATTGCTTGAGCCCAGGAGCTCTAGATTAGCTCTCGCAATATGGTAAACTCCATCTCTACTAAAAATAAAAAAATTAGCCTGGTGTGGTGGTGCATACCTGTAGTCCCAGCTACAGCTACTTGGGAGGCTGAGCTAGGAGGATCACTTGACCCTGGGAGGTCGAGGTTGCAGTGCATGCCACTGCTCTAGCCTGGGCAACAGAATGAGACCCTCTGTCAAAAAAAAAAAATTTCAGATTTTGGAGCATTTTTTTATTTTAGATTTTTGGATTTGGGATGCTCAATCTATACGATATTTTGTTTATCCATTTGTCTGTTGATGTACACTTGGGTGATTTTCACCTACTGGCTATTGTGTATAGTGCTGCTATGAACATTGGTATACATTATCTGTTTGAATCTCTGCTTTCTCCTTTTTTTTTTCTTCTTTCTTTCTTTCTTTCTTTTTTTGGGAGATAGGATGTTGCTCTGTCATCCAGGCTAGAGTGCAGTGGCATGATCATGGCTCACTACAGCCTCAATCTCCCAGGCTCAAGCGATCCTCCCAGCTGAGCCTCCTGAGTAGCTGGGACTAGAGGCACGTGCCACCATGCCTGGCTAATTTTTAAATTGTTTTGTGGAGACAGGGTTTCACCATGTTGCCCAGGCTAGTGTAGAACTCCTAAGCTCAAGTGATCCTCCCACTTTGGCCACCTAAAGTGCTGGGATTTGAATTCCTGCTTTCAATCCTTTTGGATATATACCTAGGAGTGTAATTGCTGGTAATATATATGTAGGAGTGTAAATATACAATCAAATTGTATATTTTGATTTTTGAGAACTATCAAATCTTGAGTTATCATAATGGCTGCACCATTTTATATTCCTACCAGCAATGCATGAGGGGTCCAGTTTCTTCACATCTTTGTCAGCACTTATTATTTTCTCTTTTTAAAATTATAGACATCTAGTAGGGGTGCAGTGATATCTCATTTTGGTTTTGACTTACATTTCCCTAGTGACTAAGATGTTGAACATCTTTTAATGTGCTTATTGGCTATTTGTATCTCTTAATTGGAGAAATGTCTATTCAACTCCTCTGCCTGTTTTCGAGTTTGGTTTGTGTGTGTGTGTGTGTGTGTGTGTGTGTGTGTTTTCCTTTTTGTTGTTGAGTTGTAGGAGTTCTTATATATTGTGGAACTGGCACTTTCCCCCTCTGTGTTTCTAGCTCCCTGCAGTCATTGGGTGTCATCTAGGTAGTGGATTTGGAACGGGAGACTTCCCTGACTCCCCTTGCAGGACGTGCGACAGGGGTGTGGCTTGTCTGTTTAGTTGCTGCCGCTGTTCAAACCTCTTATGGGAGGGGGAGCATGCGGACAGACAGTTGCAGGAGCCCAAGTGGACATATGTTACAGTGTGTTCTTTTAGCCTTGACGTCCATGGATGGCTTAAGTGTTAACCAGCTCAGAGGACCCTCTGCCTTTTTGCAAGGGCAGAGGGCCATTGCAATAGCTTTCTGTATCCCAAGCTGTTGTCCAACATCCTGGAAGAATTGGGTTACACATGGACTTGAAGAGTGTGAATGTGGGGGTTTTACTGAGTGGTGGAGGTGGCTTTCAGCCAGATGGATGGGAGCTGGACAAGGGGATATAGTGGGAAGATGATCTTCCCCTGGAGTTTGGCTGTACAGTGGCTGATTCTTCTCTCCGACCACCCCCAGCCAAACTCATCTTGGTGTTCAGATGCTCCTTCTCTCCTCTTTCTCTGCTGCGCCATTCTGCCATTTGCTTGTCTCTTCATCTGCTCCTGGAGCCTGGGGTTCAGGGTTTTTATGGGTTCAGGATAGGAAGGCATGGTGGGCCAAAAGGCAACTTTTTGGGCACGAAAACAAGAATGCCTGTATCTCACTAGGGCCATGGATATCCAGGTTTGAGGGTGGGGCCTTTGCCGGGGAACTGCCCTCTTCTCCCCCGTATTTCCCTGTCTCCTGTCTGTAGCAAATTCAGGGATCTTGTAACTGTCACCAGAAATGCCTAAAGCAAACAGCCTGTGGCAGTGTCAGCAGGTGCTAATCCATATTCTCACACTACTGCCTGGACTGGCCATGGGGCTTTGGAGGAGGGTCTCTTCTGGATCATCCTCACTAGAACCAGATTGATAGCTTTAGCATATGTGCTCCTGCAGACATGGGCTTGACTTGACCCAGTAACAGCACAAAAGTACCATTGAGGCCAGGTACCCTGCTGCTGTTTTTGTGCTGCTCATGCTGACAGCTTGTTGGACTCTATTTGGCTGACATCTGGAACATCTGTCTTTTTAAGTAGTATTATAATTGCCTGGGATGTAATTTTCTATTTTTTTACTTTTGTCCTGTTAGTGTCTCTTGCTTTAAATGTATTTTTTCTAAGGATAAAGAACTTGTACAGGGCAGTGGTTAAGATCATCACTTTTCTGTCTGATCTGCCTGAGTTTGAATCATAATTCCAATACTTATTAGCTTTTTGGTCTTGGTTTGGTTACTTAACCCTTCTGTGCCTTGTTTTCCTCATATGTAAAATGGGAATAATAATAAATAGTAACCTTATAAGGTTGTTGCAAGGATTAAATGAGTTAACATATGCGAGTACTTAGAAGAAGGCTCCATTACTGTATAGCAGAGACACATGCCACCTTCTCTGAAAGTCAACACATTTAACAAGCATCAAAGATTTCTTGAAACTAAAATTCCAGGAAAAATAAACAAAAATTTTTAAAAAATCACATAATGTATGTGCCTGAGTTAGAAGAAGGGACAAAATTTTCTTTTGAACCACCAAACACTGCAGTTGTCGGAATTACTGAGTAAAGAATATAATGTAAGAATGTTGAATATATTTAAGGAAATGAAAGAGTATGAATGGAATAATCACCTTTGGAGGACACAGGAGACACAATGAAAATCATGCTTAATCAAAGATACTCTTGTAAACTACTTAAGTGGCCAGCACCTGGGTCCTTGTAAGCGTTAACAGGCCAGATGAACTTTTTGTTTCTTTACTTTAGTTAAGGCTTTTGTTTCCCTGGACCAATGGCGGCCAAGGTTTAGTTTGAAATGTGTGGGTCTGAAGTGAGGTGGTAGTGAGGCCAGTGGGGTCCCCATGTTGTATAGTTTAGGACCCCTGAGTACAGGAGTATGATGAGGGTTATAAAGTTGTACTGTTTGTCTTTTCTGGGAATAACTGAAATTTTTACTTATCTATAAAAACTAAACATTTTGTTTTCTTTTTTAGTGCCCTCCTTCAGGAGCTATCTTGTTTAACCTTTGTAGAGCTATAAATATGATTTGATTAAAAAATTATAGCTTATAGTCACTCCTAGAATAGCTTTAAGTTTTGTTACAGCTTTTTGTCTTACCTACCAATTTTCTAGGCTTTCTCAATATACTTTGCTAGAAATTCTGCTAGAGAAAAATGGTGAGATTTTTTTTTTTTTTTTTTAGCCTTATTCGTTCTTAGGAGCTCACCCTGAGAAAGCTCAAATCTGTCATTTCTCTCTGGGAAAAATGAGATTTAAATAATTTTTTTTACTTGTACAAACCAAAACAGTACATGTTTTGGCAGTTTGTAAATTGTTGCCTCATTAACGTAAACAAAACAAGTCAAATTAGATATTTGTGTTTGAAGAGATTTATTTGCTGCAATACAGCTGTATCCTTTATATAGAAAATTTATAGGTTGTTATTTTATGATCTGTGCTTTTTCAGACTATCCCTTTATAGTCTGTCCAAAACATAAAAAAGATGTTTCCTTGGTTGATTCTTACAAAGGCACCAAACATGTTGTATAAATGTAAGTTGGAAGATTATTACCGACTTGTCCTTAGTCATGGTTTCCATGTAACAAGGTGCTGTAGATTAAGGTAATGAGAGGTATGAGGTGGGGCCATGAGGCCTCTACCAGCCTCTAAATTCTTTTTCTCTCTTCCACTCCACTCAGCAAACAACTGGACTGACAAATGCTGCCAGCCTAGTTTGGAAATTATAATACGGTTCTGTCATTCATTCTGCTCAAAATAATCTCATATAGCAGTGCTCAAGTAAATTAGAAGGTAGGTATAGTGGATAATTACTTAAATATTCAGTAGACTTTTTGAAGGGGCAGTATCGCACAGCAGAGCCAGATATCTGGTTTCCACATAAATTTGGATATTTTGCTAGTTTTATGCTCTTGGGTGAATTATTTACTTTCAGTTTTTCTACCTGTAAAAATGATGATGATAATACTTACAGGATTATTGTGGAGGCTAAATATATTATTGTATTTCAGTTAATCTAGGATGTTACCCATTTTAAGACACACCTTTTTAAGGGTAACTTTAAGGGGAAAAAAAGCCTGCCTATTATGATATTACACTTTCTCATCAAATAAAGAGAGCTTTTGAATTATCATCATCATCATTATTTTTTGAGATAGGCTCCCTGTCACCCAGGCTGCAGTGCAGTGGTGCAGTTGTGGCTCATTGCAGTCTCAACCTCCCAGGCTCAAGGGATCCTCCAACCTCAGCCCCCAGAGTAGCTGGGAGTACAGGCACGTGCTGCCAGATCTAGCTAATTAAAAAAAAAATGTTTTTGGTACAGACAAGATCTTGCTATGTTGCCCAGGCTGGTCTGACACCTCTGGGCTCAAACTATCCCCCTGTCTTGGCCTTCTAAAGTGCTGGGATTATAGGTGTGAGCCACCACGCCCAGCCTTGAATTATCTAGACATAAATTGTTATCATAAGTTACTCTTGTACATAGAAAAAAATAAAATATAAACTGAATAAAATTGACCAAGTTATTTCTGAAACTCATATTCAGAGACTGAGTTGAGAGTTAACTTTTACTTAGGATTAACGGGAAATTTCTGATTAATGCTTGATGACTTAGCTGTATACAGACTTGGTCAGAACTTGTCACATTAGTCTTTCATTGCCGTGAAATTGCTTTCACCTAATCCAAAGGATTTCACAGTTTTTTCTGCTTTTAGTTGCTCTGCTGTAACCTACTTGTTTTTTAGTCTTCTTTGTTACCACAACATGTTATAATGAACTCACTTATGTAAAAGTTGAGTTCTAATTGAAATTAAACATATTACAAAGCAATGTGATAGTCGTAAAAACAGGAACAGAGAGCAATAAAAACAACAGAAAATGCCAAAGCAGAGCTAACCATTTAAAAGATAAAACACACATAGAAAACAATAGGAAGAGAACATGGCCTGATAACGTTTGAACTGAATTTTAAACTGTTTAAATGATATTTAATTATGATGATTATATGGTGCTTTAGATACCCTCATTACTGTGTATGAATTAGTACAACCCTTCTGAAGAGCTAATTTCTTGGTATATTTTAACTTTTTGCTATAACATTGCTATGTATGTTTTTAGCTATTGGGCTGCACACTTTTTAAAATTTAAGGATTAGTAAATATTGGCTAACATGTAAGCTCCATGGGTGCAGGACATGTTTGGGTATTTATTTACTGATGTATCCTCAGACATAAGAGTGTGCCTAGCATATGGTACTCATACATTGAGTGACTCAATTAATATATTCTGTGTTAACCAGAACCTATGGATTCTAATATATCTTTTATTTATATTAACAAAATGCCTTTCCTGCAGAACCATGTTAAAATTCCTTACAGCATCTATATGGTGAGGGTACTTAGCTTTTTTTAAAAAGCAATACTTTTTTGATGAAATCAGAATGTATGTTTTTATACCTCTACACTTACAAATTAAGAATATTTTTATTGTTTTTGTGGAACTATCTACTCCTGTAAGCACTTTTAACAGTACAGAATAATCCAAAGAGCAATGTAGAGAATTATCTCTACTTCCTTCAAGGGGTAACAATCATTATTGTATTGGTGAACACTATTCCAGATATATCTGTTGTGTGTGTGTGTTACATAATTTAACAGTGATACCTGTTTTTTCCTTCACTCATTAATGTGTTACAGACAAGTACCATTTTAAAGGCTTCTCATCATTTTTAAGGATGGCCGAATAGTATCTTATTGCATGTGCATATTTTATGGTACTTTTTCAGAATGTGGATTTTTGTGGGGGCAGGGGTACCATTAAGCACACAGATCCCACCTTTCAAAACAGCTCCAGCTGCTGCTTATCCCTAATATTTATTTTCGAAAAGTAATAGTGTACTGTCATATATTTTTGTTTACATGTTTGGAATGTCTATTTTGTCCCCTTTTTAAGAGCAAAAGATTCTCATTTTAGCCCTTGGTACAATTCATATATTTAGTGTTATATATAAAATTTTGTTTTTTAATTAAACACAGTTCCTGGCACTTTGAAATGTGCTAATTAGATCTATCCTTTTCTTTCCTCTGTGTTTAAAGTCAAGGCTGAATACTTGACTAGGAGTGTTTTGAGAGTGGAAGAAAAACATAGGTAACACAGAGGGCAAGGCAGGGGCTGCTGAAGTAGTTATATCTAGGGATTCCCTTTAGAGTGTGTCTGTGGGACTTGTCATGGAGTGAATCAGCCACCATGCCCAGTGATTATGAAAAGGTGAATTTATGACCTGCCTACTGATGATAGAAATTGTTGACAGTGGTCTTTCTGTATAGAGATAACTTAGAAATATTACAACATTGTACTTAAATCATCTTTCAGGTCTTTCTTGGCTGCTGATTTTCTTTCTTCATGTAATCTATTTTTGTTTTCATACCTTCTCTATTAAGACAACAATCAGGTGAGAAAGAGGAGGAGAAACAGCATAGTGATCAGTTAGGGGTTGTCATGGTGGTAGAGTCACTGCCTCCTTAGGAGGTAATATAGTGCCAAGTCAAGGAGCGTAGACTCCAGAGTTATACAGTCTTGGATTTGAACCTCAGCTCTGCTTCTTGCTAGCTGGCTGACTTTGGGCAAGTTTTTGAATCTTTCTGAGCTTCAGTTTTCTAAAATACCCACATCTCAGGAATATGTGAATTAAATAAGATATCTACGCTGTACTGAATATAGTATATAGCTCACAATATGGGTTAAGAATATGGGTTCTTGAGTAAGACTGTCTGTGCTTAGATCCCAGCTCTGCCACCTACTAGTTGTATAACCTTTAACAAATTACCCAACCTCTCTACCTTCGTTTCTTCAGCTACTATATGGGATAATAATAGGTTTGCTGTGATAGTTAAAGAAATTAATACACATGTAGGATAACAGTGTCTGACCATAGAAACTGCAAATGTTAACACTCAGTAGCTAATAATAAATCTCCTTTAATTCTGAAATGGTTCCACATGTATATAGGATATAATTTCTTCTACTCTCTCTTGTTCCCATGTTCTCATGGAATTTGCTGTTCTTGAGCTTGAAACAGTATTAATTTCCAAGTGTCTTAGTCATATTGCTCAGTGTTATGTTTTCTTATGAAATACAGAAATTCCTTTTAAAATTAAAAAGTGACATCCAGTGATTAAAAGACTGAATAAGAATATTTGATCAAGAATATGGTCTGTTACAGCTGTTCATAGTCTAAGATAGACTTGGAGTTTTTGTTTGAAAATGCTTTGAAAATTGTTAGTGCCATTAAATTTGTAAGGTATAAGGAAGTTGTTAGTAATTTTAAAAGTGGTTTAAGTGCAAATTGGAACACTTTCAAAAGTATTTATTCCAGAGAGACTGGGATGAAAATAGGTGTTTCCTCTGGAAATCCTGACTGAGCCTATTCATTGAGTTCTGTAATGATAGAGCCAGAAGAACTCAGACAGTTTCAGTACCCTCCCCGCCGCCATCCCATATGATTCTGGCTGAGAAGGATCCAGAAGTGTGACACGTTTGTTTTCATTCTAGCCATGTATTATGTAGGCATATAAGAAAATTATTTTTCTGCCAAATTTTAGTTTAAATGTTAGCTAAATGACTTGTGTTGGAATGCACTCAGTAGCACTTTAGGAGTTAAACGCAGTGGTAAAGCAGTCGTTTTTTTCCCTTTTCATAGATAAGTTGTCACAAATTTTATTTTTCATATTTTTTTTGAGGTTCATACTCATACACTTGTGAAACTATATTTGCATTATTTAGAACTGGTGGTTATCCTGGATGTTACTTCTTCACAACAAATGGCCCCTACTTATTTGCTTTGTTACTATTTCACCACTTCGTTGAATGTGATTTCATGAACTGGAAATTTGTGAAAAATCAGGTTATAGGAAATAATACACTTAATTGTAAGAATTTCAAATGTACTTTTTCTTAGAGATGAATAAAAGTAGATTTTAGTAAATTCTTTAATTCAGACTTTTCGTAATCATATCCCATGGCTTTACTGCTATTTATCAAGTATTTTTATACCTATTCTTATTTATTTCTTACTTTAACCCCGTGGTTGTAAGTGTTGTTCACAGTTGATAGGTGAGGAAACTGAACTGAAAACTGATAAACTAATATGATGAAAGAGTTTGGACTTAAGTCCAAATCATCTGATTCTAAATCTCAAAGTCCTAGCACACCATGCAGCCTTTCCACCTCTCCATTGTTTTAATATGGTAGCTATTACCAGAAAGTTTGAATTGAGAGAATAAACTTGTCTTTAGCATCCTTTAATTTTTACCTTTTATCTTTGGTTGAGGAGACAATAGCAAAAACAAACAAACAAAAAAAAACTGTTTTGAACAAGACCGAATTTACATTCAGATTAATGAATTTTCATCTTTTTTTCAGCATTAAAGAATTTTCGTAAATTATACATGATACGGTATTTGAGTCAGAATACCCTCAAAGATCTGCTCTAACTCCTCATTTTCTTGAAGGGACCTGAGGGCTCAATGATCAAGCCAGCCAGAGTTTGTTCTTTATAGGTCCTAAACTCTGCCAAATAGTTTTTATTAAGGTTGTGAAATATAACACCTTTTGAATTTTTCATCTTCTTCAACTTTTATGCACTTTAGAATTCAGCATGAAGAGAATTTGTCTCAGTGCTAGGCTGAAACGAAGTATTTTATTAACTGGTCAGTTGTTTTTTTTTTTTCCTTAAGGGGCATTCTGGAGAAGAGGAACTTTCAGCTTGTAATCTAGCCCTTGTTACATAACTAGACTACTAGACTACATACCATATATTCTCATTATAACTGGACATCTTTTTTGAGCCTGAAATCTCAGCAGATGGCAAGAAATAGTTAGGGATTACGTTTGGGCTAACACAGTTTCGTATGATGAAGAATGTGGGGAAAGATCTGTCCAGCTCTCTGGCATGCTATCCTATGGATATGTTCTTGCTGGAGCCATGGGATAAAAATTATAGAAGAATATTGTTAGGGCCAGGAAGGAAAGAGTTTCAAAGTAGAGTTTGAGGCCATGGGGGTATATAGCTCAGGGGTAGAGCATTTGACAGCAAAGTAGAGCTTGATTTCTTGCTTTTTGATTTTGCTTTCTGTTGTCAGAGGGGCATGTGTTCTGGGGGTAATTTGTGTGTTTATTGTGTGCTTGCTTGGTCCTTCTCAGCATGAGGTTTGTGTCTCTTTCTACTTCCCTTAGTAGGTTAAAGGGGACAGACCTTTTTTTTCTCTAACAGAATTTGGAGGTCCATATTTCCATGACTAGCCTAGGAATAATACAGGCATAAAGAAAAATATTCACTTACACAAATTCCAAACATACAATCATAAGTTAAAAGTTCATAAAATAAGGGATAATCAGCACTTTACCAGTGAATCTTTGGCAATGTAAAAATTTAACTTTGTAGTTCCTTTAGCTGGTGAGCTCTTTGTTGCATTTAAAATGGATTTTGACTTATAAAAATTCAGTTTAAGATTTTCATGAATCCTCCTACACGTAAAGCACAATGATTGTCTTTCTGTTCAAAGCCCTAGTTGGTTGTCACATGGAAATAGTAGAGTTCGATATTTGCCCTTGGTGTAAATGCCTGAATTTAGTGTGCCAGAAAATTGTTATTTTTTGGAATTTAAAAGTATCTCTTCAACAGATAAGTACAATTTAGTATGTTGATAGGATTATCCTTCATAGATTCAGTTTTTCTTTTCATTGGGTAAGTGATGCGTATTCTCAGTAAACTAGGCTGAAAGTTTCTAAGTCCAGAATTGTGGTTCCAATAGGACTCTGAAGTTACAGATGTAGTATTCAAGTCATGCAAATGTATGTAAACTAAGGAAGTATGGTCTATAGGTAAAACACTTGGAGAAATGATAGTCAATTACATGAAGATTTTCTTTCCTTTTCTTTAAGCAGCCTTCAGGTTTAGAAGCTCAAGTTAGAGAAATAGTGTTTTAACCAAGAAAATCCCTTTGGCAAGACTCATATCTTGACAAAAGCATGTTGGTCTGCATACCACTTTGCATAAAAGATGTGTATTGCATTAACTATGGAGAAGAGAAGATTCCAGTGTATTTCAGCCTCTTTGCAGGATAAAGCAAAGCAAATCACGTAGCCATGCTGTGTGTCTCAAAGGGCTCTTGTGTGGGTATTTCAACTAGAAAGGAGATTAGCATTGGAAGTCTGTGATCATGTCATACATTTGTAATTGAAGGTGGCTGTTGAAAATAATTCTTTACATAACTGGATTCTAGCAGTCTTGATGAGGTAAGTAGAATCAATAGGAAATGATCTGTTTGTCACTGCTTAGCCACAATGCCAAAAAGCTTGGTATCTGGGAATGGAGACTTTAAAAAGCGTCAGCACTGGGAAGTATTTGATAATTCAAGTCTAAGAGGCTTCTTATGAAAAGTGCAGAAGGAATATATGCATGGGAATATATACCATTGAATTTTTGCCGATAACATTGTTTCTCGCCACAGTTAAAATTGAAACTTTGATCACTCTAGTAGCCACAGGTCATTTGATGATTTTTGCCAAACCGTAAACTTAGGCAACTTAAGTACCTGCCTCATGTAAACGGTCTTATATGTGAGCATGTTTTTCCTGTTATTTGTATTTCTATTCCTTGACATAAAGTTTTAGAACTTTTTGGGGGAAGTTCATGAACACTCATAGCTCTTTCTGGTAGATGAACATGACTCTTACTTCTGTGGATAAATTATAAATGTACTATAAAAATTCATCTGGAGTGGCAAGTGAAAAAGATACAGTATGATTTGCTGCCAAGAACATCTTATTACATCTGCATATTTATGCTGCTAATGAACGGATACTGCTAACAAGTCAGTTTCCGAAGATACGCAGCTTTGGCGAAACAACAAAGTGAACAGGAAATGTTTTTCTTAGAGGATTTTATTTGCTCATCCAAAGCAATAGAAAAACGTTAAATGATTGGTGGTAGATTTTATTTTCCTGGAGCACCTTGTACAGCCTGCAATTCAGTCGGTTATTGTGCTAAGGGATGGGTGCACTGACCTTGTCAAAAGAGGGAGCAAGGATTTCGTTTGACTTTGGTTTGTTGGTTCGCAATACTCATGGATATCTGGATCTCTAACCTTGGCTTTTTATAACTATAATCCTAGGCAGTCATTCACTATGAAAACACTTGTGCTTCTCTTTTTTTCTTTGTATTTGTTCATTTGAAAAGCCTTTCAAAAAGGAGTTGCAGCCTGCATGTGATTATAGCTATCAGTAGCACTTAACCTAACTGCTGAGATGAAACTTTTCTTTTTGGAACCTGCTAATTTTACATATCAATAGAAAAAAAATTTCTTGTACTGTTAAAAGGCCCGACTTTACTAATTGGTAGCTACTCTTTGGATTGAGCTAGAATCCTTAGGGACAGAATTTGATAGAATAATTTTTGACATTTTAATTTGACAAGAAACAATTCAGGGAAACGATTTTAGTCTTGGGCCTGAAGTGGAGTCTTCTCTTGCTGTTTGTGATACTTAGTGTGGGGAATGCCTTTGAAACAGCACTTTATAAACCCTGTGATCCATTTAATGTGATAGTTCAAGCTGCTTGGCTGTTTTTTTCATAGGAGCCTCACCTAAAATAGTCTAACACAGTGGAAAGATTTTTCTGTATTTTAGAGGGTAATGCAGTAAATTCTAATCTTTGTGAGAAAAACATAGCTTTCCAGAAGGACAATAAATTTAGGTGTAAAATGTGTGAATTGTATGCTCCTTTATCCTTTAATTGTATTATAGTCTACATCTTTCTAACTCAAAAAGTACTCTTTGTTTTAAAAATATCCCTTCCCACACTTGAAAATGGTAGAATAAGACTAATTTTAGTTACAGGTTCTTTGTGTGTTTGTGTGTATATCTCTATATAACAGAAAACTTACATTTTTAAATAATGAAGTTAAAGCTTTAAACAAGTAGAGTATATACACACATAAACATGCGTGCTAATTTGTTTCTGAAAAATTATCTTAGAAATCTGTGTTTCTCCAAGTATTTGGGGGGATATTTAAATAGCCAAACTAGAAATGAAATAGGTGTTTGAAAAAATATCTAGCTGGGCATGGTGGCTCACATCTGTAATCCCAACATTTTGGGAGGCCAAGGTGAGAGGATCACTTGAGCTCAGGAGTTTGAGACCAGCCTGGGCAACGTAGTGAGACCTTGTCTCTACTGAATATTTAAAAATTAGATGGACATGGTGGCACACGCCTGTAATCCCAGCTACTCAGGAGGCTGAGATGGGAGGATCACTTGAGCCCAAGAATACAAGGCTATAGTGAGCTGAGACTGCGCCACTGCACTCCAGCCTGGGCAGCAGAGTGAGACCCTGTCTTAAAAGAGAAAAAGGAAAAAGAAAAATATCTGGAGACAAACCTGGTTTCTAAGCCTGGGGAGTAGATTGGAAGAAAGGGAAAATATGACCTTTAGTTTCTTCTTTGCGTGTGTGTGTGTGTGTGTGTGTGTGTGTGTGTGTGTGTGTGTGTGTGTTTTGAGACGGAGTCTTGCTGTGTCCTCCAGGCTGGAGTGCAGTGGTGCAATCTCTGCTCACTGCCAGCTCCGCCTCCTGGGTTCACGCCATTCTCCTGCCTCAGCCTCCCGTGTAGCTGGGACTGCAGGCGCCCACCACCGCGCCCGGCTAATTTTTTGTATTTTTAGTAGAGATGGGGTTTCACTGTGTTAGCCAGGATGGTCTCGATCTCCTGACCTCATGATCCGCCCGCCTCGGCCTCTCAAAGTGCTGGGATTACAGGCGTGAGCCACCATGCCCTGCCTTGTGTGTGTGTTTCTAATACGTAAAATTTTGTTTTTTACTAGGTAAGGTTAGAAACTGATACTCTCAAATTTGCTCATAATAGTGACTTATTCTAGATGAGGAAAATGCATTGATTTTATTAACAATATATCCCTCGGAGATTAGGGTAGGTAGATGATTTGGAGAAGTAGGTTGCTTGATATCAATTAGTTATGTTGCTTCAGAACAAGCCATTATTAGTTTGTATCGTAAGTACTTTAGTGAAAGAAAAAATTTTAATGGATTTGGTGGTCATGTCAATTTGTGTACTAGCATGTATTCTCTTTCTCTGCACCTCCCTGCCCCCACCTCCCAACTCACCGTGCCCTGCAAACATTTTTCTGTCTGCTTTTTTTCTTTCTCTTCCTTTTTTCTTCTCTCATTTAAACATAGGGAAAATTGTCTAAGAATGCCTGTGACTGTAAATAATTCGTTTCATGAAGACTTATGACTTTAATCATTTTTACATTTATTTTAGTAAAAATCATTTATTATCTTTAGCAATTCACTGGGTAAAATTGCTCATAAAGAAGAAATATCACTATTCTATTTTCCTCTAAGAAAAAAAGTTCTAAGAATAAAAAAGTCAAAGTTAAGTCAACATAGCATATCACACATTGAGTTTGTATTCTAACATACTTTTGTTTTTGTTTTTTTAACTTTTAACTGAAAATAATGCTGGAATATGACTCCATGTGTGTGATATACTACAATAATATTAGAGATACTAATTTCACATGTAGTTGTCCTAATTTTGAGTTGGAAAACTTAACAGGAAAAATTCACTGGAGTCCTGTCATATAAAAGACTATATTTTTAGGACAACATCAAGTCCTTTAAAATTTATTTTGGAATGGAGGCTTTATGCTTAAAATAAACTTAGGGGAAATAAAATAATTTTAAAAGTTTCTTCAGCCATTGTGTATAGTTTCTGTTAGAGGTAATTTCCAGCACCGGAAAATCAGGAAGTCTGTAGTTTAAATTCTTCAGTATGAGATTATATTGCCAGTTTTCTTTACACATGGTGTTCAGTATGTATTAAGTGACAGCTGTAACTTTTCTTTTCCTCTTTTACCTTTGGGAATTTCAAGAACACAGCTTTAGCTTTCTTCTAATTTGTGTTATTTTTTATATTTAAAAACAATTTTCAAGAATATATACATTTAAATTATAGTGTGACTGAATAGCTGAACAACCTTCTAAATTTGTTTAGCATATTGTGTTTTAAAAATTATGTAAATATCTATCGGTCAGGCTTTAAGAACTTGTGTCAGGGGACAGTAAGAAGGGATGGGAGAAATGTCATTCCTTTTAGGTAAGATTAGACCAGGTTATGTTCATTTATTTATTTATTTATTTTGGTTCTTTTTTTCTGCCACTTATGAATTCATCTGAGCATTGAGAATTGTTAAGATAAAATGTATTTGCCAAAAATTAGGCCCAACAATTAAGTTTGAAAATTGCCAGGGATATCAAAAGAGATTTTAGACGATTTTCATGGCTTTAAGGGAGAATTGACTGAATATGGATTATTATTATTATTATTTTGTTTGTTTTTGTTTTTTGTTTTTTTTGAGACGGAGTTTTGTTCTTGTTGCCCAGGTTCGAGTACAGTGGCACGATCTCAGCTCACTGTACCTCCACCTCTTGGGTTCAAGCAATTCTCCTGCCTCAGCCTCTTGAGTAGCTGGGATTATAGGTGCCCGCCACCATGCCGGGCTAATTTTTTGTATTTTTAGTAGAAATGGGGTTTCATCATGTTGGCCAGGCTGGTCTTGAACTCCGGACCTCAGGTGATCCACACCCGCCTCAGCCTCCCAAAGTACAAGGATTACAGACGTGAGCCGCCGCGCCCAGCCTAATATGGATTATTTTTAAGTTTCAGAGAATGTTCTGTGATTTTGATAAGCATAGTCTTTTGTGATTTGGCTTAATCAAAGAGGTTGAAATGAGAGTCATTAGCCAAGTGACATTTAAGTGCCTTGGTTTGTCTGCTTGCTTTTCTGTGGATTGAAAAAAACTGACCACTGTTAATATGATTGTACAGTGACACTGGAAATTATGAGATGTGTGTCTGGTTAGTCCTGCTTGTATTTCAGTTGAGATACATACCAAGTCTGATAATGCAGAGCTTTTCCATTTCATGTGTCTGTTTACCATTTTCATGATCTTAAGCAATAAACATTTCTTGACAACAGCATCAGACCTCGTTTTTACCAACACTCATTCTTTACTATACGCCAAACATGAGCACAAATTGGTTTTTATCCATATTAATGAAAAACAAAACCCTCTATTTCAGTCTATAACACAGATACATGAGATGCTAGGAAGTCTGGAATCAATTAAGTCAGCCAAGTGTGTGGGAAAAAAGACAGCAGACATGGAAATCATATCAAAATGACTTGTTTTAAAGAACTGGAAACCTGCAGACTAAATGGTGAATAAGAAATTAATTTAGAAAACACTATTTAATATGCACTATTTAATTTACATTTGATTTTTAAACTGTAGAACATACGTGTGAGAGTACTCTTGGTCTTCAAATGACTATGGGTCTGTATTAATTGGTGTTTTTATCCTTTTCATGCTGTATATTTTAATTGGTCTTAGAAGAAGATCTGAAAATACAAAGATGAGAAATTACTTGAGCATAGAGTTTAAGAATAGTACTTGCTAGCTGATGACAAGGCAAGATAATATAGGCTCCCCTGGGCTGATTTAGTGTGAAATAGGCACAAGTGTATGGCAAATAAATGTCAGTGGGGAATAAAAAATGTCATTAGGGAGTAAAAAAGCTGGAGGAAACTCCAGCTTCTCTGTGAGAGAATTAGAAGATCATACCTGTTCTAGATACTTCCAAAGGCCTTTCTGTTGGCACTGTTTTATGTTAAAGTATTACTAAGTTAAATACAAGTAAAGTCCTGGCTCCTGCTTGTGCTTTATCTTGTGCCATAAGAGAGGAACTGAGGTGGTTTTGAAGTATGAATCTTTGTCCCAGTGATCCCTTTGTGTATTCCAATAGAGAATAAAAACCTAAATGAGAACAAATTTGCTTTTTCCATGGATGGATTGTATTATTAATCATATACTGCTCATCTGAGTGAACCCTAGTTTGTTTGATTTCTGATGTATCTAACCAGATGGCTTGACAGTAAATACTCCTCCCTAAACAAATCACTGATTTGTATGCTTCTTCAGCATCTCCTGCTTTGAATATTCCTTAAACATTATTACTCTTTCTTAGACTCAGGTCTGAGGAGCAACAAAGTATACTATCATGCCAATTGTGTTAACCTCTGGAGACAAAAATGATAATTGACTGACATTCACAAACAACTTTTAAAAGCCTCCAAAGCTTTCTTATTATTGGGAAAACCAGTGAAAAGATGACTGGGAGGAGGGATTAGGCAGAGGATATCTAAATAGAAAGAAGTCTGACCTAACAGTCCAGAGATCAGGTTTTTCCTAAGTCATGGTTTTAGATTATTTTGGTCTGATTATTTAACTCTTTGGGTCTCTCTTCCTCCAAATATGGGGAGCTTACTTATGATCCTAACTTCCTGATAAAGCTGTAAATATTAAAATGGGTTTGAGTTAATAGATCCTAAAACACTTTCAGGAAGCTCTTAAGTATTGTGCAAATGCAGGAGATTCATCTTATTTACTTTAGAATAACTGAAAAGGATCTTGAGAAAATTATACTCATTTGTAGACTTAACAAAGAATTTGGTGGCCATTTTCTTCTCTGCATAGAAGGAGCCAGTTTGACCAAATTATACACACAGGATACGGACAGGTGCCATTGTGCTCAGCTATTTTCCCTTATGTGAGAGCCTTGAGTTGGATGTTTCTCTGGGCAGCTAATCCTTGGCACCACAGCTTTGTTCTGATAGTGGCATCTGGCACTAGATTGATTTAACTGAGCCTGAGGTTTGCTCTTTTCAGAATGTGCTCTCTAGGCAGCTTCTTTGTGGCTCTGACATGACCACATGCTGCTGCTGCTTTTTCTGCCTTCTTGCTCCACATGTGAGGCTAAGACATTCTGACACCTGCCATTTGGAACCTTTACTTGCTGAAAAATGTCAAGATTTTCAGACAAGATGAAGACAGATATAACTGATTTTTTCCTTTCTCAGGAAGAGGCTGAGGGCATTTGTTCATAGATGGATGAGTTGCTGAAGTGGTACAGTTCATTTATTTTTGAGAGTGCACCACAGGTTTTGTGTAGAAGACTCGGTTGTGTTTATGTGTCCTTATTCTCCTTTGCACCTATTTGGTGTGATACTAATTTGATCTTTGTAGAAGTAAAGGTTTTAGTGATTATTTTCTGGACTTCACTAGATAATAATGAGGGTTGGCGGTGTGTTCCCATCCTTACTCCTCGTTTTTATTAAAGACTTCACGAGGAAATTGCAGATTTTTGAGGATGGGCTTCTGTTACGATCATATGTCATACATATGTACACACTGGTGACCATCAAATCTAAAAGGGCCAGGCGTAAGACCTCCTGTTTAAGGTCCTTGCCGCTTCCTCTTCCCTTTTCCCCCTCGAGCCATCTAAATGTCCTAAGTCTAGAGGACTGATTAGTAATAAAGGACAGAAAAAGTGTTTACTTGATAAGTGATAAGTTTTTGCCTTCTAGTAATTGATAGCTACCTGTTTAAGGAAGGAAATTGGTGAAAAAGGAAGGCTTAAAAAACTATTATTATTTTGCATATTATTACCTTTTAATATTATGGTTAAATTATAATTGGCTGTATGCTTTGAGTAAACTATTTCCTCTGTTTCTCGTATGTTGATCTTTATCTTGAATCTCTGGTCTGATTACATCACAGAGATGATGATAGTCTAATTTGGTGTAATTTGGGAAAGAAGCTCCAATGACTCTAATCTTTTTGAATTGCAAAAAACATAAAGAATTTGGATGAAAAAATGCCCTAAAAGTCATTTTTTTGGGAACCAGACTGTGTTGAAAGTTTGTGGGTCAGATATGAAGCTACATCCTCTGGCATCACTTTGGAAAGCTTTTTCTCAAGTGGCTTTAAGTGGCACGTGGAAAAGGGAGAATGAAGGATTGGCCAACAGGCTTGTAACTTATAGGGTAATTTGTGAAGACTAGTAGATAATTTATGAAGACTAGTAGATATGTAAAATCCATCTTGAGCAATTAGAAGGCAATGAGGACTAATGGCTTTTATGTTATCAATAAGATCCATGAATTGGAACATAAATATTTGAAAATATTTTATAGTAAAAACTTGGTAGTTCTTCAGTAAAGAAAGCTTCTTGCTTAGGGCTTTATATAACTCAAGACTGACTTGAGTTATATAAAGAAGGATTCTTGTTGCAAATTTAAACTTTCTTTATCTTTTAACTGGATTCTGCCTATTATAACAGTTTTTCCATAGAATTACAGAATATATGTCTTAGGTTATAGAAATAGCATTCATATAAGCCTCCTCCTCTTTGGATTTGCTTTTTGGAAGTGGGTAATCACTAAGGAAAAACCATGCATTATTTTGGGTTTCACCTTGGAAATGAATAACCTTAATATTACTTTGATCTGAATCAAACATATTTTACATTTGTTGAAGTATGTTTCACACAGTTGCTAATTATGGTATTAGACAAGATTTGAACTTTAGCTGCCGTCTTTGGTTCCTCTTAATTTGAAGTACAATAGATTTTCAACTAAGAAAGGGATGAATTGGTATGTGAATTATTTTAAATGGCTCTAAAGTGAAAATGACTAATAAAATTAGACAAAAATGCCAAGATAAATCAAATGTATTTTTAAGATAATATGCTTGTTCTCTATAATCTTTACCATGGTGCACCATTTATCTTATTAATTTGTAAAGTAGACATGTTTCTTATATTTTTCATAAGTAGGATGTCAAAAGCCATAGGGCTGACCAATGATTATGAAAACACTGGCGCAGCAATCCATATTCTTTAGTATGAACACTCCATCCAGTCTTCCTAGGTGATAGCTCAGGCCCATCTGAAGCTGAAATAAATGAAAATAAATTTATTTATTCCATAATATATTAAAGTCAGTTGCAAGTTTTCTTCATGGAAAGGGCTAATTAATATGTTTAGGATGCCAGTTATGATAGGCTTTGCTAAAACAAAACAGAAAAGTAGATGCTATGAAAGACATTTATGTATTGTGCAGCTGGAAAACTCTTAAGCTTTCACATAGTTCAAGGGCTTGGTATTTCTTTTGAGTTTTTGAGGCTTTAGAACAGTGATTCTCGTGATTCTCAGAGTGTGGGCCTAGACTTCATCAAAATTAAAAACTTTTGCTGGGCGCAGTGGCTTATGCCTGTCATCCCAGCACTTTGGCAGGCCAAGGCAAGAATATTGCTTGAGCCCTGGAGTTTGGGGCTGCATTGAGCTGTGATCATGCCACTGTACTCCAGCATGGGTGACAGAGTGATATCTTTTTTTTTTTAATTTATTATACTTTAAGTTCTAGGGTACATGTCCACAATGTGCAGGTTTGTTACATATGTATACACGTGCCATGTTGGTGTGCTGCACCACTTAACTCATCATTTACATTAGGTATATCCTAATGCTATCCCTCCCCCTTCCCCCCACCCCACGACAGGCCCCGGTGTGTGATGTTCTCCTTCCCGTGTCCAAGTGTTCTCATTGTTCAATTCCCACCTATGAGTGAGAACATGCGGTGTATGGTTTTCTGTCCCTGCGATAGTTTGCTGAGAATGATGGTTTCCAACTTCATCCATGTCCCTACAAAGGACATGAACTGGTCCTTTTTTATGGCTGCATAGTATTCCATGGTGTATATGTGCCACATTTTCTTAATCCATTCTATCATTGATGGACATTTGGGTTGGTTCCAAGTCTTTGCTATTGTGAATAGTGCTGTATTAAACATACATGTGCATGTGTCTTTATAGCAGCATGATTTATAATCCTTTGGGTATCTACCCAGTAATGGGATGGCTGGGTCAAATCAAATGGTGTTTCTACTTCTAGATCCTTGAGGAATCACCACACTGTCTTTTTGTTAGTTTTCCTTTTAACAGTCAGGACCCTTAGCTGCAGGTCTGTTGGAGTTTGCTGGAGGTCCACTCCAGACCCTGTTTGCCTGGGTATCAGCAGCAGAGGCTGCAGAACAGCCAATATTGCTGAACAGCAAATGTTGCTGCCTGATTGTTCCTCTGGAAGCTTCGTCTTGGAGGGGTACCCGGCCGTGTGAGGTGTCAGTCTGCCCCTACTGGGGGGTGCCTCCCAGTTAGGCTACTCGGAGGTCAGGGACCCACTTGAGGAGGCAGTCTGTCCGTTCTCAGATCTCAAACTCCATACTGGGAGAACCACTACTCTCTTCAAAGCTGTCAGACAGGGACATTTGAGTCTGCAGAGGTTTCTGCTGTCTTTTGTTTGGCTGTGCCCTGCCCCCAGAGGTGGAGTCTACAGAGGCAGGCAGGCCTCCTTGAGCTGCGGTGGACTCCACCCAGTTCGAGCTTCCCAGCTGCTTTGTTTACCTACTCCAGCCTCAGCAATGGCAGGTGCCCCTACCCCAGCCTTGCTGCCGCTTTGCAGTTCGATCTCAGACTGCTGTGCTACCAATGAGCAAGGCTCTGTGGGTGTGGGACCCTCCGAGCCAGGCGTGGGATATAATCTCCTGGTGTGCCGTTTGCTAAGACCATTGGAAAAGCACGGTGTTAGGGTGGGAGTGACTCGATTTTCCAGGTGCCATCTGTCACAGCTTCCCTTGGCTAGGAAAGGGAATTCCTTGACTCCTTGCGCTTCCTGGGTGAGGCGATGCCTTGCCCTGCTTCACCTCACGCTTGGTGGGCTGCACCCACTGTCCGACAAGCCCCAGTGAGATGAACCCAGTACCTCAGTTGGAAATGCAGAAATCACCCGTGTTCTGTGTCGCTCACGCAGGGAGCTGTAGACTGGAGCTGTTCCTATTTGGCCATCTTGGAACCACCTCCCCTCCAGAGTGATATCTTGTCTAAAAAATATTTTAAATTAAAAATCAAAAAATTTTTTTAAAATTAAAAGTTTTGTGTTTCAAGTGAGATTCATCCCAAGTATGCAAGGATGGTTCAACTTATGCAGATCAGTAAATGTGATACATCACATCAACAGAATCAAGGACAAAAACCATATGATCATTTCAATAGATGCTGAAAAAGCATTCAGTAAAATCCAGTGTCCCTTCATGATGAAAACTCTCAACAAATTGGGTGGAGAAGGAACATACCTCAACACAATAAAGTCTGTATATGACAAACCCATAGCTAATACACTGAATGGGGAAAAACTGAAAGCCTTTCTACTAAGATACAGAACAAGACAAGTATGCCTACTTTCCCACTTCTATCCAACATAGACCTAGCCAGAGCATTTAGGCAAGAGAAATATATAAAGAGCATCCAAATTAGAAAAGAAGAAGTCATATTATCCTTGTTTACAGACAACACCATCTTATATTTTCAAAACCTAAAGACTCCACCAAAAAACTCTTAGAAGTGATAAATGAATTCAGTAAAGTTGCAGAATACAAAATCAACATATGAAAATCAATACTGTTGGCTGGCTGTGGTGGCTCACACCTGTAATCCCAGCACTTTGGGAGGCCGAAACGGGCGGATTGCTTGAGCGCATGAGTTCAAGACCAGCCTGGGCAACATGGTGAAACCCCATGTCTACAAAAAAATTAGCTGGGCATGATGGCATGTGCTTATAGTCCCAGCTACTTGGGAGGCCAAGGTGGGAGGACAGCTTGAGTGTGGGAGGTGGAGGTTGTAGTGAGCCGTGATTGTGCCACTGCACTCCAGCCTGGGCAATAGAGCCAGACCTTGTCTTAAAAAAAAAAAAATCAATATTGTTTATATATACTAGCAGCAATCTGGAAAAGAAATCGAGAAAGCAGTCTCATTTATAATAGCTACACACACACATATACACACCATACACACAGAATAAATTTAACCAAACACACACATACACACACACACACACACACAGAGACATGCACAGAATAAATTTAACCAAACACACACACACACACACACACAGGATAAATTTAATCAAAGAAGTCAAAGATTTTTCCAAAGAAAACTATAAAATACTGGTGAAAGAAATTAAAGAGGATGGAAAGTTGGAATAATATTCCATGCTCCTAGATTGGGAGGATTAATATTGTTAAAATGTCTTTACTACCCAAAGTGATCTACAGATTCAGTGCAATACCTATCAAAATACCAATGACATTCTTCATAGAAGTAGAAAAAAAATACTAAAAATTCAAATGAAACAACAAAAGACCCCAAATAGCTAATGCAATCCTTAGCAAAACGAACAAAGCTGAAGGCATCACACTACCTGATTTCAAAGTATACTACAAAGCTGTTATAACCAAAACAGCATGATACTGGCATAAAAACAGACACATAGACCAATGGAACAGAAGAGAGAACCCAGAAGTAGATCTGTACACGTGGAGTCAACTCATTTTGACAGTGGTGCCAAGAACACACACTGGGGAAAGGACAGCCTCTTTAATAAATGATGCTGGGAAAACTGGATATCCATTTGCAGAAGAATGAAACTAGATCCCCGTTTTTTACCATATATAAAAATTAACTAAAAATGGATTAAAGACTTAAATGTAAGACCTGAAACTATAAAACTGCTAAAAGAAAACATTGGGGGAAATGCTGCCGATCAGTGGTCTGGGCAAAGATTTTTGGGGTAAGACCTCAAAAGCACAGACAAAGCAAAAATAGACAAATGGGATTACATCAAGCTAAAAAGCTTCTGCACAGCAAAGGAAACAGTCAACAAAGTGAAGAAGCAACCTACTGAATGGGAGAAATTATTTGCAAACTATCACAAAGGGATTAATAACTAGAACATATAAGGAAGTGAAACAGCTCAATAGCAAAAGAAAACCCACAAATACTGTGATTAAGAAATAGTCAAAAGACCTGTACAAACATTTCTCAGAAGAAGACATACAGATAACCACTAGATATATTAAAGAAATGCTAAGCATCACTAATCATCAAAGAAATGAAAATTAAAACCACAATGAGATGTCATTTCACCACAGTTAGAATGACTTATCAAAAAGGTAAAAAATAACAAATGCTGGAGAGAATGTGGAGAAATGTGAACACTCATACACTGTTGGTGGGAAGGTAAGGTAGTATAGCCATTGTGGAAAATTCTATATGGGTTCCCTAAAAAAAACTAAAAATAGAACTGCCATATAAGTCAGCAATCCCACTGCTAAGTATATATCCAAAAGAAAGGAACTCAGTATATTGAAGAGGTATCGTACTCCCATGTTTATTGCAACACTATTCACATTAGCCAAGATATGGAATCAATCTAAGTGTCTGTCAGCTGATGAATGGATAAAGAAAATGTGGTATGTATACACAATGGGATATTATTCAACCATAAAAAAAGAATGAAACCCTGTCATTTGCAGCAGCCTGGATGGAACTGGAGGCCATTATGCTAACTGAAATAAGCCAGGCATGGAAAGACAAATATTGCATGTTCTCACTCATATGGGAGACAAAAAAGTTGACCTCATGGAGACAGAGAGTAGAATGGTAGTTACCAGAGTTGGGGGGCATGAAGAAGTTATATAGAAGGAATAAGTTCTAGTATTCCGTAGTACAGTGGGGAAATTATAATTAACAGTAATTTATTATATATTTTTAAATAGAAGAGAATTGTAATGTTCTCAACATGAAGAAAAATAGATGTTTGAGGTGACAGATATCCCACTTATACCCTGATTTGATCATTACAGATTATATACAGATATCAAATTATCAATGTACCCCAAAAATATGTATAACAGTTATATATCAAGTAATTTTCAAAAATTAAAATGAGCACACACAACTTTCTGTTTCAGAAAACCATTAAGAGAATGACAAGATAAACCAAAATTGGGAGAAAATAATTGCAAATATTGTATCTGATAAAAGACTTGCAGTTAGAATACGTAAAGAACAGTTATGACTCACTAGTAAGGAGACAAACCAATTAAAAATGGGCAGAATAGATATTTCACTAAAGAAGGTTAGAAAAGGCCAATAAGTACATTGAGTAAATGGTTTACATCATTAATGATTAAAGAAATATAAATAAAATTATAAGTAGATAACACTTCATAGCCACTAAAATAGCTATAGTAAAAAGAGAGACAAATAGTAAGTATTGTCAAGGATATGAACAAACTGGAGCCTTCATTCATTGCACCTAGGTAGTTTTCTTTTTTGAGACGGAATCTCACTCTGTCGCCCAGGCTGGGGTGCTGTGGTGCGATCTCAAGCGATTCTCCTGCCTCAGCCTCCTGAGTAGCTGGGATTACAGGTGCATGTCACCATGCCGGGCTGATTTTGTATTTTTAGTAGAGACAGGGTTTCACCGTGTTGGTCAGGCTGGTCTTGAACTCCTGACCTCGTGATCTGCCCACCTCAGCCTCCCAAAGTGCTGAGATTACAGGCGTGAGCCACCACGCCTGGCTGGCAGTTTCTTAAAAAAAAAAATTATATGAAATTGAATTTTGGTGATGGTTGTACAACATTTACTAAAAGTCATTGAATTATATTCACTTAACATGGGTGAATTTTATGCAATGTAAATCATACCTCAGCAAACCTTAAAAAGTGTGGGCCCGGGACCAGAAGTATCTGATTCACCAGAGAACTTCTTAGAAATGCAAATTCTCAGCCACAGTGAAGTAGAAACTGTGGGGGTGTGGCTCAGCAATCTGTTTTATGAAACCCTCCAGCTAATTCTGATGTAGGCTCCAGTTTGAGAATTACTGCTCTAGATTGAAGGAAAGTTAAATGGAAATGTGGGTTGTTTTTGGTACCGTTTATGTACATTCAGTCTACCCTGTTCCTGTAACTGCAGGAAGGGTTTGAATTAAGGACTGTTCTAGTAGAATTAAAGGAAATTATAGGGCAATGACAGTAAAAATAAACTGGCCTTTCATGTTCTTGGTATGTCCCCATGAGAAGCTCTATGATTGTGATGTTTGTGTACCACATGTTAGTAAATTCCTGTGTTCTTTTAGGCTTGCCATTAATGAACATAGCATAAACAGGTTCATTTGCCATAGCGACAGTAGAAGTTTAGATCCTTGAAAGGAATTATGTCTCCTAAATATTTACACAGTGTAATATAGCAGAGTCAGAAATGTGCAGTGATCACAAAAAAGTAAAGATCTGACTCTAGATTAAGAAGCAGCCGGCTGAACTGAGCAACTCATTCTTTCCCTCCATCTGTTCAGTGTACTTTAAAAACTATGATTAGAAAAGAGGCTGATCTGTACATAGCATGTGTTTTCAGGATTTTTTTTCAGCATTAGCTGGGTGGCCAACAGAAATTTTGAAGGTTGAGGCTGCTCCAGAATAGATCTTCAAGATCCAAACTGGAGGCTACTGGGTGGTGAGTATGTTAGATGAAGTTTGTAGATAGGGTCTCCTTTGACTGGATAGTGGTGACTCCTGCTGAGGTATAAGTTCAGAGGAAAGTAGAGGTTGTGGGGAGAGAGATAAACAAATGTAAGAGAAGGGAGAGAGGGAGGAGTGAGGAATGGCATCATGAATGTATGTCATTTGTTAGTGGAGTTCGCTGAGATTGTAACAGTACAGTATAGAAGCATATTAGTGAATGTAGCAGAAACCATTGTTATTTCCAAAACTTTATTCAGCTATAGGTAAAAAAGAACTGGGCTGTTTGTTGCCGGCAAAGTATATCGCTGCTTCTATCTTTCTCTTTTTAATTATTATTATTATTTTACTTTTTACTGTTGTTTCATTTTGCTTTTTTTCTGTTTGTTTATTTGGGGTTTTCTTTTTTGTTGTCATTCTTTTTTAATGCTTTTAATAGTCAGTATTATTGGGAAAATATAGCAAAATATTAGAATATTCTCAAAGTTGGCTAATTCTGTCTTACGTTATTAGATAATGATGGAGTAGAATAATTTGCAATATGTTTTATTCTAAAAAATCTATGCCATAGCAATCTGAACTTCTCATATTTATTACTGGACAAACTCCCACAGATGCATTTAAGCTAAAAATAAAAACAAAACAAAACATAGGAGCAGTGGAAGAGTAAATGATGCAAAATGATGCAAACTTTTCCCTTTGTTAAGCAAACTTCACAATTCTCTGTGCAGCTCTCAGATTTGTATCTGAATGAAGGTGCACTTGAAAAGTATAAACAAATACAGATAATCTGGTATTATATGAGTAAATACAAATTTGAGTACAAAAGACATAAATAATTTTGGAGTTAAGTGCAAGAATCAGGAGAAGCAACTTTTGGGTGCTTTGTGGGGATGGCAGGTGGGTTGACATACCATGTTTTTTAAGCCAATACATTTCAAAATGTTGACCAAAGACCATTTTAATTATAAAATTAGAATAGTGTTTATTCCCTGCCCCCTTAGGTTTTGTATCTTGTTAGCAGTGAACCTGGAATGTTTATAGTACTGTTGCAAACAACGGTTTCTTCCACAGTTAGTGTTCCTTCCTCTCTATGAGCCTGCTTTTCCTGTCCCAGTATCAACCAGGCCCTTGCCTCTTGCCTAGTCGAATGCCACTTACGCATCAGGTCTTGTGTTTGGTCCTGTGGCAGTTTTTTTCTTTAGTTTCCTTAGTGGTACCATTAAATACTTTATGGTATGGCAACAACTTTATGTTGGTATCAGATACAGGTAGAGAAAAAAGATAAAAGAGGGATTTTGAAAGAGAAAAGCAGAATGCGGGGAGAGAGGGAAGAGAGAGAGAGAGTGAGATGCTTACTGTGGAAGGTAAGGGGAAACAATTTCTGCTTACGCCATTCTTTGTTGAAATTTCTTCTACCTCAGTAGAGGTACTTAATCTACAAATAGGAAACAAACTTTCCATCTTTTTTGTCCTTCAGTTTGTTGATTTGCTTTTCCCCATGATGGCATTTGAAGGTACCATTGAGTTTGTCATCTCTGTGAAGTTTGGAACCCCAAAATCCAAATTAAAGCTCTGCTTTTTAGTTGGTAATTCGGGTCTGTCCATTTTAGGTTTATTTTGTGGTTGGAAAGTGTTCTTTTCATCCACTGTGGTATGGGGCACCAAAAGAGAAGTAGCCAAGATAATTCTGTTCTTTTGAAAGACTGCTCTGTAGCTAAGATTTGATAGGATGTCCATCCTGGAGTATACTTAGATCCTCTGGTTGGTAGACTTTTTATTTTCTCCCAGGCTTGGTGTGGATCCTCTGTGTGATAACTGTACCACTACTAGAGTTGTTCTCTGTGGAAAATGATCATCTTTTTTGAAACATAACAAACTTAAAAAAACAAAAACAAAACGCTGGTAATTGAAGAATTGCTTCTAACTTGTCCTCCACCAGATGGTGCTAGTGTTACGTATCTAAAGGTAAACTCCTTTGGTATTGAAGTAAGGAGGTTGTGTATTTTCTTTCTCTTTTTCTGCCTCACCATATTTTGCCCTTAGTACTTTTTCATACATGCTACTTTCCTGGCATACTGCTGCATCACTTCACATATTTTATATTGTAGATAGTGAGCTGGTTATGCCTTAGTGATCATGAAGGATAACTTGGGAGGCCAAGTAAAATTCAAGAGGGCAAGGACCAAGTGAAATTTAAGGATGTATAATTTGTATTTTCTTATAAGATTTTTTTAATCATTCATTTGCTTCTTAAATGGCCTGTGTGTAAAAGTTGAGAACTTATTCTTGACTTTTCTGCTTAGCTATCTTTCTTTTATGTTATCATAATGATGTCATAAAATGTCATTGCTTGAGATCTTCTACAAACAAATGATGTATTTACCAAGATTTAAGTTCACAATAACTTTAAAAGAAAGCTTGGTAAATTAAAAAAAAAAAGTTGGCCATTATCTGATATGATTCCCTGACCAATTAATAATTGTTCTTACATTTTTAAACCTTTTCTGATTACATATGAGTATTACATGGTTATTGCAGAAAAACTTAAACAAGAATACAATTAAAGTAATAATACATGTTTAAATACTATTAACATTATATTACATAAGCCTGCTTTTTCTTTACCCAGTTTTAACTTAATAATTTATCATAAATATTTTACATGAGATAAAAATATTTTACAATAATAATTCTTAATGAAAGCTTAATTAAATGAACACTGTAATGATAGGCATTTTTTTCCACTTTGTTTCAGTCACAGTTGTGCTATCATAAATAGTGCAGTTTAATTTTTTTGAATTTTTACATTTCATTTGCATGTATTGCTAAAAATATAATAGCTAGTTCAGAGAGAATGTACATTTTTGTGATTTTTGATCTGATTTTCAATTTACCATCCAAAGAGTTCTGCAGTTTGAAAGTCTTTGACGGGACATGATTCTGCTTGTTTCCGTATGTCCTCTTAATCACTAGATTACCTAATTTATTTTATTTTTTTTTTTTTTTGAGTTGAAGTTTCATTCTTGTTGCCCAGGATGGAGTGCAGTGGCGCGATCTTGGCTCACTACAACCTTCACCTTCCAGATTCAAACGATTCTGCCTCAGCCTCCTGAGTAGCTGGGATTACAGGCATGTACCACCACGCTTGGCTGATTTTTTTTTTGTATTTAGTAGAGACTGGGATTCACCATGTTAGTCAGGCTGGTCTTGAACTCCTGACCTCAGGTGATCCACCCACCTGGGCCTCCCAAAGTGCTGGGATTACAGGTGTGTGCCACCGTGCCTGGCCTTACCTAAGTTTTTAAGATGACTAGATATTGCTCATTTGAGAATCCTTGAAATGATAATTCATCATTACATAAAAGAATTTAAAATTGCTTTGATATTTTCTTAGAAGTAAGCTCTACCCTTTAAGCATTAAATCTCAGAGCCCCCACTGTTCGTGGTAGTTTAGTTTTTGGCCTTGTCTCCTATCCCTAAAATACAAACAGCTATTCTTTTGATACTTCAGAACAGGTTATCTCATATGCAAATAATTAAGATTTATGTTGGTTCATGTTTTTAGTGCTTTGTATTACTCGTTGAGAAACCTAGTGCAAGTCATTTAACCTCTCACGATATGTTTCTCAGTCTGACAAGTTGGAAGAATGTTTTTTAGATAAATTATTTTTAAAACTTTGAGATGAGCTAGGCATTTGGCATAGTGGCTTTTTAATACCTTCATTTTTGATAGGCAGAAGGAAGGAAAAGGGGAAGATGCTAGATATTTGTAGAGCCTGAAGAATTCTAATATACTTTTGTAAAGAATTAAAAAGGTATCAGTCAGTGTTGAGTAATTATATCCCAGTTGATTTTTGGTATCTTACTAAATAACTGCATTTTTATTTAAGCAAATTACTTTTAAATTAAGTTCTTCTGTTAACATAAAAGAGCATGTAATTTATTTTAAAATCAGAAAAACCAAGTTATTTTCATATTTGGGAAATGGGAAGAAAAGAGATTCATGCAGAGTCTTCATGAAATCTTGTAAATGAAGGTGAAAACTGTTAGCCCAGTAATTTAAAAAAAAAAATAGTTTTGGCTGGGCGCAGTGGCTTGCGCCTGTAATCCCAGCACTTTGGGAGGCCGAGGCAGGCGGATCACGAGGTCAGGAGATCGAGACCATCGTGGCTAACATGGTGAAACCCCGTCTCTACTACAAAATACAAAAAATTAGCCAGGTGTGGTGGCGGGCGCCTGTAGTCCCAGCTACTTGGGAGGCTGAGGCAGGAGAATGGTGTGAACCCGGGAGGTGGAGCTTGCAGTGAGCGGAGATGGCGCCACTGCACTCCAGCCTGGGCGACAGAACGAGACTCTGTCTCAAAAACAACAACAACAACAGAAAAAACCTAGTTTTTCTTTCTCATGAAAATAATCTCACCTTCCCATCTCAATTTGGCAAAATATAATAATGATAATAACATTCCTTATGGTCAGAATGAATAGTCACTGTAAGAAAAGTTTTTTGAAAACCTAGTTTTAAACGGTTCATCAACATACAATCTGTCATGGTAGAAAAGACTTGTAAACTGTAGAGATATCAATTCTGTTATTTAAACGTATATCTTTTATACAGAAAACAAATTATATTGATTAATGATTAGCTTTTTGTAAGTAACACCATTGAATTTTACCTAAGATAAAACTTAGCATTTTTGTACTGGGCGTAGTGGCTCACGCCTGTGATCCCAGCCCTTTGGGAGGCTGAGGCAGGTGGATCACCCGAGGTTGGGAGTTCTGATCAGCCTGACCAACACGGCAAAACCCCGTCTCTATTAAAAATACAAAAATTAGCTGGGCATGATGGTGGGCACCTATAATCCTAGCTACTCGGGAGGCTGAGGCAGGAGAATCTCTTGAACCTGGGAGGCGGAGGTAATAGTGAGCCGAGATTGCGCCATTGCATTCCAGCCTGGGCGACAGAGTGAGACTCTGTCTCAAAAAAATAAATTAATTAAATAAAGCAGCATTTTTAACTCAATAGGGTTTTTGTTAAAAAATTTGAAAGTGAATGCGTTGATATTGTAGGTACTTTACTTGCTTTTTACTTTATAAGTGTGTGGTTTGTTTCCTTAAAATAAAAATCCTAAAAATAGTGCTTAAATAAAATATCTTAAATTATCAATTTAATTATAGAGAATTGGCATATTAACTTTTAGATCTGGTAAAATGTAAATTCAATGCTAGCTTCTGAAGTGTACTTTCTTATATCTAAAGCTTGAAATACTAATGTATTGGTTTAGGTGAAGGTCTAAACTATAGCAATTTGAAGGGCCTTCTGAGTACTGTAATAATCTATAAATAATTAGTTGAATTACAACTGTGGCAGTTAAAATCCCCCCAGATGATAAATTCTGCTCAGTCATCTGCTTCATGGCAAAATACATAAAATAATCAAATTGCTAGGATTTTGAGGCTAATTTGTTTGTACTGCTGAGAAATTTGTTTTGTGAAATGTAATATTAAATCGTTAGATATATGAATTTTATATAAAGTTCATTTTTGCTTTCTTCAAAATATATTAGAGATAATTGGAATAATTTCCCAATAGTTTATTGGAAAATTTCCCATCAAACAGAAAGTGTTTTCGTAAATTTAGTGTACTTTTGGCAAGTGTCTATTCTTGAACTCTTAAATAGGAATGAAAAAGGGAGGGTATTAAAACTTTTGTTCTTAGCAATGTCTGGAAAAAAATCATCACTCCCAGTTTGATTTGTTTCATTAATTCTAGTCACATATACTTCTTCAGTCCTTACATGTTTTATATTGAAGTAATCAATGTTGAGGTTTTTCTGTGCATTTAGGTTATTTAAGATTTCTGATCTATGCTGAGCACTGAACTGTGTATTAGACACATACTCTTCAGTAAGTAAAGCATATGAAATTTACTACATTTTGTATTGATTTAATATTAATGTTAATCCACAATCTTTGGGTGCAATGTGTCACATCTGTTTTGTATTCCTCTGTTTAAAAGAAATGGCAGTATGGTATTTGGAGGAATATTTATTATCTGAGTGTTTTTCTTTGCAATAGTTTCCCTCAGTCTATTGAAAATTATAACCTCCAAAAGCCCAGCAAATTCTCAGGTACCCAGTTGCTAACAACCACAGTTAATTGGAATTTTTATTTACCATTTAAGTTCCTTTTATTTAAATAGTTGTAACTTTGGAGGCTTCTGGAAATGATAGAAAATAAATCTGTGGTGAGATTTACAAAAATATTCTTTTCTCTTAATAATAGGTCTAGCCTGTACTTCATGGATACTCTGTCTTTTTAGAAAAGACTTTGTTAGATTGAATGTTGATTTGTATTTAAAAATGAATTTTCCATAGGTGGTGGCTAAATATTCTTATCCTGTAGTAGTGTTTCTTAACCTTTTTGGGGGTCACGAATTTAAGTAATCAATGAATGCTAGAACCAGCTTTCCTTGGGGGAAAATTTATATAAACACAAACATTTTACATGCAGTTCTGATTAATCCTGCCTCTTCCTGCCCAATAGTCCAAGGGCCCCTGGTTAGGAAATGCCACTATAATGGAACTGAAAAAATCACTTCTTAATTTAGTTTTAACATCACATTATTATGTAACACTACATTTTCTTCACTACAAGCTTTATTTAACATTACATTTTCTCCTTGATCATTATATTATTAGAAGATAAGCGTAATGTAAATGTTATTTTGGAGAAAATGCAGTATTACCTTTTAATTTTGAAGCTGGTCTCTGAAGTTATGGAACGTATTTGACTCCTGTATGTCCTCAAGTTCTGCTTTAGATAAGTAAACAATTCACTTTACCTTTTGATCAAAGAAAAAGGCAAAGGAAGAGAGATACGAGTTCTTCTAGATCTTTTGTTTGAGAAAGTAGCTCTTCCTTAGAAAAATATGTTGCGTTGGTTGTTTGGCACAAAAATATGAGTTCTCATTTTATTGAGAGTTTGAGAAACTATTTAAGGGTTACCTGGTTGTGCTGGTTAAGGGCTCAGACTTGGAAATCAAGCAGGTTAGGGTCCAAATCTAACTCAGTTCCTTTCCAGCTATATGATCTTGGGCATACTACTTATCCCCAAAATGGAACCTACTCCATTAAATGAGATAATGTCTGTAAAGTGTTTTTTTGCTTTGTGTATAATATGCACTCAGCTGTTATTGTATCATGATGATGGTGATGATGAAAAACAGGATAAGCAGCCTTGCTTTTCAGTTGTAGTGTTTATTTTTTTCTATTTAAATTTAAGAGAGTAGATCTTGGTTGCAGAAAGAGAAGTTGTCACATTCCCCAGAATAATCTTCTCAAGTTGTGGTGGCTTACATTTGTCATAAAAATTTATTCAAGAATTCTCCAAAGATGGGGATAGCAAACTAACTTTTCCACATTTTACTTCTCAATGTTCAGTTGTTACAGTGGGGCAGTACGTTACATGTCATCCATTAAATTTGCCTCATGCAATTGAAGTAAATACTGAGGAGCAGAGAAAGGGAGAGGTTGCTAAGAGTGAATTAAAAAGTGAGCCCTAACATGTTTCTGGTTTTGAATATTGACACCTACATGGTCACATGGTATAGAGCCACATGTATTGTGTATACTTAGAGTAGATGATGTTTCTTTGCCTGTCATGTCATAAAGGAGAACTCTAATGTAAAAATTTTTCATAAGCTGTACAAAATGGCAATCCCCATACAAATGTCAGCTGTAAGACAGTATTCTCATTGTGGGTTGTATGGTATTTGGAGCCAAAGAAGAAAGGAAGAGAATGAAAGAGAATGATTTGTGTGACTATTTGATTAAATAAATGATGAAAGGAATTAACACCTGCCTGAGTGGAAGACTTTAAGTTCACTGAAAGGATGATGATTTTCAGACCCTCCTGAAAAGAAGTCGGATGACATCCTGTCTGATCCCTTTTTTTTTTTCATGTTGTGGTTGTTAATTATAACCAGGTAATAACAATAACAGTGCTTATGATGGTGGTTTTTTTGTATGTCTGCATGTGCACATATCCACACATATGTCCATATGCTTTTCAAGGTGCCTTAGAATGATTCATTCAGGTAAGAATCATAAATGTCAGTCAATAATGAATTATAAATACAGGAGAGGCTATGTGCATTCTGAATATTTTGAAGTTGGCATCATGGGAGAGTATTCATTGTATTAATCTATAAACCATCTATTGTTACCAGTGACAGAGAAAGCAACTGATTTCTCTGATTGAATTCATTATGGATTTAAGTCTGTGTATTTCATATGTGAAAAAAACAAACACTGCATAATCATTTTATATTAATGAAATATTAGATGCTGTCAGTATCATTGAGATATGAAGAGAACAGTTTGCCCTGTTATTTTTTTTTTTCTGGTAATGCCTGGTTTCATTCATTTATTTTCTTTGACCAGGCAGGAAGTTAGGAAAGTGATATTCCCCTTTTTCTGTCTTCTCAGTATCGTCAGTGAAGCAGGAGCATCAATCTACAGTGTCAGCCCTGAAGCTAACAAAGAGATGCCAGGGCTGGACCCTAATTTGAGAAGTGCAGGTAAGAAACTATGGACCATCACAAAAACATGTGATTTTGATATTTTGGGCAGCATGTGTGGCATGCTAAATATTCTAAATATCAAAGAAAATTTAAAAGTTATACTACATGCATAAGAATTGGCATATTAGAAAGAAAGTGGTTAATTGGACTAATAATTGAAATTATGGAAAAGAAGAGGAAGAATATTGTACTTTTTAAAAGAACACTACTGTTCTATAGTGGAAAGCTAACCCACAAAGTCTTTAGCAAAATTAAATGCTAGAGAGTTCAGTAATAAAAATAATAGGCCGGGTGCGGTGGCTCAAACCTGTAATCCCAGCACTTTGGGAGGCTGAGGCAGGTGGATCACGAGGTCAGGAGTTCAAGACCAGCCTGGCCAAGATGGTGAAACTCCGTCTCTACTAAAAATACAAAAATTAGTTGGGCATGGTGGCAGGTGCCTGTAATCCCAGCTACTCGGGAGGCTGAGACAGGGAATTGCTTGAACCCAGGAGGCAGAGGTTCTAGTGAGCCAAGATTGTGCCACTGCACTCCAGCCTGGGTGACAGAGCAAGACTCTCTCAAATAATAATACTAGTAATAATAATATTAATAATAAAAGATCCTAAGATCTTTTATTATTGTTACAAAATATTATTGAAGCTTTTTATTGGCAAAAAGTAATACAGTAACATAAAAATATTTGTAATACAAATTTATGAAAGTACACAGACTTTCAGTTTATTGCCAAATATTTGTCAAATGACCAGTCTCTCATCTTGCTAATAGAGTTGTCATTTGATCATGTTTTGCTTAAAACAGCTTGCTTTGATTTTAGTTG
This sequence comes from Homo sapiens, assembly GCF_000001405.40. Lineage (NCBI taxonomy): Eukaryota > Metazoa > Chordata > Mammalia > Primates > Hominidae > Homo > Homo sapiens. Next base: position 45,487,416 of record NC_000002.12, on the reverse strand, counting down.
TATTTGATTGCTTTGATTTCTATAATGTGGAAGAGTCAAAATCTTGTGTGTAAAGAAATTAAGATACTATGATGCATCTAATGAAAGCAGTTGGTATCATAAGCAATATGTTAGATCAGGTCAGTGCATTTTTCTGTATAATAAGTGAATATTTAGACCACTTGGTTAGTAATGGACCTTTTATTTAATTTTTTCCTTAAATATTCTCATCAGATTTCATCGGCTGTTCTTGAAATCTATACCTGGAGAGATATATATGAAATTTTTACAGTAATCTAAAGCTAAAAGCGTTCTTACGTCCAAAAGAGCTTGTAGTTTCCCTTTAGTTGTTTCATGACATAATTCCCTCTCTAAAATGATCATCTTCTTAAATCTGAGCTAAAAATCTTGCTTCTCCTGGGAAGCTGCTTCTTAGCACAGCAGCTCAGCGTGATCTCTGTCTCCTTACCATGTACTCTTTTGGTGGTTGCCTTATAATAATAATGGCAGAAGGAATAGAAATAGTAGTCATACTGGGAGCTGCTAATAGTAATTTTTTAAGCACTTAGTATATGTGAAACATTGTGGTAAGTATGTTACCAAGATTATTTTATCCTTTCTATTCCCCTGTGAGGTATTTATTATTATCCCCACTTTTTAAAATTTATTTATTTATTTATTTTATTTTATTTTATTTTATTTTTTTTGAGATGGGGTCTCGCTGTCACCCAGGCTGGAGTACAGTGGTGCGAACTCGGCTCACTGCAAGCTCTCCCTCCGGGGTTCATGCCATTCTCTTGCCTCAGCATCCCAAGTAGCTGGGACTACAGGCGCCTGCCACCACGCCTGGCTAATTTATTTTTTTGTATTTTTTAGTAGAGACGAGGTTTCACCATGTTAACCAGGATGGTCTCGATCTCCTGACCTCATGATCCACCCACCTCGGCCTCCCAAAGTGCTGGGATTACAGGCGTGAGCCACCGCACCCAGCCTATCCCCACTTCTAAAATAGGAAACTGAGGCTTAAAAAGGCCACATAGCCAGTAAATGTGCACATAATATTTGTGTACCTAATTTCTATGATAAAAGGGTACTTTCATTTATAAAAAAATAAAATCCAGAATTTCTCAAGTTGCTATTGAGAAGGTATCTCCCAATAGTGTGTTGGAAAAAATATTTAGACCATATTTTCTGAGAGGTAACAATCCCTCAGGCCTCCCGCTGCTGAAGATACTGCTGTTTCTTCTTAACCACTGGCCCATGTGTGTAAATAATTGTCACAGTATTATAGGTGAGACAGAATTACAACATTCCAACAAGATTCTATGAAAATAGAAGATAATAAAATGGAGAATCATTCTATGATTCTAATTACTCTAATTTCAAAGTCTAGCTGTGTCATCAGTGTGTGATTCATTTTAAGTATCTGTGTCTTCCTTCTGTGTCTTAGCTCACTTCTATGTGGCAATGACCATGTTTAATATATACCTAGAAACTTTGAGTCTTTAAAATCTGGTCCTGGAGTCAAATATTCAAAGAGCTTGGAGTCTCTACTCTTGGTTTTCCAGAGTCCACTTTCTTTTCAATTCCTATTTCTCATTGGGAGTCTTTCTTTTTCCTGGTGATTGATGCCAGGGGTGACTTTTTACGTTATGTGAGATCTGAGCTACCTACGAGTGTGGATTTTTTACCTTTAAGTCCTCTAAAAGTTTGCTGTATAAGAATATAACAGAACTTCAAAATTTATATGTGTGTTAAGCATATGTAAGAAAATAACCCTCATTACTACATCTCACTGGCCAGTTTATCAGCTTATTGAAAACAGAAGTTGTCTTCTATATATATGCTTATATTCCCCCACAATGCATGGTACATGGCCTCTAAATTGGATGGATATAGTAGATGGATGATATTAAACTGTCTATTATGGATTTAAAGTGGAAGATTGAGTGTATGTTTTATTCCTTCTCTCCTTCTGAAATTGATTAAAATGACATGATAGAATGAAAGCATAAACCTACTAAGATAAAACCTACTAAGATAAAAGGAATGGGAAAGGAGATAGCAACAACAACAACAAGATTTGAAGCTTAAAGCAGATAGATGAGCAATAAGTCACCTAGTCAACTTGAGAACATTGAATTCTAAGACAGCATTGTAGAAAATACAGAACTAACCTGGGATGGATCACGAAACCCCTATAGGTTCAGGAAATGGTGCCAAGTACTTTGGAAGTATGGTGAGAGCGTTGAGGCTAGGTTGAAAATGAAAGTATTGGTTGAAAGTCTGTTTAAAAAGCAACGAGACCAAATTAAACATAGGCCCAGCAATTTCACTCCTAGGCATGTCTCCAGAAAAATTGAAAACAGGTACTCAACCAAAATACTTGTACACAAGTGCTTATAGCAGCATTATTTATAATAGCTAAAAGTTGGAAACAACTCACATGATGAAAGAATGAACAAAATGTGGTATAGCCATACAATAGAATATCATTCAGCCGTAAAAAGAATGAAGTACTGGTACATGCTACAACACCATATGAACCTCAAAAATGTCATGCCAACATAAGTAAAAGAAGCCAATCCCAAAAGACTACATATTGTATGGTTATATGAAATGTGCAGAACAGACAAATCTGTAGAGATTGAAAACTGACTGTAGGTTGTCAGGGACTGGGGAGAGACAGGAATGGACAGTGACTGCTTAATGGGTACAGGTTTTTCTTTTGGCATAATGAAAATGTTTTGGAACTTGATAGGAGATGGTGGGGCACAATATTGCAAGTATGCTAAGTAGCACTGACTTCTGTACTTTAAAATAGTTAATTATATGTTATGGGAATTTCACCTCAATAAAATAACAATAACAATTAACATCCCCTTCCACACAATTGAGGAACTATCTTTTTACTACCTTTGCAGAAGACTGGGGATTTGTTCTCTGGAGAGGGTTAAACAGAAGGTTTCTACGATAGAGGGCACAGCTTACAAATGAGAGTGGGGATGCTACTGAAGTAAAGGGTAGTTGAGTAAATATTTACATGCTGTTTTAGAGATGTTAGGAATAAACCTGTGCAGATAAGAGGATTCTGCCAATACAAGAGACAACATTGAAGAAACTTGGGATTAGAGGTACCACAAAGAAATGGCCAGAGCACCCAAAGTAAGCCATAGTTGACAAGCCTTACCACTGGGCAAAACACTTAAAGTCATTGTTTTAGCATCCTGCCCCTGGTGGACAGTCAGAGGTCACCTAACATGTAATGAAAACTTCTACTATTAATATTAAAAACAGATGCCAGAATACACTAGGGAAGAAAAAAAGCTACTTGGAGGAAATAGAGATGATGAAGACAGAAGAAAAAGTTTAACATTCTCAGAGAAATAAAAAAAAAATTATTTATTTGGAGATATATTTACATAAAGTAAAAGTCACCCTTTTTAGGTACATCATCTATGAATTTTGAAAAGTTTATACTAGTTGGGTAACCTTCAGTCTACCTCCATTATGTCAGGATACAGAAAATTTTTTTCAGTTCAACATCTTTCTCAGCTTCTTGTTCAAAAATGTAATTATTACTTAGAGGGTCAGGATTACAGTAGATTTGCATCGACTTCTAAAACTACATTTTAATAAGCATTATAGTGAAAAAATTCTAATTTAGAGTTGTTGACTGAAAAAGACAACATGGGGGAATTTTACTTATTTTCCTCTGTTCCTGTCTGATGTCAAGGAGAAGGATAAAATGAGATGAATATTGGACTTTAAAAATACAGATATCTAATATTGCTAGATAACAGGATGAGACAAATTTTAAAGAGAGTACAGTTCAGTATAGTCTTTTAAGCAAATAAACTGATTTGCTCCAGAAGCTTTAGGATTCTAGATATTTCATAGAACTGAAAGGCCAAAACCCATGACATTCTTTTTATTCTTTGGATATAAGACATATTATGAGTGAGGAGAAATGTTGCTTTCAAGGCTACTGCATGTGGTCATGCAAGTTATATACTCAATCACTTTACCATAGGAAGTAGCTCTGGTTGCATATCTTTTAGGATGGTAATCTTTACTCAGTCTGGGATCCCTTCCCAACTTTTGGTGTGTCAAATGTAATTTTTTTCTCTAATGCTTAACTTTTTCTATTAATATCCCATATTAATTGTCTTCCTCTATACATTGACCTATGTTACCATTTAATAAATTAGCATTTATTAAAAAACCTAAAATCCCTATGTGTACTTTATGTTCTTGTTTCAGTGGTCTGTCTAGACTACCACAATGCAACTCTCTCAATTTCTGTGGCTTATAATATGCCTTGCTTTAATTTTTTAAAATTGCATTTTTCATAGCATTTCTTTTGTGTTTTGCAAATGAACTTTAAAGCCTTTTAATAAATACAGTTGACCCTGTGCACGTGCCCACGGATTCAACAGTGGATTGAAAATATTTTTAAAAAACAACACAGCAATAAAAGTAATATAGATTTGAAAATATAGTATAACAATTATTTACATAGCATTTACATTGTATTAGGTATTAAATGTAACCTATAGGTGATTTAAAGTAAATGGCAGGGTATGTGTAGGTTCTATGCAAATGGTACTCCATTTTATATAAAGGACTTGAGCATCCGCAGATTTTGGTGTCTGCAGGGGTCCTGGAACCAATCACCCAAGGATACAGGATGACTGTACTTTTAAAAGTCTATAGTATATAGAGTGAAATTCTGTGAAATTTCCACTTTCATCCTTGTTCTGCATGTTTTATTTTTATTATTCATGGGTTTGTGTGTGTGTGTGTGTGTGTGTGTGTGTGTGTTTAACGTTGTGAATAGGTTTTTCTCCATGATTTGATGTTTTTATTGTTTTTATTACATTTTAATTTCACCATACTGTACGTAAAATCTCTGTAATTTATTAACTTATAACTACAATTATGTACCCTTTCACCAGCATCTCCCCATTCTCTCCACTCCCCAACTCCTGTGTTATTGGTTCGATAGCATATGGTAGAAGCATCAATTTTTGTTTGTGTGTCTTGAAACTACCCAACTAATTGGAACCTTATTAGTTCTGTTATTTTTTCATTTGACTTGCTTAGGTTTTCTAGGTAGACAATCATCATACATAAATAATGTCATTTCAATATTTATATCTTCCCTTTTTGTCAAGTTGCATCAACTAGAGTTTTCTGAACAATGGTGAATAGTAGTGATACAGCAAACTGTTGTCATTCATTATATGTGGGCAAAATAGTATTTGGCATACATTTGGACATACTACATTTTAAAAAATAATAGCTTCATTGAGATATAATTTACATAACATAAAATTTACCCTTTTAAAGTGTACAAGTCAGTGTTTTCTAGTATAGTCAGAGTTGCACAACTATCACCACCGTCTAGTTTTATAACTTCATCCTAAAAAGAAACCCATGCCCATTAGCAATCACTTCCTTTACTGTCTTCACTCACCACCCAAACTCCTGGCAAACATGAATCTACTTTCTCTCTGTATGGATTTTCCTGTTCTGGACAGTTCATATAAATGAAATCATACAATATGTGGTCTTTGTGACTGGCTTCTTTCACTTAAGCATAATGTTTTCAAGATTCAACCATGCTGTAGCATGTATCAGCACTTCATTTCTTTTTATTGGCAAATAACATTCTATTGTATGGGTATACAACATTTTGTTTAGTCATCAGTTGATAGATTTTTTTTTTAACATTTTTGGCTACTATGAATAAGGCTGCTATGAAAATTCATGAATAAGATTTTATATGGACATATGTTTCCATTTCTCCTGAGTGTATGCCTGAGAATAAAAATTGGGGCACATGTAACTATGTTTAACATTTTCCAGAAATCTTTTTGACTTCTATTACTTTGCTGTCCTCGTCATTTATTCTCTGCCTCTTTCATTACTTCCTCCTTTTCTTCTCTGTCTCAAAATGTACACGTTCCCTAAGTTTTGGGCCATAACTCTTCCTCTCTCTTAATTCTCTTTATCAGCAATTCATTAGACTCCCTTTTCCTGAGCTACCTCCCTCTTACTTTCAAGAATCTTTTGTCAGCCTGATCATTCTCAACCTCGAGCTCTGCATTATTACTGTCCACTAAATAACGCATTCTTGATTATCTTGCCGGCAGGAAAGTAGCACCATCTCTCTCTAAAGCCTGGACATAGGAGTTATAAAAATGTCGCATGACATTTTTGTTTTCTCAGTGCATACAAAAGTTATGTTTATACTATAGTGTGTTAAGAATCTAATGGCATTATATCTCAAAAAATATGTACACATCTTACTTAGAAAATATTGTTTAAAATGCTAATGATCATCTGAGCCTTCAGCAGTTCACAGTCTTTTTGCTGGTGGAGAGTCTCGCCTTGATGTTCATGGTTGCTGACCAGAGTGGTGGTTACTAAAGGCTGAGATGTGGTGGCAGTTTCTTAAAATAAGACAACAATGAAGTAGTCTGCTGTATCAATGGACTCTCCTCTCACAAAAGGTTTCTCTGTAGCATGTGATGCTGTTTGGTAGCCTTTTACATTCAGTAGAACTTTATTTAAAATTGAAGTCCATATTATCCATTCCTGCTGCTGCTGCTTTATCAGTGAAGGTTTCTCTGTAGCATGTGATGCTGTTTGGTAGCCTTTTACATTCAGTAGAACTTTATTTAAAATTGAAGTCCATACTATCCATTCCTGCTGCTGCTGCTTTATCAATGAAGTTTATGTAATATTTGATATCTTTTATCATTTCCACAACGTTCATAGCATCTTCACCAGGAGTAGATTCCATCTCAAGAAAACACTTTATTTGCTTGTCCCTAAGAAAGCAGCTCTTCATTATGTCAAGTTTGATCATGAGATTACAGCAATTCAGTCACATCTTCAGGCTCCACTTCTAATTCTAGTTTTCTTCCTATTTCCACGACATCTGAAGTGACTTTCTCCACCAAAATATTGAATCCCTCAAAGTCATCCATGAGAGTTGAAATCACTGTCCTCCAAACTCTGGCTAATGTTGACATTTGCCCTCCTCCCATGAATTATGAATGTTATTAATAGCATCTAGAATGGTAAATCCTTTTCCAAAGATTTTCAACGTACTTTGCCCAGATCCTCAGAGAAATCACCATCTATGGCAGCTATAGCCTTACAAAATGCATTTCTTAAAAAATAAGACTTGAAAGTCAAAATTACTCCTTGATACATGGTATGCAGAATGGATGTTGTTTTAGTAGGCATGAAAACAGTATTAATCTTGTACATCTCCATCAGAGCTCTTGGATGACAGGTGCATTGTCAATGAGCACTAATATTTTGAAGGGAATCTTTTTTTCTGAGCAGTAGGTCTCCACAGTGAGCTTAAAATATTCAGTAAACCATGCTATAAACATATGTGCCATCGTGCAGGCTTTGTTGTTTCATTGATAGAGCACAAGCAGAGTAGATCTAGCATAATTCTTAAGAACCCAAGGATTTTCAGAATGGCAAATGAGCCTTGACTTCAGCTTAAAGTCACCAGCTGCATTCCCCTCTAATAAAATGAGTCAGGCTGTCTTTTGAATCTTTGAAGCCAGGCATTGACTTCTCCTCTCTAGCTATGAAAGTCCTAAATAGCATCTTCTTCCAAGAGAAGGCTATTTTGTTTACATTGACAATCTGCTGTTTATTGTAGCCACCTTCATTATGATCTTAACTAGATCTTCTGGACAACTTGCTACAGCTTCTACATCAGCAATTGCTGTTTCACCTTGTACTTTTATGTTAGGAAGATGGCTTCTTTCCTTAACCCTCACAAACCAGCCTTTGCTGTTTTCAGACTTTTCTTCTGCAGTTTCCTCACCTCTCTCAGCTTTCATGGAATTGAAGAGAGTTAGGACCTTGCTCAGGATTACACTTTGGCTTAAGGGAATGTTGTGGCTGGTTTAATCACTCAGACTTTCTCCATATCAGCAAAAAGCTGTTTTGCTTTCTTATCATTTGTGTGTCCACTGGAGTCACACTTTTAATTTCCTTCAAGAACTCTTCCTTTGCATTCACAACTTGGCTAACTGACCCAAGAGGCCTACCTTTCAGCCTTTCTTGGCTTTCAACATGTCTTTTGAATAAGCTTCATTATTTCTAGCTTTTGATTTAAAGTGAGAGACGTGCGACTCTTCCTTTTACTTGAACACTTAAGAGGCCATTGTAGGGTTATTTATTGGCCTGATTTCAATACCGTTGTGTGTCGGGGAATAGGGAGGCCCCAGGAGAGGGAGGGAGGGGAATAGCCAGTTGGTGGAGCAGTCAGGACACAGACATCATTTATTGATTAAGTTTGTTACCTTATAGGTGTGGTTCGTGGTGTTCTAAAGCAATTACAATAGTGATATCAAAGATCATTGGTCACAGATTATCATAACAAATATAATTAAATTTTGAAATATTTCTGAGAGTTACCAAAATGTAACACAGTGACCAGAAGTGTGCCCATGCTATTGGAAAAATGGCACCAATAGACTTGCCCAACTCAGGGTTGCCGCAAATTTCCAACTTGGAAGAAATGTGGTGTCTGAGAAGCACAATAAAGCAAAATGCAATACAATGAGGTATCCCTGTATTCTTAAATTCTTGACTTGGTTTACTGTTGTGGGGGTTTTTGTTGTTGTTTTTACTCAGAGTATTTTGGCAATGTATATGTGTTGAAAATCATTCTTATTGCATTACACATTTAAATGTTAGGCTAAAGAAATAATATTTGCTTTAGAGAAATTCAAGTATATCTCTACTTTAAATCTGTAATTATAAATGTGGTTATTAGAAGAAAGCATTTCTCCTATCACCTGCAATGCTTGCACTAACTAACCTTTTGTGATTGATTTCTTTAAATAATAAAGGTTTATGTGAAGGCCTTGGAATCCCCGTCTCTTCTGGGAGAAAAATAGATTGTGTAACGCCAGCTCAGCGTTCTCTAAGCTTGCTTTGCAAGGAGCTATTGTCACTATATATTAGATGTAGTAATAAAGGATGTGAAAAAGACTTGAATGATCATGTGTTGAACTTGATGTTCACAGTAGATAAGTAGATCTTATGTCTGATTAGAGAAGTGGTACAAATCAGCGACTGGAGAATCTGAGAGTCACTTGCAAGAGATGACTTTTGTTTCCAGACCTTGAACAGCTTAACATGGAAACAGGCATAGGATTTTCTTTGATGGTCTTAATATTTTCACTTAATGAATTTATATTTCATCTAACCTGTATGAGAAGGTGACACTGATTAGCTTCCATGTGTTTTGAAAATGGAAGCAGTTCATATATATATAAAGACTCAGTGTAAATATGCTACTGGAGAGGGAGGCTGCCTTTAGAACTATTCATAAGAGTTGTAATAGTTATCTTTTTTTTCTAGCTAAATCTATCTTATAAACGAAATTAGATGTGAATTTTTATTGATATTTGGTAAAAAAAAAAAGGACAATAAATGACGAACAAGTAAAATCATGACACAGTTAAAGGAATGTTTGAAATTAACTCTAAAGTTTCTTGAGCATGGATTGTAATGGTCAAGAAAGGGATGTAATTAGAACTATGGTGTGTTAAGAGACAAGCAGTTGGGACAGAAGGAGGATCACTTGCCAGGGCAATCTTGCAGTCATATTCAAGGCCACATGAGTATATTCATTAGCCAAGTAACTTGATCTCTGGTTGCATTAAGATATGATTCTGCTGGGCGCAGTAGCTCATGCCTCTAATCCCAACACTTTGGAGGGGTGAGGCAAGAGGATTGCTTGAGCCCAGGAGTTCAAAGCTGCAGTGAACTGAGATGGCACCACTGCACTCTATCCAGGGTAACAGAGTGAGACCCTATCTCTAAAAAAAAGGAACTTTAAAAAAGGAGGTAATTCCGTCACTTGTTCATTATTTGGGGGATCGAGTTCTAATAAGCATATTTGACATATAAATATATTTGTAATAATGCAGAATTATTTAAAACAAGGTTTTGCTTCCTCTGTGAAGCATGAGGTATCCTATTATGCTTTACGTAAAGAATGAAGAATGAATAGGTAATCATGTAAGTATAGGGAGTAAACGTTTTATTTGTTTTTCCAAATCTATAATCCTGTCAAACTACTTTGTGTTCAAGAATGCCTAGGAGTTCTGATGACATAATTCATGAAATTTTGCATTTACTTTTTGTGTGGGGAAAAAAGAGAACTTTGAAATTTAAATTGTTGGCCTTTTTTAGAGGGATGATGAGGAGGGACAGGATTAAGTACTTACATTATGAGAAACTAATGTAAGTAATTATTAGGTACTGCTTTTCACATTAAGTCATACTTGTTTTCTGATTCTGTTTTTTCAGTTTCCATAGCAAGGCGTGTACAAGATCCATTAGCTGAGCTAGTGAAAATTGAGCCAAAGCACATTGGAGTTGGAATGTATCAGGTAAAGCTATGTGGATCATTTAATTTATGAAATCCATCAATACAAGGAGCAGTACTCAAACCTGGGATAGTAATTAAGTGTCTGTGGGAGTAGATTCCCATTTTCAAGGTTATACAGTTTGTGGAAAGTAGGAGTTTTAAGTCATCAGGGAAGGAGGGAATTATTTTTGTCATTGTTGTTCTCGTGTTAATGATTTTGATTAAGACTTAGAATTGACTGTGGTCAGATTGAAAGACTATGAAAACACTAGATGAAACTAATAACTAATTTGGAGAGAGAGCCTCTTCTTTTAACATTATTATAAAAATGGTGGTGCTATCTAAAATAATTACAATAGTGATATCATGCATTGAACTTGATCTTCACAGTAGATAAGTAGATCTTATGTGTGATTAGAGAAGTGGTAGGTAATAATAGTACTCGTTTTTGTTGTTACTGTATTTTTAATTCTTGAGGTTGTATGTGTTCATTGGGCAATTCAAGACAGCACTAAACCTTGGCAGAGTGAATTTATGGTGATAGCAAAATGGTATGTGGGGAAGTTGTCTCCAGAAGGCTTGGGTCACATTGTTTTCCTCCTTGTCAAAAGCTATTAAATGTGAAATAGAGTATTTCCTTCTGTATAATTTTTATGGGATTTGAATGATAGGTACTATACTACACTTTTTCTAAAGAAATATATTATGTCATGGAATCTGTGACTACTAGATATGGAAGACACCTTAGAATTCATGTAACCCTACCCCCCTCATTTGATAGAAAAAGAGGCAGTGTCCTGGAGTACTTAAGACATTTACCCAAGATCTCATGGTAGCAAAGCTTAGATTAACCTGTCATATATTGAGATTCAACTGGGAATATTTCCATTTTATAGCAAGTTGGACTAAGGCATTCAGACCTTTAACTGGACTTACTCATTTCAGAAAGATAGTTGCTAAAGGGACTGATCTAGCTACAAGTAGATAGAAATGACTGGTATCTAAAGAGTACAACTGGCTAGGTGCAGTGGCTCATGCCTGTAATCCCAGCACTTTGGGAGGCCAAGGCAGGTGGATCACTTGAGGTCAAGAGTTTGAGACCAGCCTGGCCAACATGACAAAACTCTGTCTCTACTAAGAATACAAAAATTAGCCGGGTATGGTGGCGCGCACCTGTAGTCCCAACTACGTGGAAGGCTGAGGCAGGACAATCGCTTGAACCCAGGAGGCAGAGGTTGCAGTGAGCCAAGATTGTGCCACTGCACTCTAGCCTGGGTGACAGAGCGAGACTCCATCTCGAGAAAGAAAAAGTACAGCTATAACAGTTTTGTGATATAGGCATTATAGTGAAGAGGAATTATATTCATTCAAGATAAAGTTATGGAGCATCTTGGCAAGATAGTGGAATAAAGAGAAGATTCCAAATTTATGAAACCTGGGCAGGCTAATAAGCTATTGACTTCAAAGAGATCTTTAAGTAAATAGTGGAGACCTAACCTCCAGATTGGGATTCAGAGATAACGTTTAATGTGAAAGACTTTGGGATTCATTTTAACAACAGTGAGAAGTAATAGAAGAGGTTTAAGCAAGGGGGGGTGGCACAATCTGATTTATATTTTTAAGCATTGGCTCTGGCTGATCTGGGAAGAGTGACTTAGGAAGAAGAGAAGCAATAGAACAGCTAGGAGGCTCTTGTACTAGCCCAGGTGAGAAATAATAGTGCTTGGACAAAGTTAATGGCAGTAAAGATGGAAAGAAGTCAAGTCTGTTTTGCAGGGTTTGTGTGGTGATAAGTGAGGGAAAGGAATTATGAAGAACTTGCTCCAAGGGTTCTGATATGTGGATGATGCTTGAGTAGAGCAGGTTTGGTGGGTTAAGATCAGTAATTCAGTTTTAGACATGTTAAGTTTGAGATGCCTATAAGAAATCCAAGGAAAGATGTCAAGTAGGAGTTGGATATATGAGTCTGAGATTTAAAAAAATAGCCATATTAACATTGGACTACTCACTGTTCAGCAAATAATGAAACTAAGAACGTCATCAAGATGGTGGGCTGAATTAATGATATTCTTTAATTACACTACCATCATCAGCTGCATATTCAGAACTCCTAATTCCATGAGTTGACAGAAAAGGTGTACATGTGTACCTATATAAATACATATTTATTTGAATAAATTGATAACAGCATGGGAAAACAAGAAAGGGTCCCTCCCATTAGTGGATGGAAATCTCAGGAATTCCTGACAGATACTAAGCATGGGGAATCACACTCATGGAGAAATAAAACCTGGTGGAGTCACAGTTCAAAACATATACAGATCATTGTGTATCATTATGTTCTTGAGGTAGGTGCAGTTCCCGGTAGAGCCAAACTAGTCAGATTCAAATAGTAGGGAGAGGGTCTGAAGTATTAGATAAGAAGATACATATAGCAAAGCTAGGCCTGTACTGACCTCCTCCTCCAGTATACTGTGAATCCAAGCTGAAGCACTGACCTTAACATAGGCCAGAGAGGCTGGGAGATAGCTCAAGAGACCTTCGAATGTCAGGAAGCTCAAGGAGCCTCATCCTGAGAAGATAAATTCCTGCCATGTACATGACACCTGGCATGATGTCCCACATTTCCCACATTATCACCGGAGGTGGGGAATAGTAAACAGAAACAGCATACACAGACAGACAGTTAGGGACTCTGAAACGATCTCACTACCAAGAATGATTAAACATTTGAGGAAAACCTATGGTAGACAAATGAGGCACCAAACTTAATAAACAAAAAGTAATAGCGAGTGAGACAATGAATAAGTAACAGAGACTTTGAAATAAGTAAAAGTAAGATTCATAGAGAGAAAAGAGATTATTGCATTTATAAAGAAATATGTATTAAAATGAATTCAAACCAATCAAATATCTTAGAATTTAAGAATGTAATTATCAGGATTAAAATGCATAATTGGACTAAATAGAGTGGACACGGTTAAAAGCAAATTAATGAATTGGAAGGTTGAATTCCTTCAGAATGCAGTTTTGAACTGAAAAAGGTGGAAAGCATGAACAAAAAGTCACATGATACAGAGGACGTTCTAAACCTTCAGCGTTCATCTGATGTAAAATTGAAATAGTATGGAGTTATAATCACAGAAGTAATAGGAAATTTTCCTGAACTGAAGACAGACAAGTCTTCTGAAAACACCTTATGAATGCAGAAGTAAAGAATAACAAAAGGCCAACACTAAATTCCTGCTTATGAAATTTCAGAATACGTGATAAAGAGGAACTGACTAAAAGTATTCAGAGAGCAAACAGTTTATCTGCAAAGGAAAGAATGAGATTGACAACAGTCCTATTATTGATAAAAAATAAATGATAGAAGATAGAATGCAGTAGTTGTGGAGTTGTGGGAAAAAACATTTTGAACTCATAATTCTAAATCAGGCAAACCATCAATTTAGTGTGAGTGGAAAATAAAAACAATTTTGAACCTTCTCTGATTGTTTCACACCTTCTTTGAAAGAATTGATGGAAGTACTCCCTTCCAAAAAGCAGGGGAGTGTCCAAAGAAGGGAAAGACATAACATGGGAAACATGTACACACAGTAAAATGTATAGTTGAGCCTGATAGTTTTTAAAATCTATAATGTTAATCTTTAAATATTTAAGTCTAGATCAGATCAGTTCAACATGGGAGAGTAGAAGAAAAAGAAATGATAAAAAGTATTAAGATTCTTTTTCAGGAAAAAGATTCAGATATAAATTAACTCTAGAATTTGATTAAAAATATAACCTGAAACATATGAAGAACAACCACCAATAAGATATTTAATATAAATCATGAGAGTAAAATGTAAAAAGTTTATAATTTCATCCAAAGGTAGAGAAAAGAAAATAAGAAAGTATAGGAAATAAACAACAAAATATAAGGAGATAGGAATAAGTAATAGGTATTTAAAAGTGAATGGGCTAACTTCCCCTATTAATAGAACTTAAGACTTTAAAAAATAAAGTACAGCTCTAACTTACATATGTGCAAGAGACACTCCTAAAGAAAAAAAAAACAACCTTGATATTAAAGATTTGGATTAAAATATTCCACATAAATGAAAAAGACAGCCATAGCAATGTTGACCTTAGACAAAATAGAACTTAAGGCAAAATCATGAAATAGGAAAAAGAAAGATATTTCATGTTAATAACAGTCTTCCAAGAAAGTATGATTGCCCTGAGCAATCTGTTACCTAACAGCATAGCTTCAAGAAATATGCATATTACAAACTTTTCTAAAAATTAGATGAGACAAATTCACTGTTTTTGCAGGAGTCTTAGTAGACCATACCATATTAATATATACATTTTAAAAACAGCTTGAAGCTAGGCATGGTGACACGCACCTGGCCTCAGCTACTCAGAACACTGAGGCAGGAGATCATTTGAGCCCAGGAGTTTAAGGCTATAGTGAGCAATGATCATGCCTTTGCATAGCCACTGCACTCCAGCCTGGATGACATAGTGAGACCCCCCCATCTCTTAAAAAGACAAACCCAGCTTTATTGGTTCATAATTGCACATCATACAATTCATTGATTTAAAATGTACAAGTCAGTGATTTTTTTAGTATAGTCATGGAGTTGTGAAAATAGAACATTTTTATCACCCCAAAAAGAAACGCATTCATTAGCAGTCATTCTCCGTTGTCCTTTCTTTACCAGCCCCAGACAACACTAATCTATTTTCCTCTAGATACTTCATATACATGGAATCATACAATATGTGGGTTTTTATGATTGACCTCTTTCACTTATAATGTTTTCAGAGGTGGTCTGCATTGCAGCATGTATCAGTACTTCATTCTTCTTTATGGCTAAGTAGTATTCCAGTGTGTGTATGTGTGGGTGTGGGTGTGTGAGATATTTTGTTCATTCATCAGTTGGTAGGCTTTTGGATTATTTATACCTTTCAAGTATTATAAATAATGCTGCTGTGAACATTTTTGTTCAAGTTTTTATGTATGTTTTCATTTCTCTTGGATGTATACCTCAGAATGGATTTGCTGGGTCATTTATTAACACATAATTTTAAAGCCATGTCATGAATTAGGAAAATTATTTGCCACAAATATATATGTATATGTGATAACTGCATATTATTAAGGTTTTGTTTTATTCTTGATTTATATACATTTATAGTTGGTTTATATAAAACATTTACATAAAATATGTAAAGAGCCACTACATACCATTTACTGTGGAAGAAACAAATTTCTCTCTATCAAAGAAACCCAAATTTTAGAGGGTGTTATTATTTCAACCTAACAATTAAGTAAAGTTGTAATAAGATGAAAATATCTGTGCAAGTCAGAAGGATACAGTGAGGTGAACATTTTATATACACTGCTGGTAGAAGTCTAAATTACTATTTCTAGCAAATAGTTAATACCTATTAAAATGCACTTGTAAAAATGCATTTCTTTTAGTTCTCCCTTTAGCTAGTTCTAAGACAATAAGAACTGCTGTTAAGATTCATACACAAGTTTACTGTAATAGCAAAATATTAGAAGCAACTACAATAGCAAAATAGTTTTTAAAATTATAGTATGAGTTGAAATATACAACTATTTAAACAGGCTTTCAAGGAAGATTTAATAATGTGAGAAATTGTTCTTGTAGTATTTTAAAATTTCAACAAAGTTGTTGCTCTAGAATAAAAACAATTTGTGTTTTAAAAATGTAGGCATGTGTTTACATTGAAGAAAAAAAACTAAGCAGGTGACTGATACTTGTTGATGTGATTTTTTTTCACTTTTTGATTTTCAAACTCCCTATAGTGAATATGTATTAGGAAAAATTTGTTGTAAAATGTATAGCCATTAATAGATTTCCCTTACAATCAGAGTGGGACTGAATTTATTTTTAGTCTGGACTTCTAAGTGCTTTCAGTATAAACTTAATACTTATTTTCATTTTGATTTAAGATATGAGTAGATGGACAAACATTGCTGTTTAAAAAATGAAAGCTGTTCAAAGAGAGAATGTTAAATAGATGAAATAATAGAAGCTATAATATTATTTCAATAGAAACTAAAATACTTTTGGTTTAATAACAGCTAAAATGCTAAAGGCAGCGTTCCAATCCTTGTCTTAGGAGATGGGGAGAGGTGATTTTAAAAACACATGCCTGTCATTATTTCTGGAGAGAGAGGCAGCCAGTGTGGTCAAATGACAACATATCCCTAACTGACCCCTAAAGACTTTGCTGGAAAGTGACTTGATGTTACTCCCAAGAAAACACTCCAGAGTGAGAGCAGGATGATGCAGGTTTGGCTCTGTTGAGTTCACTGGGACGTGGGGAATGGTGGTTTAGCTTGGCCTTGTCATATCCTGAAAGCTCAACTTAAATACATTGGATTTACTTGATAATTTTTTCTTCTTTGGACTGTGTTTTCGGTACTTTCATGCTCATTAACACCTCCATTTGGTAATGAACACACACAGTAAAGTAGGAAAGACTCAGAACAGTGCTCTTTCCTCCTTTGTGCCTCTCTGTTAGATCATTTGGTGATGATAGAGAATGAAATGGTTGGCCAAAATAAGTTTTTGGAACTGTTATTGGATTCTATATCCAGGCCATCTTTATTCTTCATTATTGTGGATAATGAATAATTACTGTAAAAGGAAAATCATCTTCCCAGCGGAAATTTTTCACAGTAAAACCTCAAAGGTGGGAATTTGCATTTTCTTTCATTCCTGCTCTGTGGAATCAATTCTATGTAAAAACAAATCAAAAAAATAAAAAACAAACTGTTTTATAGTCAACATGTAGAGATTATTAAATGGAGTTTTAGTTTAGGTCTAAATAAAGTAAGGTTTCTTGCCTGTTCTACAGTGTTTGCTCAAATCTTTTAAAACATTTTAATTCCTTAATTATCATAGTAAAGTGGGATACAGAAAAGAGTCTGTCCCATGCCCGGTCACCTAGGTGACTTTTGTTTGGATTTTTGCCCCATACACAAAAGCAGTATTTTGAAATAGAGAAAACACAAAGGTGAAACAGAGGAAATTGTTCTAAAACTGAGACATTATTTACACAGGTGAATTCTCTGCCAAAATGGTTTTGCAATGTTGTCCCTTGACTCTAAGGCCCAGGATATGGGCTGTACTGAATCTTTGCTTTACAGGGTATTATGAGTGAAATTCAGACTTAGCCTTGCAATTCAGATATTTCATTCACTTGTGACAAAGCAGAGACCTAACTGAAGGAAAACAAGTAATTGACCTTGACTAGGTGTATGAACCCAACTCATGTGTTAGAATTTGCTATTTATTCCTTAAATTTCAAGTTTTAAAATTTCTTTTCTGGGTATTTTTCCCTTCAGGATGAATTATGCTTCCTATGTTGAAATACTAGCTTTAGTTTTCTCAAGTTCCTGGAAATCACCAACAATGTAATAAGCCATGTATACACACACATAACCTAGTGTAACACCATTACTTATCTTTAAAAGAAATGTGAAATGATAGCATGATTTGAAGAACCTTTTACCAATAATGCCTTAAATTAAAATGACATATCTAATTTCCTTTATCTTTTGTTTGCTTACTCTGTGTATGTCATTGACCTTGGCAGTGAAACTAGATCCATTTCAGTTTCAAGTTCACCTTCTAGTTTTCGTGTTAGCACAGAAATCACTGTTACAGTTTCTAAAACTTTAAGTTACTTTCAGTGTTTAAAACTAATAATTATATGATCATTTAAAAAATTATATATAACATTAAAAATACTATCATGAAAGAAAAGATTAGTAAATTCTACTGCATTAGAATCTAAAACATCTCTCAGTCAGAAAACAATATATAGACCATCCATAGACAGGGAGAAGGTATTATATTTACAACACATAAACTATAAATGATACAGAATATGTAAAGGTCTCTTGCAAATCAAGACATGAAAAGACAATTCCAGAGAAAAACAGGCAAAGGCTATGAACAGGCAGTTCACAGAAGAGGAGATACAAAAGAATAATAAAGCTATGAAAAAATTTCTCTCTCTTACCATGAATGGAGGAAATGCATGCTAAAGCCATAAACCCTTCAGG
Source organism: Homo sapiens (assembly GCF_000001405.40). Lineage (NCBI taxonomy): Eukaryota > Metazoa > Chordata > Mammalia > Primates > Hominidae > Homo > Homo sapiens. The sequence goes on along the minus strand of NC_000002.12, from coordinate 45,468,919 downwards.
CTGTCAAAAATTAGTCTGATAATTCAGATGTTAGCAAGCATGTGGAACACTTGGAATCTTGTACATTATTTATAGCAGTATAAATTGGTACCACCACTTTGGAGAGCACTGGAAGTTAACAGAGCTGGAGATGAGAATTCTCTTCAACTCAGCAATTCTGTTGCAGAATGTATATAGCCTAGAAAAATTCTCTAAAATGAACCTAAGAAGACATGCACAATAAATTCATTGAGACTGGGCACGGTGGCTCACACCTGTAATCCCAACACTTTGGGAGGCCGAGGTAGGAGGATTGCTTGAGCCCAGGAGTTTGAGACAGCCTGAGTGACATAGTGAGACGTCATCTCTACAAAAAAGTAAAACAATTAGCTGAGCATGGTGGTGCACACATGTAGTCCCAGCTACTGGGGAGGCTGAGGTGAAAGGATCACTTGGGCCCGGAAGATAAAGGCTGCATTGTGTTGTGATTATGCCACTGCACTCCAGCCAGGGCAACAGAGTGAGACCCTGTGTCAAAAAAAAAAAAAAAAAGTTCATTGAAGCAATATTTATAGTAGTGAAAATTTGGAAATACTGTGCTCATCATCTGGAAACTGGAAAGATACACTAGTAAAGTCAAGACTGTGAAAGAACAGATAGAGCAGTGAAAATGACTCAGAAATGCTAGATTAATATGGAGAAACCTCATAAGATGTAATGTTAAGCGAGAAAGTAAGTTGCAGAATATGTACAGTATTATAGGGCTGATATAAAATTTAAAAATATGAAATATATAGGATTTATGAATACCTATATATAGTAAGATTATAAAAATAAGCGCAGAATTTAAGATGATAGTTTGGATGGGGCATGGAACGAGAGAAAAATGGGAACTGGGAGAGGTACACCAGGAGTTTCAATCATATTTATAATATCTTATTTCTTAAACTGGTTGGTGTTGCTTATACTCTGTAACTTTTGTTAAATATTTCATAATTTTTTAACAAGATGCAGGAAAGCTTGGTCAAATGCTACAGATGCTTTAACTCGGGAACTTTGGCTTTCAGTTGGTTTTAGTGTCTTCCCTATATATTGATGAGTGTGTGTGTACATGTGTGTTTTACAATGAGAATTTACTTATAATCAGAAAAAGGTAAGCTATTTTCATTGTTAGTGAAAATTTAAATATACATTTCATATTATATGTTACCTTTCCCTTCATAATATTCTTAGAAATCTTTCTCAAGCCCCTAATGTTGCACGAAGTCAAATGCTTTGTAAGGCACAGTTTTGACACTATCTTAAAAAATATCTTATCTCATAAATGCAGGTTTTTCTTCTGTGAATTTTAGGAATTAAATAATTATTTTTCCCCCATGGTCATTTTAGACAGATGTGGCCTACGACAAACCTGTAGACTGCCAAATTTCTAGTGCTTATATACAGGGCAGAGTTGGGTAGAGCAGATGTTTAAGGAATTATGGTATCATATGTTACAGTAATGGTACTGTCATTTAACTAGCATTTATCGTATACTATTTTCTTTTCGCCACTACCTGCTTCCCTCACTCTTAAATTATTTAAATGAGAAACCTTAAGATTATGCAGGGGAGTTTTTAAAAATACCTAGGCTACATCTCCAGAGTTTGTAGTTTAATTGGTCTGGGGGTGGGCCCCACATGCCAACAAGCTTCTTAAAATTCACATGTAATTCAAATGTACAACCAGGGCGGAGAATCACTAGTTCTGAAAATACAGTCAGTAGACTAGCAGCATCAATATCATCTGACAATATGCTAGAAATGTGCATTCTTTCACTTGCTTCCCAGACCTGTAGGATCAGAAATTCAGGGGGATTGGACCCTGTAGTCTGTGTTTTATTGGCCTGGGTTTGAGAACCACTGGTCTCTAATGCTCCTCAAACTTGACTATGCATATAAAATCCCTTTGTTAAAGATGCAAACTCTGATTCAGTTAACCTGGAGTGAGCAATGACAGTCTGTGTTTCTAGGAAGCACTCAGGTGATAACTGTGCTGCTGGTCTGTTTTGATTAACAAGAGACCCTGCTGAAAGTCTCCTGGGCCCTCCCTCAGGCCTGTTGAATCAGAATCTGATTTTAACAAGATTTCTAGGTGTTTTGAATGCACATTGCAGTGTATGTAATGTAGGAGGAAAATTAGGACATGCCAGTATCTAAGGGTGAGAGTTTGAAGAAGCAAAAATCAGTATTGTGAAACACAACCAAGATGAAATAGGAACAGAACTGAAAATGTGTCTTTTGTGTTTAATTTTAAATGTTTCCTTTAAAGAAATTTTCCTTTAAAGTGAACGTACTCATTTAAAATATTGATGATTACCATAAAAATAATTTCACTGGAGTGGTGGAGGCAGAAGTCTGAAAGAATTAAATCCAGGACTGAATGAAGTGTAAGCATTTGAGAGACAAGTGTATACAAATGTTTAAGGAAGAGAGTTATTTAAGGAGGTCAGGATTTGAATGTGTTGAATGTCACTGGGAGGAGGGAGAAGTGGAGAGTGAGAAGTTGAATATGCTGAAGAGGGAGGCAGCTGGTTGCCTGAGGAGATGGCATCCACAGGATGCCTCCAGGAATAGCCTAAGGAAGAAAATGGAGAGGAGCTCCAGAGAGACTCCTGTGGGGTAGTAGGTGCCCGGCAAGAGATGGAAGATAGCAGGACTGTGAGGAGTTGTTCCCCTACATTTCTTATCTTCTCTGTGAAGCAGGAACCTACTCCCTGCTAACTGCTCCCTCAACACACACAAAAGAACAGCTAGTGTTAAGTGTCTGAAATCACAGTATTTATTTGCTTACTGTGTTCCTCTTCTAGTGCAATAAAAGCCCTTACATGAGGGTAGGCTGTTTCCACTTCTTGTATCTTCAGCTCCCAGGACCTGGCACATGGTAGATATTCAGTATTTCTGAATGAATGCATGGTAGATTATTGGTATAGTTGACCATTTATTGTATTTTTTAAACTTTATTATAAACACACCATAAAATTTTGCAGCCTCTCCAAATTTTTGTTGAAGTGGGATCAGAACTGAAAATGTGTCTTTTGTGTTTAATTTTAAAACAATTCTTGTTCATTTAAAATCAAGAAAATGTAGCCTGGTCACAAATGCTTCTTAGATCCAGGTGTTTTGAATGCACTGTAATGTAATGCACTGTAACATGCATTCAGAACACCTGGAAATCTTGTAAAAATCAAGGTTACATTAAAAAGTGTAGCCTTTCACTTAAAATTTTAAACCTGAACTGTTAAATAATATTTTTAAAATGAAACTCCTTTGAAGAAAATATGTTGAAAATCATTGTCTTCCTTTCTAGTTTTCTTCCAGTCTTATACTTTGATCATTAAAAGTGTTAAGTCCTTTATGTTCAAGGTAAGAATCTGTTCAGTTTTTTGTCCAGACAGGGACCATGGTGTTTTCTTGCAGTCTGGATCATTTCCCATCAGAATTTTGACTGTCACATTCGTGTGTCTGTGTGTGCATTTATATATATATACACACATATATGTATATGTGTGTATATAGTCAGCCCTCCATATCTGGGGCTTCCAAATTCAACTAATTATGGATTGAAAATATTGAGAGGAAAAAAAGGATAGTTGCATCTGTACTGAACATGTACAGACTTTTTTTCCGTGTCATTGTTGCCTAAACCATACAGTTTAACAACTATTTAAATAGCCTTTACACCGTATTAGGTATTATAAGTAATCTAGAGATGATTTAAAGTACACAGGAGGTTGTGCAGCATAGGTTAAATGCAAATACTACACCGTTTTATATCAGGGCCTTGAGTACCTATGGATTTGGGTATCTGCAGGGAGTCCTAGAAAAAATCCCCCATACCAGGGGATGACTCTGTGTGTGTGTGTGTGTGTGTGTGTGTGTGTGTGTGTGTGTGTGTGTGTACAATCTCAACCATGACAGTTTCTTTTTAACAGAGTATTGGTACTCAATTAATTGAGAATAGTTATGACAAATGTTTAAAGATGTCGGTAAAACCACTTCATTATTTCATAAATAGCCTTTTTTTCTTATTTTATTAGGTTGTATTTGGCATACAACTTACTTTTTATACTTTTGTATACATTTTTAGAGCTTTAATGTTCAGACTTCAGTTACCTGAAAATATTCTGTCTCATTTACACATTCTGTGATCTGGAACACTGATCCAGTCTCCAATTTTGTGTCTCAGTGTTTTATACCTGTGTGAATTTCAAGCCCTTGGGTTTAGTTGATAGTGAATGGCTGGCCTTGTGAAGGCCTCGTTAACATATTCAAAATGTAATCTGTCTCAAAGCTGAGGTAGTGACCAGAATAACCAATGCCACATTCTTTCCCTTCTTTGTGATAGAATGCTTTGTGTAATTCAGTGTATGGAGGTGACACTTACAGCTCTTTATTAATTGACCTTTTATGAGGGCTGTTACTTGTTTATTATATTTGCCATCTAACCAATGATCTGAGGACGTGAAATGTCTTTTCAAAAGGTACCCTAGAACATCGTTTTTCTGTGAATTGGCGAGCAAAAGTTTCTTGAAACCTAATAGGATAGGAGAGAGCTATCTTGCATACCTCATCTCTTTTCTGTTCTCTTTTGACTTGGATCTTTCTGTGGGAGTTCTGTATGTGAGCACCTGCTTGAAAGGTGTTTGGTAGTTTAGGGCCAGAGAGCATTAGAATGGCCATGTAGTTGAAGTGAGAATGGCTAAGGAAAGTGAAGAAGGAGTGCTATGGATGAAAGAACTGGAGTTCTTTAATTTAGCATACATCTCCATTTCTTTACCCCCTCTGCAAGGCATATTCTGTTCTCGGTGGAAATAATCCTTACCAGGACAGATCAGAGGTAGCACTTATAAAGGAATGTTCTTTGATTATGACTAAATCAGTAATTAGGACTTACAATGTAAAGTGTAATATCTTTATCCAAGAAAAACTTTGTTGCGATGGGATTCATTGGAATAGAATTTTTCCTTTAAAGTGAACTTATTCATCAAAATGTAAGTTATGGAAGTTCTTAGTAATTTTATCTTTGTTTGATACAGAGCCCTAAGGGAGTTTTTAGTGTACTGGTTATGTGTGGATGCATATATTGGTTGTGTGTGGATGCATAGTTTGTAGACTAAAAATAGTAGAATAAGATTACTCCAAAAATGTTTAATCCTTCATAAAGGTATTACTGCTTTGCTAAATTTTGGGATATAATTATATGTGGATAACCATTTGGCACACTAACAATCTTGGATGTAATGTTTAACTTTACTCATGGAAAAAACCATGTAATATAATAATGTTCACATTAGAAAAAATGTTGAGAACCCAAATATAAGATTGTGCTAGGTGATTATAGCAATTGAGAAGAGAAATAAAATGTGGAAGCACTATGGGGGGCCACTTATGAGAATTTCAAAACTGTATCCTGAATATCTGATACTTGCTATTTTTCAGGAATGTTGATTAACTCATTCCTTTATATATGTGTGTTGGAGTGTGAGTTGATCATGATCTTTAAGAATAGCACAGGCAAATGTAATTACTTGTAAGATTATGTTACATTTTAAATTTAAGGGGAAGACATCATCATTATTATAGGGACAGTATGCATTAAATGCATAATCCTGCAGGAAGGCCTAAGGTATAAGAGTTGAAGTGGGAAATAAACCCTGCCTGCAAAGTGATTTTATAATGTGGTACAGAGACAGGAAGGGTGGCCTCGTTGAATTATGGTATGGGTTCACTCATGGCAAAGTTCTCCGTCCAATCTATCTTATGCTATAGACAGTTGTGTTACATTGTCTTTCTTTCTGGTGATCATGGAAAGGAATTCTAATGATAAAAGTCTGTAGTGAGGGAAAATTATATTGACAAGAGAGATTTCCCCCCCCCCCCCCGGGTTATTCTCAACAATTAAATATCATTACCATGTAAGAAAAGTTACTTATCCTGGATTCGTGTAGAATGAAAATTGTTTTTCAGTCCACAGAAATGCATGTGTTGTCGTTTTGAACAACTAACCTTAAAAAATCTATTTTTGGGTGGGATAGTAGGCAGGTTAGCAGCCTTCTTAGTGTACTTTTTTTTTTGAGATGCAGTCTCGCTCTGTTGCCCAGGCTGGAGTGCAGTGGCGCGATCTCAGCTCACTGCAAGCTCTGCCTCCCAGGTTCACGCCATTCTCCTGCCTCAGCCTCCCAAGTAGCTGGGACTACAGGTGCCCGACACCACGCCTGGCTAATTTTTTTTTTTGTATTTTTTTTTTTTTAGTACAGACGGGGTTTCACCATGTTGGCCAGGATGGTTTCGATCTCCTCTTAGTGTACTTTTAACTCTGCTGATGTGTTGTCTTTAATAATCTAGAGCAGGGCACCCAATCTGTTTATTGTACTGTATTATTAAAAAGTGTATATTCTTTTCAAATGCTTAATGGAAAGGGATAATTTTCTGACATATACAAGGCTTTTGTTTCATTATTTATTTTGAATACATGGGGCCAGAGGGTATGAATGCAGTTAGGTTTTGTTGGAAGGGAACTTGCAAAGACTTTTTGAGGCATGATGTGCAAGTGAGTGTTTTTAAGTCTCAGAGGTGTGATTATGTCATAACAGCCATAACCTCTGGGCTTGCTTTATTACTTTTATTAAAACAAATCTGTATGAGGGCGCTATGTATATTTTGGTGATGAAGGAAATGAGGTGGTTAATTTATTATGTGAACAGCACTTTCAACTAACCACAGCGTGATTCGCTGCGAGTGCAGTGAAAAAGCCTAGCTCTGTAGAAATGACTGCATTTTGATTTGTGGACCTTAACTTTCAACACCACAACATGAAGTTTATCTACAAAATGATTCCTTTTTTTTTCCTGTAATGTTTTTGTACAATTTTTAATCTCTGTTTCTTTTCTTCATTTTATTGTGGGAAAATAAAAACTTAGTAAATGAACTAAACAGCTCTCATCAGCAAACTGAAGAGAAAAAAGGGAGGAGGATCGACACGTTAGGGCATTAGGGAACTGAGTAGCATCTTTTTAGCTTCCAAGTATCTCCCACATCTATCTCAGAAGAGGACTCCACAGAATAAGTCAATATTCTAAGCTCTCAATGAATGACGATAACTATCTGAAGTCAAATAAGAGTCAAGGAAAATGAGGCACCTGTTCTTCCCTTTTGTAGGATGCATTTTTAAGCAGATCCATAGTGGAAAAGAAAATTAATATCTTGTAAGAGAATCTCTGAGATTTAAAAGTTGGGGGGGGCAGTTGAATCTCTGAGGTTTAAAAGTAGGGGCGGCGTCAGTTATGGGAGAAGGTGGGGATGTGTACCACACAGAAGCATATGCACTGTAGAGTGGGATTGACAGAGGGACTTGTCTGTCTAACGAGTTTGCAGTATATAGAAAGCACTTGTTGTATACTCATAAACAGCCATTGAAAGACCAAGAAAAGGTTGTTTTCCTTGGAGTGGAGCCATATCCAGCATCATCTGGTGATGTGAACCTGCCTAGAGAGAGAGTGAAAACAGGTCATCTTCCCAGCAGTATTTTTGAAAGACTCCGTCATTTTCCAGATGTGCCAAGTACCAACCATTAACAGACAGGAAGACTTGGAAATCAGTAAGCCATTTAACTGCCAACAATTAAGGTATTTTATATCTGGAACATTACAAGTCTCCATGAAAGGAAGGATAACAATCCGTTTTATATTTTATCTCTGCTTCTTTGGAGTGGCACACCACATTTCTCTTCAGATCCCTACATTTACTCTAAAAATTGTGTCATTCCTTCATAACACTTCCCCAGGAGAGTTGACAAAGTCCAGGAGATACATTATTTGTGTAGTTTAAAGACAGGCTATAGAGGAGAGAGGTCCACGCCTGTGGTTTCTGTAAACAGGGTAGACTGGGAGGGAGCGCTGGCACGCCTGGTTGGGTTGTTATTCGGTCATCATGACCAGTCATTCCTGGTGACTTTGTATCTACTTTGAAACTGCTTCCATAGTGGTGATTAGTAATGATCATGGACAGTCCCAGATTGAGGTAGAAATTTCATTTTAAAATTGGATTGTAGGCATAACTTCGTTTTAATGGCATTGGTTGGGCCTCTCAAACTTTCAGATGTCTTCACTAGTAGAATTAAACTATGTCCTGGACATTTCAAGAGAGTTATCTTTGATACTATGTAAGCCAGCATTTAAATTTTTAAAAGAGAATTTGTGTTCATAATGGTTTTGCTACTTTTTATAAAGTTGAGATTTAAGAAGTTATTCTTGGGAGTTGGTTTTGAAAAGTCTGTTACTCTTCCTTTCTCTCTTCTAAATGCCCACCACAAACCAATGCAGAACATAAGTTATTTTTAAAACATAGATAATAGAGAAGCCATAATTTCAAGTGTATCCTTGCTCTTCCCTGCCTTCCTCAGCATTTCCTTCTGTGCCTGCTTGCTATGTGCCTGTTTCCTCGACTCCCTTCCAACCTTCTGTGAGCTGCCTTTTGAAGAGGTGGTTTGTTCCCTAGTTCCTCATTCAGAACCCCCCTCATATGGTGTGAAATACAACCAGCCTTTTAAAAAAGTGATCCAAACCTCTTTTACGATTTGAAACCTAGTCGGATATGTGTTGACAAATTTAAGCAACTTTTTTTAGTTTTTCAAAATACAAATTTACGGGCATGCTACCAGAATTAGCATTAACTGAACACTGACCCAGTGATGGCAGCAGAATGCAGAAGACATCCAGCCCAGTCAGCTAGATGATCAGGGCATGATTGTGAATAAAATGGAACATGGAAGTTGGCAGTGAGCCAGGACGTGTTTTCTTGTGGATAAATTTACAAACTTAATGTTTATCATTAAGTTTGTAAAAGGAAATTTGGACTCTAGATTAGAATACTTGGTTAGTCATACCTTGGGCACATAACTATGCTCATTGACCTATGCCCATCCTTGCCGTTGGGTTATTCAGGGTGTGTTTAGTGAAAATTTCCCTGAGAGATAAAGATCTTACATAGACAGGAGCCTGCTTTAAACTAAAATTTCAGAAACATTTTCACTGGCACCATCCTTGTTCAGTGTGGTTTAGTGGAAAGAACACAGAGCCCTGGACCCCAAAGTGAGCTATGGACCTTGGTTTAGCTACTCATGTGTCATGTCACCTTGGGAAAGTAATTTTACCTTCTTGGAAAATAAGATAAGGATACCGATATGTTTTCTGAAGGAGTGTTAAAGGGAAAAAAATTAGACATGGAAGTGCCTCAAGGTGCATATGTGAAAGTGTTTTCACTTCATGAAATCAAAAAAATTTCATTCACTTTAGTAGTTCTTTGTTTAAACCTTTGATGTTAAGGTCCTGTTTATTCCTGTTGTTTATTCATATGCTAACCTTATCAAATATTCACTGAATCATTTAATTTCAGGTTACAAGGGACCCTCAAGGTCATTTAGTTCACACCTGTCAGGTATAAGCATGTTCATTCCTTTCTGCTGAAAGGAAGGACAGAAGCAGCCAATGGGGAAAGCTTCCAAAACAAAGGATCAGAGAGAGTGGCAGCGTTGCTGTGGTCATAATCCAGGAATGAGGAAGTGAAGGCCCATTGCCTGCCTCTTATAAATAGTAATGACAGGACGTGTTGCACAGGGAAAGATAGGCATTTAAAGTTGAATTGGAAAGTACACTTTAAACTTCTGTTAGTTATTACCTACAGAATTTTTTGTAAGTCTATAGTGTTTTACTTGTTATCCTTGTGTATCTGATTCTTCTGTTGTGGTTCACATCTAAATTGACTCAGTATTTTGGAGGTGGGAGTGGAAGAGGGTAGAATGCTTAAAAACAAACACAGCAGCAACAACAGAAACAAACTCTGTAGTTTGTTGGGATGCATGATCTGGTTATCGGTTGGCAATAAGAAACAGCTGTTTGTTTGTTGACAGCCTGCCTTTCCTCTCCCCTAATCAAGCTGTTTCTCATCATGTAATTACCAACTCTTTAGTATTTGAGACTTGTGGATTTATAGTTGGTCATATAATATTTGCCAAAACGTCATAGTTTACATAAAAAATTAGTGATTCCCCTGTAGTCATTCTACTGAAATATGAATGTGAGTTGTAATAAAATACCTGAAGAGACTTCTGAAATTCATTTCAGACTTAAGGGAATGTAGAGGGTGTTTTGTGTGTGTTCTAAAAAGGAAGTATTGGTGTAACTCTTCCCTCTCTTGTAGACTCCACTGCCAATCTGAAAAGCATTCTGTTTTCAAAAATGTAGTAAGGCAGCACTGATGTGGATAACAGGACAGATTTTGTTCTGATGAAGAAGGATATGGTTGCTTGTTTCTGTCTTTGTCTTTTTTCTTAAAACACTGTTCTAATTTTGAAGCCAAGTGTGAAAGGAAATAAAGTTGTCAGAGGGTCCAAGATGATGTTTCAGTCTTCTGGGTAGCTTTAGTAGCAGAAAAATAGCTGAATGTACCTCCTACTCTAAAGAGACTTAATTTAGGCCATTTTGTAAACAGACTACTTTCAGTCTGGCTTATGCTGAGTGAAGCCCATTTTGAAATAAAGGTAATCCTGTGTTTTAGGAAAACAAGCCAGAAAGGGTGAGGCTTCTGTTGTTTCATTTAGTTTTACCCTTCAAAATAAAACAAATGTTTTCTAATCACGCTCAGGTCACAGCTTCTCTCAGAATGGAAAAGTTTCTCTCTTCAATTAATCTTTTGACATTGCAGAGATAGTTCAGAAAAATCCCCTTAAAAGCTACAGTGCCAAAATTTTTTATTTTCATAAACTCCAAAGTAACATCACAAGTTCTCCTTGGTTTGATAGGTTTAAAATTATAATGGATTTTAGAATATATTATTTTCTCTTTGATCTCAAAGACATTACATAAATTAATTTTTATTTTAAAAGAGAATATGTGAATAGTAAGTGCTTTTTGAGATATGAGCTGTAACTAGGAAAGGGAATAATTTAGTTTAAAATTTGTAAAAAGTCAAATTTTGAAAAGCATATTTTGTATGAGTATAGTTTCTATTCTCATTTGCATTGTGTTTGTACTGTTTTTCATCTGAAGTTTACACCTACATTTTTTTCTAAAAGCATAAGTCCTTGAAAATATTTTAGTTTAAATGCACGTGTCAAATTTCTTGGTCTCTTGAAGTCAACAGCTCCCAAATGTTAGCTGAATTAGACTATCAGTGATTTCACCAGGTGGCTAGTGACAGTTAATATTTAGGTTTTTACCAGAACATGAAGTGTTTGTCGGGGTATTTTTTTAACATACGCCGTGAGAATGACATTTCTTATATTACTTTAAACTATTTAATTGCAGTTAGTATCAAGGCAAGATTTGTTTCTTTATCTTAAAATATTAGCTATACCATGAAGTTGAGATTTGAAATAAAAAGATTACTTCTAGCTTAATTGGAGCAGGTAGGAAGTGGTGGCATATAAAAGGTGAATATTTTCATATGCACAGCTGTGCATGTATTCTTAGGGCTCTGTTGGCCAAAATCTGTTGTCCTAGTAGTGCTCAGGTGCATAATTCAGTCAGTTGAATCACAGATGATCCATTTTCAAAGCACTTTAGTAGTTGGGTGTCAAGGGAAAAAAGTTGTAATTTTAAGAACTTCATCCGCAAATCATGTAATGGTATTTTTAATTTTAGCTTCCCAAATCTGTGTGGACAAAAATTATTCAGTTATAAATAAAAGATGTGTAAATCCTTATTCCAGTGGCCTTCTTTGGGGTGACAGGGAGGAGTATTAGGCGATGTTACAGGATATTGTTACAGTTTTATATTTTGTTTCTCTGTGTTAGACTTTTCTATTTGATAATACTTTTTCAAAAATGATGCTATAAAAACCCATTATTATAGAGCCATTAAAAATACAGGTCTATTATCCAGTGATTAATATCCATGACCTTTATTTTTGGATCGGCTTCATAAATATATACATTTTCTATGTCAGCCATTGTCTGGAATTTCATTTTTGTTCTGCTTTCCATTACATACCATGAATTAAATGAAATTAATTTAATCGCTACTACAAACAGAAATTAAACGTGCCCTAATCCAGAGTTACGTTGTTTGCTTTTACAACTGTAAGTCATAAGTAATTAATTTTCCTTGGAAAATTAATTCACTTAGCATTCCCAGTAGCATCATATGTTGACACAGGGTTATAGATAGTTTAATATTTTTCTTCAGCATGCTGGCCTCAACTTTAGAAGACCTTAAATGAAAACAAATTAAAATTTACTCAACTGTATGTAATTTGGGGCTATTTAAAATAAGTGTTGTTGTTATTGATAGCATCCAGGTGATGACTCGAAAATTATACTCAAACTTTACAAAATGCCCATTATGTATTAGCAAGTCTGAAACAATATATTTTTTAACATTGGTTATATGACAGTAGCCATTAATATTTTCTGTCCCTCAATTCTGAATAAACATTTGACATGAGAACCATCTAACAGCAGTAGCATGGAAAGTTTTTTTTACCATCACTTAACTGTCAAGAAAACAAAAGGGTTAACTTACTTGCTGGACATTTGACCACCTGGGATAGCAGGCCATCCTGTCTGATTCTTACAGAGCTTATTTTCAGTCTCTCACCTCGGTCAGCAGAAAAATTTCTATCAAGGTCATCTTAAAACATAGAATATATTGATTGCCGTTTTCTAATTGTTTCATTCTTTCCTGTTTAATACTTTTTTTCCCCTTACTTTCCAGAAAGGCCAGTGTGGAAAATGAAATAAGCAGAAGTCTTTCAGTTAAACAAGCTTTCCCCCACTGCTTTTTATATTCTGGGGACTCAGAAAATATGAGCAAACCAAATTTAGCTTTTCTTTTGCATTTGCCAGGAGGTTATTTAGTAAGGTGATTTTTTTTTTCTGGTTCACAGAACTCTATAAAACATATAGTGTTTATTACTTTATGTATATTTATTTAAGTCACTAAGGTGAAACTGTAGTGATGGTGGCAATGTTACAGTTTTAACAAGTGGGGCTTATTTTATAAATGTGTCTTTGTGGCAATAGCTTTCAAAAATGCACAGGGTTAGCAGTGACATGCTCTTTTGGAAAGAAAATTTGCTGTTTAATTCCAGGGTAAAAGTACTACTAGAACACAAAATCACCACTGTTATTTTTTTATTTTTTATTTTTTGGTTACTATTTATTGTTAAAGTCAACTTTAAAAAAATCTGTACTCGCAGGATTTAACTAACTACATACATTGCAAAGTTGTGTCAGGGAGAAAATGTTTGCTTGTTATCCCTATCAGAAGGGGGGTGACAGGGAAGTCCCCTTCCCTATGCTTCAGAGGGTTTCCCTCTGAGTGGCCTTCAGAGTTAGGATAATGGCTTTCCTCTTTATCATCATCAGACAAAATGAAAAGATTACACATGTCAAGTTACGCACATTTATGTTTTTGCTCTGACCTAAATATAGATTGTTGTACAGTCAGGTTTAAGGGAAAGCAGTCTTTCAAAAATAATTTAGGCAGCCCAGGTGATGATTATTCTAAAAACTCTATTCCTAAATCTACTATCACATACCTGCAATACGATTACATATAAATACGTATGATAATGCTGCATACATTCTTACACAGTTTTTAAAAAATGCTTCTGCCTTCTTTCTGAAATGAACTGGTTTACTTTATTCTGGTTTTGAAGTGGAAAAGTAAATTCACCCTTATAGAAATTTACTAATATTAATCTGCATTTAATTTCAGAATATATTCTCTTAAAAATTAAATTTAAATGAAAAGAGTTTGTCATGTCCTTCATTAACTTTTGTGTCAAAATGAATATCTTAGAAAAACATTTTATAGCAAACTAAGAAGTGTAGAGGAATTGTGTGTGTGGTGGGTGTACACAAGGAGATTTTAAGAGTGTGGAGAAAAGAGATGCTAAATTTGAGCTACATAATATTTACCCAAAACTGGCAAAGGAAAACTTTGTTAAAATATATAAAAATTATGGATTCAAGAAACAAAGCTTGGAGAAGTAAAATTTTTTACTTCTTACTTTCTGTGATTATTCTGTTGATTCAAATTAGAATAGAAACAAGATTTTGTGATAGAAATATGAATGTGCTTTTTAAAAATTTATAATGTTAAGATATAACAATGTTCATAATTTGCTGAATGATTGTGACACATGAAAAACCGTGCTGTTTGTGAGAAGTAGACAAACAAATGTTCGTGCATTGTAAGAACTCTGAGGAACTTAGAGCAGACTATCGCTTGAGTTTGGTCAATAAGACTTTATTTTTTACCTGCAAGCAGAGTGTAAGTAATCATAATTATTCCTAAATTGCTCCCTAAAGTGTGGTAAAAGTGGGGTTTGCAAACTGCTGATATTTGTTGGACAATTAGATTGATGTTTTATAACATGTTACTATTCAATGGAGTCCTTCACAGTGCCGTTGGGTGGAAAAGTAAATTTGTACCTAAAGAAATGTACAACTATTAATTTGTATTATATTCCACACTGTTCTTTCAAAACACTAAATTTAAATAAGTTTACACTTCTACTCACAAAGGGAATAATTAAATTAAGGTGATATATAGAAAGATAAAATGGCAATTTACCACCACCTGAGATTGACAAAACTCTCCCAGGTCTTTCAAAGTGAATCATGCTCCCAGTCATTATCTCACAGTACCACGATCTTACACATTGACAATGGGGTAAATTGGATTACATTTTTGCTTTTACTAGAAATTCAAATAAAATCTTAGGCAAGATAGGGAATACCACATTGTAATATCCTGCTTTTATGCTTCTGTTAGGGCTGTACATTAGTCTTTGGCTAATAGATCCTGCTAGATAACGCTTTTTCCTTTTGTAGCACCATTCATAGTTTGAGGCTGTCTTCAATCTGACCTGTAAGAACTCTGCTTCGAAAGACTGTGTATATAAGAATGTTGGAATAATTTAATACTCACATTTTGATAGGTTTAAAATGAACTGGAGATTTATGTTAATTGCAGTGGACGAATTGCCACATTTGTCCTACTAAAGTTGCTTATCAGAAGAGGAAAATGAGCAGAAGAATCTTTAAAAAGAATGTTTTGTCTCCAAATTATTTTATATTTGTATGTTAACCCAGAACTTTTTCTCTAGTCTCTCTCTGTATATATTAGAGGAGTAATTTCTGAGTTTTGTTTTTCATCAGATTTGCAGTGAAGATTAAAAACAAAAACAGAAAGAACCTCTTTGCAATAAACATCACTACCACATTTAAGTTTGTAATTTTTATAAGAAAGGAACACTAGTTAGAAGCTATTTTTTTTTGAGTTTTAATATTTACCAAATTTATAGGAACTCTCAACATGTTTTACATTTTTTCTCTCCATGTATGTAAACAGAATGAAGTTAAATTTAGTGATTTCTTCCCTGGAGTGATTAAAAGTAATGTAATTTGTTTGTTAATAACAAACTTAAATTTATTTTGACATTATTGTATTTTCTGTATACTATAATGTGGAAAAAAGTACTTAAGGAATGGAGAGAAATAGACTGTTCTAGCTAATAAAAGTGCTTAACTCTGGAGGGGCCACCAAGGAGTCTGTCATGATTGACAAGCATTCTAGTGGAGTCTTTCTTTCCTTTTTCTTTTCTTTTCTTTCTTTTTTTTTTTTTTCCTTATAGCAGTGTTGAAGTCAGTCAAAGTATATATACAAAGCTCGGTGAATACCAGTTTCCCCAGTACAGGGGCTATTTTTTCAGGAAGTCTAACTCAAACCAGATGTTTTGCCTAGACCTAGAGTTTGTTGCTGCCAAGCATCTCATCAGAGGTCAGAGTTCTGGGCTCTGGGCCCTGCTAGAATTCTTTCACAAATTGCTATTCGGTGAGGTTTTAATCCTAATGGAAAGAATAATGTGCTTGTAAAATCTGCAGTTATTACAAACACAGTATACATATTGTGGACTTCAAATGACTACGTATTTCATCCCCATAAACAGGGAATGCAGATGAATGCCTTGTGTGATAGCTTCAGACATTCTAACGAAAACCTAGTATACAGTTTATTCCACATTAACCATTTGCATTTGTAATACCCTAATAAAAGAAACTGTTATTTTTGGGTGACAACTGGTAACCAACTTACGCCCCCCCACCACAACCAATTTTTTTAACAAGCTCTACAACCCCATACAGCTGTTTGAACACAAGAATTAAAAACATTCAGAACCAAATATTGGATATTCTCATAGGAAGATCTATGAATGCTATAGTACTAGGTGAAAAGTTCTTAAAGCAAAAGACACCAGTATGCCAAGACTTAGCTATCTTATATTTAGAAACACATATAAATGTATTAAAACCAAATTCATTTATTCAAATTAGGATGAAGAGTATTTTTCTTTGTAATGGAGAATGTGATTGGTATTTAACTAAACATGAGTTATAGCTCTTTGGGAAAGGTTAAAGACGTGTACTGAGATTGATTATATCTCTGCATAATTAATTTTATATACAAATATTATGGATATTATTAGATGCTTACTTGGGGGCACTGCTGCTGCTGATTATAAGCCTGAGAGAAATTCTCAGGTAAAAGTAGGCGTGTGAAACCAGAGAATCACAATTTGGCTTAGAAATAAGAAGGTTAATTAAACTATCCTGCAGCAATTAAATAAATCTGCAGTTAAGTTAGATGTGGCAAATTTTTATCAAAACAGTGAAAGCCCAAATTTCTGAAAATGAGAAATTGAACTGTAAAATAAAAATTTTAAAGACAGATTCTAATGTCCCTGAATTACTCCTTAACATATGAAAGCAGTTTTTGGTTTGAACAGTTTGTAGCATTTATTTGGGAGTGGGAGTCTAATTTCTAAATACCTTTTTGTTTTTATATTTAAGTAACAATACGGAGTATAATAAATATGTAAACAAAACTTAGTCTTCAAGCAAATAAAAATTGGTTAACTGTGGGATCCCCCAAAATTTTAATGAAACATTAAAATTTTTTAACCACAATTTTTATTTTTACCTCTCATTTTATTTTTACCTCTCATTTATGTAAAAGAAAATCAGTTTTTATTTTTACCTCTCATTTATATAAAAGAAAATCAAAATTGATATCTCTACTGCCCAGACAGACAATTGCATTGGTGTTGAGAGGAGCCATCATTTACATGAACTTAAAGTCTCTTCGTTGCTGCCAGCAAATGGAAAAAAAAGAAAAGACTTGTTGAAGTATGTAATGTTAAAAAAAAAAAAAAGTTTGGAGGATATTTGTGCTTTACCACTTTCTAAGTTGTGGAACAATTTTAAAATTCTATTTTCTGATTAATCTTTTTGCTGTTGTGTGTCTCTGAAGATACTGTATGCCGGCAGATCTTCTGCAGAGTATTTTCTCAAAGAAAAGTGATGTGTATCTCATGAATGCTATCTCTCTTCCACAAAATCTCTGATAGTATGTCATACCTAGTACTCTGTCATTTAATATCAGTTTATTGTATAATTGCCAATAAGGGACTTTTTCTTGGAAGAAAGGTGCAATATTAATGCACAGTATTTTTATTACCTTTGGTATTCTGAAAAGCGAAATAATATTTTTCATATGTTCAATAATTTCACCCCCGTAAAGTTAGGGGATACCATCATCTATGTCTGTAAAGACGGTGAGAATAAATGCCAAAACTTGAGGCTACATTTCATTCTGTATGGCATAATCCATTCAAGTGCAATTAAAAAAAATAGTCCAAGACTATGATCACTTAATGAGAAACAAACAATTTCATATTAATGAGTTCCCATTTGCCAATAATTCTGTCATTTGTAGCTTGAATCAGTCATCACCCTGCAAATAGCCCTTTCAAGACATTATTTGCAATTTTGTCCTTTGTTTTCTGTCCTTGATGTTGTGAAAATGGCCGTCTACTGTTACAGGAATGAAAAGAGATCCCGTTCAAACATCTTTTGTGTTTCCACTTTCAGTGAAAAATGTTTTTCAAACCTGCAGCTGGTTATTTCTGCAGGAGTTCCCACTTATGCTCAGATTTGATTGACATTTTGAAATGGCAGCTTTTCATGAAAAGCTGTTAACTTGTAGAATTCAGTTATGGCACTAAGACAGACTGACTTTGTTCTGTGGCTGGGACCTGTCCAAACTAAATAGAACCCTGCATCTGAATTTAATAGTGCTACTCAGCCAAGATAGGGCACTTTTGCCTTTTTTCCCTTCAAAACTCTGATGCTTCTTATATGTTCTAAAACTAACTTGATGGGTATTCATCCCAACATCTTTCTGTTCTGTAATTGCTTTAATTGACGTATATAGTCATTCTCTTGTTCCCTCCCTTGAACATCTAATGGACTAGGACAGTGCTTTAAGATATAATGCTAATTGAGAAGAACTTCTTAATTGATAACTAATGTTACAGAGCACAGAAAATTTAAAAATATTGTAACTCTTCCAGTATAGAAGATCTAAAATTTTTGGAAACATGTTACTACTAAAGCTGTAGATTCATTATGTGAAAAATAGTTTGCATTTGGTACTATACAAATATATAGTTTATTAACATTTTTCATTCATTTACTCAATTATACCTACAATTTCAAGGGAAATCTGCTATAAACCCCACAAATCACAAAGTTCATGATCCCTGCCCTTAAGGAACTTTGAATTCGCTATCTTCTCATTATACTTAACAGAGAATTAATGCTTCCAAGTGTGCCAATTTATAAAATTATTTAGTGATAATCTTTAATTTTTCAAATGGCCAACTTTTCTTGTATTTGATTTCCATATAACACTCTCACGAGATGAATGGAAAATTTAGTATCGTAGGCCTCCTGTGCTTCTTTTTGTGGTCTTATGTCATCTGTTAAGAAAGGTTAAAAACCTGGTTTCACTTCCAAGTGTTTGGGCATTATTGGTGTTATATGGAGCCATTAACCCTGAACAGCTGTATGTGATACCTGGTTTCACCTGCCTTAAGAGAGAGGGCTGTGACATACAATGACTATAGACCCAGATCACCCTTATGAAGCCCTGATCACCCTTATGAAGCACTGGTCTTCGCCTTCTCAGCTCATACACCTGAAGTTGAATTGAAGTAGTTGACTCAAGATGACTCTAGTTCGTGTTAACTGTAGCTCGCTTATTTCTGCGGCTTTACTCTTAGATAGCTAATTTCCACAGCATATCCATAAGAGCACAAGCTAGTGCTACACAGTATGCCCTCTGAGAATGTTGGTGTAAAAATACAGTGTTTTAATTTGTATAGCTCTGAAAAAAACTTCGGGGTTGAAGTGGTTGAAATATTGGCCAAAATTATAGTCCTAATATTATTCCTGGATTTTAGTATCACACCCTTGTTATCATACAGCTTAGATACTTGAAATAAAACCATACATATCCAGGATTTCAGAGGATCGGTAAAACTTTACAATGCACTGTTAGTAAAAGTAATATAACTTTGAAGTCATATGGCGATTTCAGAATCAAAATTACTTTTAAATAAGTGTTTAAAATCACTTATTTTATGAAGCGATTTTAGAATCTTAATATGACATTTATTAGGAATATCCGTGGACTCACAGTCGGTAAACAGGTAGCCAAAAGGGCATTCCTCTGTCCTTCTGAGGGAGTGTAAACTGATTTAACTGTTTCAGTGTGCAGACTGACAGTGTGTATCAAGGTCCTCAAAATGTCCTGCTTTGTTTTGACTAGTTCTCTTTTGAGCATTATGTCTTAAGCAAGTAAATTGTTATGCATAAACATGTTTTTATAGTGTTACCTATAATCATTGAAAACTGGAAAAGTAAAGAAAATGTTCAATAAAAAAGACATTAAAATTTGTTCATATAATTGAATAATCTGCAATCGTTTAAAATTAAACTTCCAAAGAATTTTTAATAAAATGTGAAAATAAAATGTTCAAATAGTTAAAAGCTGGGTTCACATTTGTATTACAGAAGAAAAATATGCCTAGGAAAACCTGAAGGAAATATCCGTAAAAGTTAAGATGAGTTGCCCCAGGTGATAAAATTGTATTAGTTTCTTCTTCTCTTTGTGCATTTGTGCACTGCTCTAATTTGCTGTAATTAAAACATGTAACTTTTTTTCCCCTAAGGAGAAAAAAGTATTTATTAAATGAGAAATCCAGAGAAAAATAATGACACATTGGAATGTAGGAATCCTGTTTTCTAATTTCTTTCAGGGTAGCTTCAGTTCTTGAATAATGGCCCTAGTTCAAGAGGTGAAAAATAGTTATCTGCAGGTCTATTCCACTAGCAGAGTATTTTTGCTTGTCTAGCACTAAAATTTTTAAATAATGTAAATTTGAAGGTCGTTAGGGCACAAGCCTTTCCAGTTTACCCTAAGCCTTGACATCTTTCTCTTGTGCCTGTGTGATTTCGACATTTGTGTAACCTCCCAGGCCTCTGAGATGCAAATGTTGCATTTTTCCAGCTCTGTGCCTAATGCTGAATACCTTTGTCATAATAGTAGAATGGTCCACTCCAAGTTTGGGATTTTGGGTTTTTTTCCTTACTCAGCATATGGTAATGGTCATGGTGATCATAATGTTTTTTTGTTGAGCCTTTTTGTAGTACCCAGTTTATAATAAAATATATTATTCTATCTAGTTCTAATAATTCTGTATGGCTAGGTGCTGTTATTTTCCCCATTTCGTAGATAAAACAACTTGAAGCACAAAGAGATTAAGAATCTGTTAATAGTAGAGGCAAGATTTGAAACTAAGTCTACCTGGATTCAAAATCTGTGCTCTTAATATTGATAACTAAGTTATATGCAGAATGATTATATTTTAGCATCTCTGGAAGTCTTTAACCAGTAATAATCTTATCTTATTGAAGAGAGGACTCAGTAACAATTGCTTTTCCTGTTTCTGTATGTCATAAACGACATGGTATTATTTAATACTCTCATTAAACAACAAATTATTAAAAATGCATCCTTTAATACTCTTATTAAACAATAAGCCATGTTATTTTAAATGTATAGTAGTTGTATGTTGTATGTTAAGATATGGAGAGAAAATACTGTTTACTATGGAAACTTGATGTAAATATTCTCTGCCCCAAGGAATGGTACACTTATATAAAATTATATTAGCTTAAAATGTGTAATTCTGATATACTCAGCTTTTGTTACGTAACATATTCAGGAATATAACCCCTACAATAACTATCTAAGTGTATAAAAAGAAAGCTGTCTGTTAAATAATTTGATATTCAACTTTCATGGTTTTATATGCCTAATGGCTATTCTTCAAATATATGTTTTGGTTTACCTTTTGGTTCTATTTTGGCAAAAGAAACCAATTTGGGAGATTCTGATTAGAGGCAGAAAATTGCCTTCTATATGGAACAGAAAATAATGTGTTCCAAAATTTTTAATACCCTTATGAGGGTTAAATCACTTAACTCTTTGTATCTGACCCATTTAGGAAATGTGACATGCCTTTTCTTTTTTTTTTGTTTTTGAGATAGAGCCTCGCTCTGTCGCCAGGCTGGAATGCAGTGGCGCAATCTCGACTCACTGCAACCTCTGCTTCCCTGAGTTCAAGCAGTTCTCCTGCCTCAGCCTCCCAAGTAGCTGGGACTACAGGCGCCCGCCACCACGCCTAGAATTTTTGTATTCTTATTAGAGTCGGGGTTTCACCGTGTTGGCCAGGATGATCTTGATCTCTTGACCTCGTGATCCACCTGCCTCAGCCTCCCAAAGTGCTGGGATTACAGGCGTGAGCCACTGCGCCCGACCTCAACATGCCATTTTAAAGGTAATTTTTTACAAGTGATGGGAAAAGGAAGAAAGTCACAGAAGTAATTTCTGCTTTAAACTCTTTAAGGAGAAAGTATTCATTATGCAGATAGAAAACATTTATTACACTAGTAGTACATAGAAAATTAGAAAAGAATAAGGACGTAAAACCCTGCCACTGATGGATGACTGTTTGGAGGTGTATAGGAAGTAAATGTTCTAAGTTCATGCATGTTGAAAAAGGTATTTTGCCCTCCTGCTTGAATAATAGTTTCAGTGGATGTAGAATTTTAGGTTGCAAATATTTTTTCCTTAATGATTTCTTTGCATCCATTCTTTTGCCTTCTACCACCCAGTGGTATTGATGGCAGTCTGATGCTCATTCCTTTGAGAGCGACCTATGTTTTTAATTTTTGGAAGTTTGGGGTGTTTTTGTTTTTTTGTAGGTGTTCTGTGGGGTTTTTTTTTTTCCATCTTGATATGCCTAGATGCTCATGTCTTTTTATTAATTGGGTTGAACACTTCTTGTACCTTTTGTAATCTAAAGATGTCCTTCACTTCTGGGAAATTATCTTTTGCTATATATTTGATTTCTTATTCAATATTGGACTGTTAGGACCAGACTTCACACTTGAAAACTCAGACTTGGGAAAAGGATCCCCAATCCTTAAGATGTGAGAATTAATGATTTGGGAGGATCCTTAAGGATTAAGGAGATTCAATTGTGGTAGGGTATGGCAGAATTTTTGCCTCTTCTCTTGTTCTCCTACCTCAGTATACATGGTTAGGGGACTCCCTGCTCTCCCCCAGGCATGATAATGGGGACTTAGGGTCTCAAGACTTGCAGTTCCAGCATTAAAGACATTATGAAGCAGGGACCTGATTCAGCACCTCAGCTTTCTATCAGGATTGATTAGCTTATGCTGTCGTTCCCATGGCATACTGTGCAGAAGGCCAACATCTGTGTGAAGCCAACCTGCTGGGAATCAGTCTTTGGCATGTCAATTCGTTCTTAGGAGGCAACTGTTTTATATTCTGACTTTGAGTTAATGCCCTAGATCCTGTCCAATATGGTCTCTGACATATCCCAAGTCAGACCTCTCTAGAGGGTCTGCCTGACAGGAGCCACTTAACTGTGTCCCCATCATGTATGTGTCAGCCTACAACTTCTTCCTTCTGACTTTTCTTACTCAAGACACCTAATACTGAAGTTTTGAGGCAAACGTCTGTTCCTAGCCATTGAACTTTCTCTAGTAGCAGGTACATCATAGAGGATTTGGCAAGGGAAAACACCCTGGCCTTTACTTTTTAAACCATGTTTCCATTTTTGTTGAACTTTACTGGGGAAAAATTGTAGAACTTGAGCCTTTAAATTTAATGTCTGTTGAGATGAAAACGTTTCATAGGTGAGTTATCAGTAGTTGAAAAGTATATATGACTCTTAGTAATAGCTATTATTAAAACAATGATGGACTCTGGCATGGTTTAAGTCACTGACAACATGGTTTTTCTATGCTGTCTAACATTGGTTTCTTTAATATGTTTCTGACTTTGTTCCGTGGCTTGACTAACACTAATTCCTTTTCTACTTTTTTTTTTTTTTTTTTTTTTTTTTTTTACCTCTGGGAAGATATTGCTTCTGTGCATTTCACACTATAGAGAGAAACTTGCCTCATTGTGACCCCTAACCTATGTAGTAAATCCTCTAAAATTAATTTTGGTTCCTTCTGATCTGTGCCCCCATGTGACTCCCCCCAAGATTTCATTATTAGATTTTGACAGCCTTTTAAATTTGTAAATGCCACAAATTTGTCACTAGAGATGAATGGGTAAAAAGAAAATTCCTTGCAGTGGAGGATATGGGTAAAATATTTCAAGTGACAGATCTGCATCAATAATGTTAATGTTTATGGGGTGATGAAAACCATGTAAGTCTTAAGCCAGAATCTTTTTTCAGCTGAGTCCCAGAAATTTTGACCACAGAAGCCAAGGCACATTCCGTTTATTCCAACAAGTGTTTTTTCACATCCTTTCCAACTGTCTGAAAGACAATTGTCACTCTTAAATGCCTGAAACTTTAGATGCTTTTTCTACTGGATTAGTTAAAAGCAATGGAAACATTGTCTACTGTGGTCGGGATGACTTTTGTCTTGCCTTGAGTTCCTAAAATGGAGAGCAAATTTGACAATGTTATTTTGCCCTCTACTTTTTATGTTCATCATCTGGCAAAGTTTTCAAGAAATTTTGCATCATTCTTTCTGACTGACTTCTGAAGGCTTACTTTCATGCCAGAAGGTTGCCTTTGCTGAATGAACGTTGAGTGGTCACAGGGCCAGAGGCTTTGTCTCTTACTGATACCAAAGGAGTTCCCCAACTTGAGTGGCTTCTGATGCCAGTGCAGAAGAGCATTAGTATTTGAGCAGTTGAGAAGTACATTCAGAGGAAATTTAGAGAAAAAGATTATTGAAATTATCCCAATTATGATGCCAACTAACATATGTATGTGATTATTTTTAACTAAAGAAGAAGGATAAAGAACTTTGAACCAGTATAGTGTGGTCCTTTGTCTATTTATTTGCATATTTTGATTTTTAAATAATGAACAAAAAGGATTCATTCAAAGCAAAGCTATTTTAAACTTACCCTGAAAAGTTAAAAGTGATTCTTTGGGAAAAGAAGGAAAAAAGATTTAAAAAAAATTACCACTGTCCCACCTTCACCCAAGTGTATACAGGAGGTTTCCATGTCTTTACATATTAACAAGCTTATTTCTTTACTAAAGTTATGTGGATATTTTGGTAAAGAAATGATAAGCTTGTTATTGTTATCTCTAACTTCTAGGCTCAAGTGACTCTCCCACCTCAGTCTCCTGAGTAGCTAGGACTACAGGTGCACCACCACACCCAGGTAATTTTTAATTTTTTTTGTAAAGTTAGGGTCTCACTATGTTGCCCAGGCTGGTCTCAAGCTCCTGACCTCAAGAGATCCTCACGCCTTGTCCTTCCAAAGTTATGGTATTATAGGTGTGAGCCACTGCTCCTGGCCAGTATAAATATTAATATGTTCTGGTGTTAGTACTGTAAAATGGATTTTCTTATGTAGAGCTGTTGAAGAACTTTAAAACTTCCTGTAGATTCTCTGTAACATTTTGTATTTTGCCCCTTAGAATAAAAAACAGCTGCACCAGATTATGAATATTTCTCTGGAAATTCAGCCCTGTAATAGACATTTATGGAGTACCTGTCATTAAAGATTAAGCGCCTGGTCTGATGAAAATTACTAGATATGCGTAAGAAAAAATCTGGAAGCAACACTCTTTGTAAAACTAGTGGGTAGTTATCACCTCTTTTTTTTTTTTTTTTTCAAAATAACTTCAGAACTATTTGCATATAACCACTGCAAAAGAGTTGTTTTGTTTTTCTTTGTTTACTTAGCTGCTTACAGTATACACATTTCCACTTTATTCCCTGATGTTACTGGTTCTTCTCCCTACCACACCCTGCCTGTCTGCCAAAGTTTTAGATGTTTACAGTGTTCTTCCCATCTGCATGCTAGACAGTTTCTACCTTAAACACCATTGATCTCGTCCCTGAACTCCAAACTCCATATGTCCACCTGCCATCTTAACCTTTCAATTTGGAAGTCTAATAGGCTTCTCAAACTTAACATGTCTAGAAAAAAACTGTTGACGTCCCTCCACTAATCCCCCCCACCAAAATTTTAAAATTAAAACCGCAGTACTGTCTTATCCTTCCCTGTTTCTATTAATGGCATCATCATCTGCCCAATTAGTAAAACTGCAAACCTGTTGTCATTAAAAACTTCTTGTTATTAAGATTCTTTATTCTTCCTTTTGCTTCATCATTCTCTACTATTAACTCCATCTGCTTCTTTCCCTCTTTTTCCTCCAGCTACCTGACTCTAGGCAGCCATCATCTCCCTCTTGATATACTGAGAAAGTCTCTTACCAGGACTTCCTGTTTTCACTTTTGTCTTTTTAAAATCCATTTTCTACAGCATAATTTTTAAAAAGTATGTCAGATCCCATCTCTGTTCCCGTTGTCTCTGGAATAAAATTCAAACTCCTTGCCATGGAGACTTACAAGAGCTTGTCTACTCTCCAGCCTTATTTCTTAGTACTTTCCCCTTTTTTTGGTTATGTCTCAGCCAGATTGCCCTCCTTTCAATTTCAGCACTGTAGCTTGTTACTACGTGTGGCCATTCAAAACAGTAGATATTTATTACAAACTTACTTTTAGGGACGAGACACTACTGCCTCCAGAGAAGGAAAGAAATTTTGTTAGAATATTATAAAAGGGTGGCATGTAAAGGTAGCTAGACTGCCTTATCTCCATTTCTTCTCAGTGTCAGAAAACTCTCAAACTAAAATGGAAATAAGTTGCTGATTCACTTTAAAACCCAAACTTACTTAAAATAAACTGTCAGTTCTAAGCTGAGATTTACTCCAATAGAATATTCCCTTGATGGGTTGAGAATGAATAAGATGAATTATCTGAGTCCTGATCTTGCTCATATAGCTGTTTCTTTAAGGACCAACATTTGGTTCCTATACCGTAGGATTCTCTCCCTGGTAAAGAGGAGTTAGTAATATCCATATCTCTTTTCTAAATTCCAGAATTCTTCAATTTGTATTTTCTTTAACTCTGTGACCTAGCCGTTGTCCACGGCACAGTTAGTCTGTGGGTCAAATGGGTGTGGTTTCACCTAATTCTCCCAGAACGGGAGATATTGCAGGAAAATGAGTCCTACTACAATGAACATTAAAGAAAAGATTATGTCTAAAGGCAACATTTTCATATAAGTTTTTTCCCATATCTATTAATTGCATCAAGGTATGTGTCTGTACCAACGTATGCTGTTGGACCTTTCTGTTAGAGGTGCTTAATTGGTTTCTGACCATGTCAGTTATAAGATAGAGAATCTGTCTGTGGTAAATGACATCCCATAAATGAGTTTCATAAGGCTTGACCTGGGAGCTGACATGTCAGGACTTCCTAGTGTGTCTTTGCATACCGGTTCTAAATCTCCCAGCTTCTTTGGTATCTTTTTATTGTATGACAAGATGCTGTACTTTAGTTCATGTTTGAAGCGACAGAAGCTTAAGTTTTGAGTTCCCAGGAAAAGAAAGACTTAAACATTTCCAATTAAAGCATCAGAGATTAGTCTGACTAGGGTGTGAGTTAACAGGAACTCTTTATTGACCTAAAAACCTACCCAGAAAGTATTGGCATGAGAATTTGGCAGCTTGGAGTGGGAGGGCCTATGGCTATGGTCAGTCTTAACATGTTAGGACATCTTAAATTTCACTTTAAAATTTCTGAGTTTGCTGTTGATTGATGCCTGCTAAGAAAGCGTTTCTATAATAGGAATTGAGATTGTGCTGCTGTAATGCCCTCAAGCAATGCCACGTCACCAGTATCTCCTCCTATTTTAGGGCAATTCTTTTTCTTAAACCAAATTCCCAGCTTCAGCAAGAAGAATCCAAAAGCCGAACTGTTAGAAATTTGTCCCTGGTTTTTCCTTCCTTTACCCAATTTATTGAGTAGCTACTATGTACTAAGAAGCATGGTGTTAAGAAGTGGGAATACAAAGAAAAGTCTAAATGGCCAGCAAATGAACAAAGAGATCTTCAACTAAACCAGTACTTAAGGAAATAAAATTAAAGCAGCAGTTAGAGTGAGTACGTACTATGTACCAGGATACAATAACAAATCATATTTATTTACTTACACACATACACACCTGTGTGCATCAGGTGATAATAAATACTATGGATAAAATAGGAAATGGGGATAGGAACAGTATGGGAGGCAGAGTTTTGCAGCCTGGTCTTCACTGCCACCAGTGCATGAGGCTAGGTGTGGAGGATCATTGCAGATCACATGGAGTGCCTGGGCTCTGTCGCCATGGTTATGTAGAGATGGGACATGGAAGCGAAAGGAAACCTTTCCTTTCCATATTAACTCTCTGACTCCACATTAATGTGGATCCTGTCCTGGCAGTGTCAGCCTCAGGTCTAATTTGAAAGGTTTACTGTCTATAATAATAATGGGCTGGAAGCCAGTTCACATCTGACTACATGTGTGGCCACATACATGTATGTGTATTTGGGAAGAGAAAATGTATCTTTAGAACTTACTACTGGAAACATTAGGAAAGAGCCTTTTTTCTACATGTGGAGAAGAAAAGCCTTTTTTTATTATTATGCGTTAATACTCTTTTTTTCTCCAACCTCTGTCTCCTCAAACAGACAAATAATTTAAACATGGCTGTCAAAATTTCTGAACACCAGGAGGATGCCTCCCTGCCTTCCCTCCCTCCTTCCCTCTATTTCTGTCTCTCTCTTTCTGTCTCTCTCACACAGAACCATAGTTTCAGATCAGATTTTCTACACACTGTTTTAATTTATTAGAAGGGAAAAATTCTTTCTTATGGCTAAAAGTTTGCACTCTTGATTTTTCTAAAGTCCACTTTTATGACTAAGCTATAAATCTCTAAAAATAGAGATTTACAGTGGAAATGTCAACTCCTTTGTATTATGTCAGGTCAAAATGTGTAGCTAATTGGTGTGCATTTGTTCATGCATATGTCATGAGCCAGAACTATGTTTTAGCCCAGTGACCACACATGGGGGCAGATAGGTGTGGTCCAGTTCAGATATACTAATGTTTTCTTTGTTTATGGTAAATTAGAATAGTGCAAGGTACTGGTTTGGAAAAATATGTGGGCAAGGCAGACATTTAGGATTTATGAACCTTTACTTAGCCAGTATTGCCCTATCATTCGTCCACCATATCGACCTGTATCCACTAGGGGACATAAGAACACCTACTGGAGGAAAGAATGAAAGTTTGTCTGCATTAAAATTTAAACACAGGACTCTTAGATAACATACAAAAAGACTCATTTTTTTAGTTTCATGATTCATAAAGAAGTTATATATTTTGTTTAAATTTTAATCATCACCAGAAACTTTTAAAGGCAGGATCAGTATCTTAACGTCTATTTATGGAATGAGAACCAAACAAGCAGCTAACTAGCAAGCTTGTGTCATTAACTGACTACCTATGTGGTCTACAGAAGCTATGCTGAGAATGATTCTGGCTTTACAAAATACTTTATATAGAAAAGGATTACCTTTTAGAGTCAGGAGGTGAGACATCTGGGGAGGACATCTGCTATCAGATTGCAGTGGACAAAAACCAGAAGTGTTCTATATTTTGCACCCCGGCCACTAGCTATGAAACCCGAGAGACAGATGTTAAGGGCACTGCTGTTGTCTTCTAAACTGATTATCTGGCCTACCAGGTTAGAAACTTAGGTTGTATTTTTTACTTATGGTTCTTTTTTTTTTTCGGTATGATCTACCTGCAGAAAAAAATGCAAAGATTTTAAGTGATACAGTCTTTATAGACAATTTTTGCTTTTTAGTTGGAGTTTTTACTAACATTTAATATAAGTATTAATATAACTGAATTAAGGTCTACAGTTTTGCTGTTTGCTTTGTTTGTCCCATCTGCTTTTTGATCATTTCTTGTTCCTTTTCTGCCTTATTTTGGCAGAAAATCAAATCATTTTTAGTTTTTCATTTTAATTCTGTTGACTTTTCAGCTATACTTCTTTGCATTTTTTTTAAAGTGGTTACTCTAGGGATTATAATACACAGTCATATCTTCTCAGTCAACAGTGGTTAATATTTTACCACCTCACCTCCTTCTTTGTGCTATATATATATGCATATATATATATATGCATTCATCAATTGTTTTATATATATATATATATATGTCCTAGAATACCATGTTTTACTTTTTGCTTTCTGGTTTTATGTCTTTTAAGTAAAATTAGAATAAACACGCACAATTTTATATTTACCCATATATTTTCCAGCTGGTGTCAATTTCCTTTAGTCTGCAAAATTCCCTTTAAAATTTTTTTGTAGTGTAGGTCTGCTGGCAATGAGATCTCATTTATCTAAAAATCCCTTTTCCGTTATCTTTAAAGATATAGAATTTGAGGTTGACAAGTGGTTGTGGTGTGTGTATGTGTGTGTGCAGCACTTTAAAGATACCGTTTCATTGTCTCCTGGCCTCTGTTGTTTCTGATAAAAAGTTAACCATTACTCATATTGTTGTTCCTCCATATATAACATGTACATTCTCTCTGGCTACTTTGACAATTTTCCCTTTATCTTTGTTTTCCAGCAGTTTGACCATAAAGTTTCTAGGTATAGTTTTCTTTGTTTTTGTCCTTCTTAGGGTTCACTGAGCTTCTTGCATCTTTACATTATGTTATGTTTTTGAAAAAATTGGGGAAAGTTTTGTTACTACTTCAAATATTTATCTGCCCTATTCTCTCTTTCCCTCTCAGGACTCCAGTTACATATAGTTGTGCATTGTGATCTTGTCCCACAGTTCATTAAGGTTCTTTTATACCCCCCATCCTCGCCTCTCCTTCTTTTTTTATTTCTGGTCTTCAGATAGGATAATTTCTGCATATCTCTCTTCGTGTTCACTGATTTATTTATTTTTCTACTCCAATCTGCTGTTAAGCCCATTCAATAATTTTATTTCAGATGCTGTATTTCTTTATTCTTTGTTTATTAAAGCTTTAATTCCTTTACTGCTGTTTACCATCTATTCATTGATTTGGGACCATATTTGCCTTTAAGTCCTGGAGCCACTTTAAAGTTCTTGTCTGCTGTTTCCAACATCTGGGTCATCCTAGTTTGGTTTCTGCTGGATAAGTTGACCCATTATTCTGTTATTGGTCACATGTGCCTGCATTTTTGTATGTCTAGCTAGTTTTATTACATGGTGGATATTGTGGATGCTCTGTGTTGTTGAAAATACAAATTTTGTTGTCTTCCTTTAAAGAGTATTGAATTTTCTTCTGGTAATCAGATAATTAACTCTCAGATCAGACTATCAGATCAGAATGAATCATATAGGGATTTTTTTCAAGACTTATTTTTAAAGCAGTTTTAGGTTCGCAACAGAGCAAAAACTACAGAGAGTTACCATATAAATCTTCCTGCCACATATGCACAGCCCCCTCCAGTCTCAACATTCTGCACCAGAATGGCACATTTGTTACAATTGATGAATGCATATCATTATCAGTCAAAGTTAATAGTTTACATTATGGTATAATGTTACACATTATGGGTTTAGACAAACAGATAATAACCTATATTCACTATTTATAGTATCATAAAGACACTAAATTTTAACAAAATCCATATCAATTATTTCTATTATGAATTGTGCCTTTATTGTTGTATCTAAAAAAGTCATTGCCATATCCAAGTTTAGTTAGATTTTCTCCTATGTTATTGCCTAGTTTTATGGTTTCATGTTTTACATTTAGGTCTATGATTCATTTTGATGTGAGTTTGTTTCATTTTTTGTCTTTGTTTTTGAGACAGAGTCTTAGTCTATCGCCCAGATTGTAGTGCAGTGGCACGATCTTGGTTCACTGCAACCTCCGCCTCCTGAGCTCAGGTGATCTTCCCATCTCAGGCTCCTGAGTAGCTGGGAATATCAACATGTACCACCATGTCTGTCTTATGATTCATTTTGATTTACTTTTGTTAAGGGTGTAAGATCTGTGTCTACATTCATTATTTTGCAAGTTGATGTCCAGTTGTTCCAGCACCACCTGTTGCAAAGATACCTTTTCTCCATTGTATTGCCTTTGCTCTTTTGTCAAAGATCAGTTGACTCTATGTATATGGGTCTTTTGGTGCTTTCTATTCCATTGATCTATTTGTCTTTTTTTTTTTTTTTTTAAACCAATACTGCAGTGTCTTGATTACTATGCTTAGTGTAGTATGTCTTAAAAGTTAGATAGTGTCAGTTCTTTGACTTCATTCTCTTTTAATACTGTGTTGGCTGTTCTGGGTCTAATTAGCTCTCTATATAAACTTTAGAATTTTAATTGGGATTGTGTTGAATCTATAGATGGGAAGAACTGACATCTTGACAGTATTGAGTCATCCTACCCACATACATGAAATATCTCTCCTCTTAGTTCTTTGATTTCTATCAATAGAGTATTGTAGTTTTCTTCTTATAGATCTTATACATATCTTATTAGATTTATACTTTAAGCTTTTGGAGGGTGCTAATGTAAATGTACTGTGTTTTTAATTTTAAATACCACTTATTTATTGCTGGCATATAGGAAAACAGTTTACTTTTGTATATTAACCTTGTGTCCTACAACCTTGCTGTGATCACGTATTAGTTCCAGGAGTTTTTTAATCAATTCTTTTGAATTTTCTACATAGACGATCATATTATCTGTGAACAAAGAGTTTTCTTTCTTTCCTCATGATAAGGTTAGGCCTTGTGTCCCCACCCAAATCTCATCATGAATTGTAATCATCAGGTCTTGAGGGAGAGACCTGGTGAGAGGTGATTGGATCATGGGGGTGGTTTCCCCTATGCTGTTCTCCTCATAGTGAGTAAATTCTAACAAGATCTGATGGTTTTATAAATGGTAGTTTTTCCTGCACTTAGACACACACTCTCTCTCACCTGCCACCATGTAAGTCATGCCTGCTTCCCCTTCTATCATGATTGTAAGTTTCCTGAGGCCTCCCCAGCCATGTGGAACTGTGAGTCAGTTAAACCTCTTTCCTTCATAAATTACCCAGTCATAGGAAGTTCTTTATAGCGGTGTGAAAATGGACTAATACACCTCACAATCTTATATAACTTTTCTTTTCTTACTGCATTAGGTGGTACTTCCAGTATGATGTTGAGTGGTGGTAAGAAGGGACATCCTTGTCTTGTTTCTGATCTTAGTGGGAAATATTCTGGTTTCTTACCATTAAATGTTATGTTAGCTGTAGGGTTTTTGTAGATGTTTTTAATCACCTTGAGGATGTTTCCCGTTTGTTCTTAGTTTATTGAGAATTTTTATCATGAATGAGTGTTAGTTAGATTTTGTCAAGTGCTTTTTCTGCAGCTAGGACTATGTGATTTTTTTTTTCTTTTTTAGCTTGTTGATGTGATAGATTCCATTAATTGATTTTTTGAATGTTGAACCAGACTTGCATACCTGAGATATATTATATTTGGCTATGGTGTATAATTCTTCTTATAGATTGTTAGACTTGATTTCCTAGCTTTTTTGAGAATTTTTGCATCTGTGTTCATGAGAAATACTGATCTGTCATTTTCTTGTAATGTCTTTGTCTGGTTTTGGAATTAAGGTTATGCTGGTTTCATAGAATTATTTAGGAAGTATTCCCTCCGCTTCTATTTTCTGGAAAAGATTATAGAGAATTGGTATAATTTCTTCCTTAAATGTTTGATAGAATTCATCAGTGAACCCATCTGAGTAAGGATTATTTTTTAAAATTTTGTTAGGGTGGGGGTAGTGTAATCCTTTCTCCAGGACTAGAATAGCTCACTTCTACCCCTTTCTGGGTATCAGCAGAGTATCCGGGGTGTTCAACGAGGTCTCTTCAGTATGATTGGTAGGACGTCCTATGTCTCCCAGCTTTGTGTAATCTCAGGAATCTCTGGGTAGCTGCCAACTCACAGGCAGCTGTTTTTTTTTTTTGTTTTTTTTTTTTCCCCTGGCCTTGTGTTGTCTTGTCTTGGTGCCCTGGGTATGTGCAGCTTAGTATTTAGCTAAATGCTTAAGATGTCACTTATATGAGTAACTGGAATACTGCTCTTCAGAGCTTCATTCTCTCTGATATCATACTCTTAAAACCTTCAGGAATCCCAACCTCCAGTCTGTTTCTCCAGCTCAGTAAGATTACTATGTCCTGCTTGGGTTACCTCCTGGTGCCACAGTCTAGAAAGTGTTCTCAGACAGAAAGCTGGGGCAATTTTGAGGCTTATTCTATGTAGTTTCCCTCTCCCTGGAATCATAGTCCTGCAGCTGTCTAAAATTGGTTGCCATATATTCACTATTCACAATAGCAAAGACTTGGAACCAACCCAGATGTCCATCAGTGATAGACTGGATAAAGAAAATGTGGCACATATACGCCATGGAATACTAAGCATCCATAAAAAAGGATGAGTTCATGTCCTTTGTAGGGACATGGATGAAGCTGGAAACCATCATTCTGAGCAAACCTATCGCAAGGACAGAAAACCAAACACTGCACATGTTCTCAGTCATAGGTGGGAATTGAACGATGAGAACACGTGGACACAGGGCGGGGAACATCACACACCGGGGCCTGTCGTGGGGTGGGGGGAGCGGGGAGGGATAGCATTAGGAGAAATACCTAATGTAAATGACGAGTGAATGGGTGCAGCAAACCAACATGACACATGTATACATGTGTAACAAACCTGCACATTGTGCACATGTGCCCAAGAACTTAAAGTATAATTAAAAAAAAAAAGAAAAAAAATGCAAATAGGCAAGAAAGGCTTGATTCTGGAGCATATCAGATTTCAGATCTTGCTGACATAAACACCTCTGGGCCAAAAGTTTAAGTCAACTGGAGACCCTTGACATTCTAATTGAGAGTTAGCCCTGCAAAGGAGGTGATTGATTAAATTGATTCTAACACATAATTGATTGTATAGGAAATCTGAGAACATTGACCCTTTAAAAATTTATGAAATTATTATCTGTTTTTAGAGGTAGGAGATCCTTGACAGAATAAACTGACTTTATTTCTCTGCAAAAAAAAATTGTTTGCCAAATGTTAAGGTGCACATATGTAAGCCAAGATCCAATGAGGGCTGGGACAGAAAAGCTGCTAAAGATTTGTGAGGTGAATGGAGATTCCAGGGGTTACACAGTGTCTTGGGAACATAAGAATTGAGGCCATCCAGAATGGGGAGACCTCACTGAACAACATGGGCACTCATTTGATACCCGAGAAGGTCCATGACTTGAGTAAGGCTATTGAAGCCCTGGAATGTTGGGTTTTAAAAATTAGTTTACATTTGTCTTGTGCAGAACAAATAAGACAATCATTGTCCCAAGGATCCTTCTGTCAAGTTGGCTTGATAATTGATAATAGGTTCATGCAAATCTGATGCTTAAATACTGAGTTAGCAGTAAAGGAATCTTCAGCGTACCTTCCATATGCTTTATCAGAGGAGGAGGATTTGCAAAGAGAATGTCTTCCTGTTTATTTTTTTCCCTCTTATGACCACTGGCCATGCTTCAATCTGTGTTTCTGGATCTGGAAAAAATCCTTCCAGTGCTGATGCCCTTTGCCATCTTAATCCCAGAGCCTTATAGGCACAATGAATTATTTATTTTACAAGTTTATGCATCTACAAAATAAAAATCTTCTGATGTTTGAAGTATGTATTTTTAAAAGAATGTGCTTATGAAAATATCTTTTTCAAAGTCTTCTTCCAATATTATTTGTTCTATGTACTTGTCTGTGATCAGGAGCTAGAACACATAGGTTTTTAAATAGCTAACTAAAGCATTTCTTTAGTGCTGAACATTGTCTTTAACGGGAGTATATAAAGACCTCTTGTTTACCGGATTTGATTAATTGGAGGAGGAGCTTTCTTAAGCACACACTGTTTTCTCAAATGTTTCCCAGCCTCCTGTCAGTTCTGTCTGTCATGGGTCATTCAGCACACACTCGTTTGGATGACTCTTAAAAACTGTCACATGTCAATCAAAGGAAAGGAGATGCAAAATGAAGAAGTAAACTTGCTTCATTTGAAATTGAATAGACTGTTCCTGTAAAGCTTTTTTTTTCCTGGGTTAAGCTTAAATTTATTTTTTTTAATTTGACAAATAACATTGTATATGTTTGTCACATACAGCATGACGTTTTGAGGTGCACATACATTGTGAAATGATTAACTCTTGCTAATTAACAAATGTATTACCTCACACAGTTATTTTTGTGATGGGTGCACTCAGCATCCACTCTCTTTGTATTTTTAAGGAATTCAGTATATCCTCATTTACCCTAGTGACCGAGCACCTGTAAAGCTTTTTTGCATCTTTGGTTTTCTAGCTACATTTTGTATTTTGGCAGTACTAAGGGGCAGGAAGAGACATGAGTGGATGATGGTCGCTGAGTAAAATAAAGACTTAAGAATATTGCACTAGGAATCCACTTTGGGAAAAACTTCAAGTTTAGTATGGGGAATGTAAAGTGAAATTTTGTTGTTCTAGAAACTGTAGTCCACAGTGTTTCATCTGGAAGGACTTTAAAAAAATAATAGTTGTTAGATACTTTTCGTCCTTCAGGGCAAAATAAAACACAGCAGTTTGAGGAGGTTTTTCAGAAGTTTGTGGTAGAGTAATAAAGTTTTATTTTTTGAGAATTCTGACCTTAGAACAAAAGCTGACTAGCATAAATGATCACTTATATTCCTTTGTAAAAATCTCATAAATTTTAATAAAAATATAATGTCCCAGGATTTCCTTGAATTCGAAAGAGAGACTGTTTAAGTAACTTGCCCCAAAAATTCAGAGTTGGGTAACTTCTATTTAAAAATGGAACAGTCCATTTTTCCTGGCATGAAGTCCTTAGGGATTATTGGCACTGTTAGCCCTCAGGCCCTCTTGCTTCTTGTACCAGTTACTGCCAGTAGAGTGATGTGTCACAACTCAGCTTTCAGCAAATCTAAATGGAGCTTCTTAAAGACATGGAATACATATGATTTTTTCTATACTTTCAACACATAGCCCAACTTGCACAGTGTCTGGTACAAAATAGTTGCTTAGAAATGTTCTTAGAATAGCAAATGAATGCCTCTGCTTTAATGTCAAAGACATTATTATGGAAACAGTATGGGATTTTGTTCAGTATTCCTTCCACCAAATAGATATGATTTTTAGTTTTAGAAAATAGTGTTGGCCAGGCGCAGTGGCTCACACCTGTAATCCCAGCACTTTGGGAGGCTGAGGTGGGCGGATCACCTGAGGTCGGGAGTTCAAGACCAGCCTGACCAATATGGAGAAACCACGTCTGTACTAAAAATACAACATTAGCTGCGCGTGGTGGCACATGCCTGTAATCCCAGCTACTCAGGAGGCTGAGGCGGGAGAACCACTTGAACCTGGGAGGCGGAGGTTGTTGTGAGCCAAGATCGTGCCGTTGCACTCCAGCCTGGGCGACAGGGTGAGACACCATCTCAATAAATAAATAAATAAATAAATAAATAAATAAATAAATAAATACTTTTAACTCTTTAGTACTTTCCTAAGCAAAAAATTGGGGAAGAATGTAAGCAAAGTTTATATTTACAGCTGACCTGACGGCAGCGTTTACAGAAGTTTCTATTACATAAATAGCTGCTAGAAGAGTTTTTAAAACTTCTAAATTCAGTGAGTTAACTTGGACCTTTTTTCTTGTAGGATGTTTTGGTGAAATAACTGGTCTACTGGTTTGTTTTTGTTTTTTTTCTATTATACTTTAAGTTCTGGGATACATGTACAGCACATGCAGGTTTGATACATAGGTATACACGTGCCATAGTGGTTCGCTGCACCCATCAACCCATCATCCACATTAGGTATTTCTCCTAATGCTATCCCTCCCCTAGCCTTCCACCCCCTGACAGGCCCCAGTGTGTGTGATGTTCCCCTCCCTTTGTC
Source organism: Homo sapiens (assembly GCF_000001405.40). Classification (NCBI taxonomy): domain Eukaryota; kingdom Metazoa; phylum Chordata; class Mammalia; order Primates; family Hominidae; genus Homo; species Homo sapiens. The sequence continues at coordinate 45,431,586 of NC_000002.12, read as the reverse complement.
CATGTGTTCTCATTGTTCAACTCCCATTTATGAGTGAGAACATGTGGTGTTTGGTTTTCTGTTCCTTTGTTAGTTTGCTGAGAATGATGGCTTCCAGCTTCATATCCCTGCAAAGGACATGAACTCATTCTTTTTTATGGCAGCATAATATTCCATGGTGCCACATTTTCTTTATCCAGTCTATCATTGATGGGCATTTGGGTTGGTTCCAAGTCTTTGCTATTGTGAATAGTGCTGCAATAAACATACGTGTGCATGTGTCTTTATAGTAGTCTCTGAGTATATACCCAGTAATGGGATTGCTGGGTCAAATGGTGTTTCTGGTTCTAGATCCTTGAGGAATCACCACACTGTCTTCCACAATGGTTGAACTAATTTACACTCCCACCAACAGCGTTAAAGTGTTCCAAAAAGTGTTCCAGTTTCTCCACATCCTCTCCAGCATCTGTTGTTTCCTGACTTTTTAATGATCGCCATTCTAACTAGCGTGAGATTGTATCTCATTGTGGTTTTGATTGTGTTTCTCTAATGACCAGTGATGATGAGCTTTTTTTCATGTTTGTTGGCCGCATAAATGTCTTCTTTTGAGAAGTGTCTGTTTATATCCTTCACCCACTTTTTGATGGGGTGGTTTTTTTCTTGTAAATTTGTTTAAGTTCGTTGTAGATTCTGGATATTAGCCCTTTGTCAGATGGATAGATTGCAAAATTTTTCTCCCATTCTATAGGTTGCCTGTTAAGTCTAATGATAGTTTCTTTTCCTGTGCAGAAGCTCTTTAGTTTAGTTAGATCCCATTTGCCAATTTTTGCTTTTGTTGCCATTGCTTTTGGTGTTTTAGTCATGAAGTCTTTGCCCATGCCTATGTCCTGAATGGTATCGCCTAGGTTTTCTTTTAGGGTTGTTATGGTTTTAGGTCTTATGTTTAAGTCTTTAATCCATCTTGAGTTAATTTTTGTATAAGATGTAAGGAAGGGGTCCAGTTTCAGTTTTCTGCATATGGCTAGCCAGTTTTCCCAACACCATTTATTAAATAGGAAATCCTTTCCCCATTGCTTGTTTTTGTCAGATTTGTCAAAGAACAGATGGTTGTAGATGTGTGACGTTATTGCTGAGGGTTCTTTTTTGTTCCATTGGTCTATATATTTGTTTTGGTACCAGTACCATGCTGTTTTGGTTACTATAGTCTTGTAGTATAGTTTGAAGTCAGGTAGCGTGATGCCTCCAGCTTTGTTCTTTTTGCTTAGGATTATTTTGGCCATATGGGCTCTTTTTTGGTTCCATATGAAATTTAAAGTAGTTTTTTTCTAATTTTGTGAAGAAAGTCAGTGGTAGCTTGATGGGGGGGATAGCATTGAATCTATAAATTACTTAGGGCAGTATGGCCATTTTCACAATATTGATTCCTCCTATCCATGAGCATGGAATGTTTTTTTCTGTTTGTTTGTGTCCTGTCTTTTTTCCTTGCGCAGTGGTTTGTAGTTCTCCTTGAAGAGGTCCTTCACATCCCTTGTAAGTTGTATTTCTAGGTATTTTAATCTCTTTGTAGCAATTGTGAATGGGAGTTCACTCATAATTTGGCTCTCTGTCTATTATTGGTGTATAGGAGTGCCTGTGATTTTTGCACATTGATTTTGTGTCCTGAGACTTTGCTGAAGTTGCTTATCAGCTTAAGGAGATTTTGGGCTGAGACGATGGGGTGTTCTAAATATACAGTCATGTCATCTGCAAACAGAGACAATTTGATTTCCTCTCTTCCTATTTGAATACCCTTTATTTCTTTCTCTTGCCTGATTGCCGTGGCCAGAACTTCCAATACTATGTTGAATAGGAGTGGTGAGAGAGGGCATCCTTGTCTTGTGCTGGTTTTCAAAGGGAACGTTTCCAGGTTTTGCCCATTCAGTATGATATTGGCTGTGTGTCATAAACAGCTCTTATTATTTTGAGATACGTTGCATAAATACCTAGTTTATTAAGAGTTTTTAGCATGAAGGGGTGTTGAATTTTATCAAAGGCCTTTTCTGCATCTATTGAGATAATCATGTAGTTTTTGTTATTGGTTCTGTTTATGTGATGGATTACGTTTAGTAATTTGTGTATGTTGAATCAGCCTTGCATCCCAGAGATGAAGCCAACTTGATCTCGGTGGATAAGCTTTTTGATGTACTGTTGGAATCAGTTTGCCAGTATTTTATTCAGGATTTTTGCATCGATGTTCATCAGGAATATTGGCCTGAAATTTTCTTTTTTTGTTGTTTCTGCCAGGTTTTGGTATCAGGATGATGCTGGCCTCATTAAATGAGTTAGGGAGGAGTCCGTCTTTTTCTGTTGTTTGGAATGGTTTCAGAAGGAATGGTACTGCCTCCTCTTTGTACCTCTGGTGGAATTCAACTGCAAATTCTTCAGGTCCTGGGCTTTTTTGGTTGGTAGGCTATTAATTACTAGCTCAATTTCAGAACTTGTTATTGGTCTATTCAGGGATTCGACTTTTTCCTGGTGTAGTCTTGGGTGGGTATATGTGTCCAGCAATTTATCCATTTCTTCTGGATTTTCTAGTTTATTTGCGTAAAGGTGTTTATAGTATTCTCTGATGATAGTTTGTATTTCTGTGGGATCAGTGGTGATATCCCCTTTATCATTTTTTATTATGTCTGTTTGATTCTTCTCTCTGTTCTTCTTTATTAGCAGTCTATTTTGTTAATCTTTTCAGAAAACCAGCTCCTGGATTCTTTTGGAGAGTTTTTTGTATCTGTATCTCCTTCAGTTCTGGTCTGATCTTAAGTTATTTCTTGTCTTCTGCTAGCTTTTGAATTTGTTTGCTCTTGCTTCTCTAGTTCTTTTAATTGTGATATTAGAGTGTCAATTTTAGATCTTTCCCACTTTCCCCTGTGGGCATTTAGTGCTGTAAATTTCCTTTTAAATGCTGCTTTAGCTGTGTCCCAGAGATTCTGGTACATTGTGTCTTTGTTCTTATTGGTTTCAAAGAACTTATTTATTTATTTATGTATTTATTTATTTATTTATTTATTTATTTTTTTGAGACGGAGTCTCGTTCTGTCGCCGAGGCTGGAGGTGCAGTGGCGCAGTCTCGGCTCACTGCAAGCTCCGCCTCCCGGGTTCACGCCATTCTCCTACCTCAGCCTCCCGAGTAGCTGGGACTACAGGCGCTTGCCACCACGCCCAGCTAACTTTTTTGTCTTTTTAGTAGAGACAGGGTTTCACTGTGTTAGCCAGGGTGGTCTGGATCTCCTGACCTCGTGATCCGCCCGCCTCGGCCTCCCAAAGTGCTGGGATTACAGGCGTGAGTTTATTTCTGCCTTAATTTCGTTATTTATCCAGTAGTCATTCAGGAGCGGGTTGTTCAGTTTCCATGTAGTTGTGTGGTTTTGAGTGAGTTTCTTAATCCTGAGTTCTAATTTTATTGCACTGTAGTCTGAGAGACTGTTTGTTATGATTTCTGTTCTTTAGTATTTGCTGAGGAGCGTTTTACTTCCAACTATGTGGTCAATTTTAGAATAAGTGCGATGTGGTGCTGAGAAGAATGTATATTCTGTTGATTTGTAGTGGAGAGTTCTGTAGATGTCTATTAGGTCTGCTTGGTCCAGAGCTGAGTTCAAGTCCTGAATACCCTTGTTAATTTTCTGTCTCATTCATCTGTCTGATATTGACAGTGGGGTTTTAAAGTCTTCCGCTATTATTGTGTGGGAGTCTAAGTTTCTTTGTAGGTCTCTAAGAACTTGCTTTATGAATCTGGGTGCAGCTGTATTGGGTATTGTGTATGTTGAACCAGGCTTGCATCCCAGAGATGAAGCCAACTTGATCTCAGTGGATAATCTTTTTGATGTACTGCTGGAATCGGTTTGCCAGTATTTTATTCAGGATTTTCGCATTGATGTTCATCAGGGATATTGGCCTGAAATTTTCTTTTTTTGTTGTGTTTCTGCCAGGTTTTGGTATCAGGATGATGCTGGCCTCATTAAATGAATTAGGGAGGAGTCCCTCTATTTAGGATAGTTAGCTCTTCTTGTTGCAATGATCCCTTTACCATTTTGTAATTCCCTTCTTTGTCTTTTTTTATCTTTGTTGGTTTAAAGTCTGTTTTATTAGAGACTAGGATTGCAACCCCTGCTTATTTTTCCTTTCCATTTGCTTGATAAATATTCCTCCATCCCTTTATTTTGAGCCTGTGTGTGTCTTTGCACATGGTATGGGTCTCCTGAATACAGCACACTGATGGGTCTTGACTCTATCCAATTTGCCAGTCTGTGTCTTTTATTTGGGGCATTTAGCACATTTACATTTAAGGTTAATATCCTTTCTTCCACCTGATCGATTCGGCTATTGATACTGTGTACACTTCATGAAGTTCTTGTGCGGTGTTTTTCAGCTTCATCAGGTCATTTATGTTCTTCTCTAAACTGGTTAGAGACTAGGATTGCAACCCCTGCTTATTTTTCCTTTAGTTAGCAATTCCTCTAACCTTTTTTCAGGGTTCTTAGTTTCCTTGTATTGGGTTAGAACATGCCTCTTTAGCTCGGAGTAGTTTGTTATTACCCACTTTCTGAAGCCTACTTCTGTCAATTTCATCAAATTAATTCTCCATCCAGTTTTATTCCCTTGCTGGCGAGGAGTTGTGATCCTTTAGAGGAGAAGAGGCATTCTGGTTTTTGGAATTTTCAGCCTTTTTGTGCTGGTTTTTCCTCATCTTTGTGGATTTATCTACCTTTGGTCTTTGATGTTGGTGACCTTCGGATGGGGATTTTGTGTGGACGTCCTTTTTGTTGATGTTGATGCTATTCCTTTCTGTTTGTTAGTTTTCCTTCTAATAGGCCCCTCTGCTGCAGGTCTTCTGGAGTTTGCTGGGGGTCCACTCCAGACCCTGTTTGCCTGGGTATCACCAGTGGAGGCTGCAGAACAGCAAAGATTGCTGCCTTTTCCTTCCTCTGGAAGCTTTGTCCTAGAGGGGCACCCGCCAGATGCCAGCTGGAGCTCTCCTGTATGAGATGTCTATCGACTCCTGCTGGGAGGTGTCTCCCAGTCAGGAGGCATGGGGGTCAGGAACCCACTTGAGGAGGCAGTCTGTCCCTTAGCAGAGCTCTAGTGCTGTGCTGGGAGATCCACTGCTTTCTTCAGATCCAGCAGGCAAGAACGTTTAAGTCTGCTGAAGCTGCGCCCACAGCCACGCCTTCCGCCAGGTGCTCTGTCCCAGGGAGATGGGAGTTTTATCTATAAGCCCCTGACTGGGCCTGCTGCCTTTCTTTCAGAGATGCCCTGCCCAGAGGGGAGGAATCTAGAGAGGCAGTCTGGCTACAGTGGCTTTGCAGAGCTGCTGTGGGCTCCATCTAGTTCAAACTTCACTGCAGCTTTATTTACACTGTGAAGGGAAAACCGCCTACTCAAGCCTCAGTAATGATGGGTGCCTCTCCCCCCACCAAGCTCTAGCATCCCAGGTTGACTTCAGACTGCTGTGCTGGCAGTGAGAATTTCAATCCAGTGGATCTTAGCTTGCTGAGCTCCATGGGGTTGGGATCTGCTGAGCTAGACCACTTGGCTCCCTGGCTCCAGCCCCCTTTCCAGGAGAGTGAATGGTTCTGTCTCACTGGCATTCCAGACACCACTGAGGTATGAAAAAAAAAACTCCTGCAGCTAGCTCAGTGTTGCCCAAATGGCCGCCCAGTTTTGTGCTTGAAACCCAGGGCCCTGATGGTGTAGGCACCCAAGGGAATCTCCTGGTCTGCGGGTTGCAAAGACCACGGGAAAAGCGTAGTATTTGGGGCAGAGTGTACCATTCCTCACAGCACAGTCCCTCACAGCACGGTCCCTCACAGCTTCCCTTGGCTAGGGGAGGGAGGGAGTTCCCTGACTCCTTGTGCTTTCTGAGTGAGTTCCCTGACTCCTTGCGCTTTCCACCCTGCTTCTGCTTGCCCTCCGTGGGCTGTACCCACTGTCTAACCAGTCCCAATGAGATGAGCCAGGTACCTCAGTTGGAAATGCAGAATCACCCACCTTCTGCATTGATCTCGCTGGAAGCTGCAGACTGGAGTTGTTCCTATTCGGCCATCTTGCCAGCCACCCCCTACTGTGTGATTTTTAATGGCATCAGAATAGTTCATTGTAGGGCTGTTCCATAATTTATTTGTACAAGTCACCTCTATGTGGATATTTAGATTGTACACATATACACACCCCTTTGTGCAAGTGTCTTGCTATTTCCTTAGAAAAAATCTTATATATGAAGATACTGCATAAAGTCATATGTACATGTTTTAGAATTGTTGTGAGGATTCAGTTACGTGCTATTATAAAGCTTTACAACAATGCCTGACAGTAAAATCTCAAGGAGTTTTGATAGTATGGTGATAGTTTTCATTGTCTCAGTCTTGCCGCTTGACTTTGAGCCCCTAAATAAGGTGACTGCTTCAATTGGAAAAACATCAGAGATCCTTACTCAAAGTGGCCTGAACAATAAGGAAATTTCTGATTCTTGATTAAATGATAAAGAGATTTTATTACAGGATGCTCAGGGGGGCTAAGTACAGAACTCGTTAATTCAGAAGCTCAAGAGTATCAATGAAGAAACAGTCTCTCAATGTATGTTACCTGCCATTCTCGCTAAGTTAGCTTTTCTTCAAGCTAGTGCCATCCCATGATACAGTGCTTACTGAGAGTCATACTTGAATCAAAAGAAGAAAAGGCTAGTTCTCTCTCACTCTATTTAAGGGCAGTGAAGTCTTTTTCTGAAGTACCTAGCAGATTTACCCTCACATTTCATTTGCCATTATTGAATAAATAGAATGGGACCACCATGATTAGCTTAGACCATTGTTTTTCATACCTTTTGATTTTGACACACTAGGAAATACATTTTACTTCGTCATGACGAGGGCACTTATCACACATCACTTCTGTTTGGGTATATGTATGTCTGTCTTATACAATTAAATGTAATTCAAAATAAGTTTCTCAAAATAATGCTTATCTTTACTACTGATTGTAAGTTAAATGCTATTTTACTTATGTTTAAATAGGTTTTTAATACCTAAATACAAAAATTTAGAACAGATTTAACTTAATGTATAGATATGGGCTGTTCATGAATTTTTTTCAGTCTGGAATACATGAGGACAATGCTATGAGCATATATAGTACATGGTTGAGCCGTTTTTTCAAATTTTGGGTCAAGATTAAAAATACCTTTTTACACAAACAGGTCATTGTGAGTAGCAAAATAATCTTAATAATAATTTATTCAGATGAGATTCATCAATGAATTCTGTACTTAGTAGGAGGGGATTACACAAGTGTATCAATACCAGGATTTGAGGATCATTGGGAACCATCTTGGAAGCTGCCTAGCACAAAGTATGAGGCAACTAAATGCAGTATGTCATCCTAGGTTGAATTATGGATTGGGAAGAAAATGCTGTGAAGAAAAATTGAGAAAATTGATGATTTGAGCATGGGTTGAATGTTAGGTAATATTATTACATCAGTATGTTTTCTAATTTTAATAATTGTATTATGGATATGTAAGTCAATGTTTTTGTTATTTGGAACTATACGCTGAAGTATTTATGTGAAGGAAGGGTAATAAAGTTTTAGTACTATTCTTGCATGCCTTCTCTAAATTTGAAATTATTTCAAAGTTAAAATTTAAAAATGTCAAGAGAGATTGTTTTAAAATGAAAACAATGTGAGTCTGGTTCTTAAGTTCATACATACTGAATACATTATATGTATGTCGTGTATGTCAATCCTTTTAATAGGCTGTTGGATTTAGTTTATTAGTATTTTGTTGAGGATTTTTGAACTGGTATTCATAGGAAATCAGTTCAAATGTAGGTTTCTTTCTTCTTGAGGTATCTTTGGCTTTGGTATCAGGGTAATGCTGGCCTCATAGAATAGGTAAGAAGTATTGGCTCCTCTTCTGTTTTTTTAAAGAGTTTGAGAAGGATTGGTGTTCTTCAAATGTTTGGTAGAATTCACCAATGAAACTGTATGGTTCTGAACTTTTTTTTGTTGGGAGAGTTTTGATTACTTATTGACTGTACTTATAGGTTTGTTCAGATTTTATATTTCTTCTTGAGTCAGTTTTGGCAATGTTGGTGTTCTTAGTAATTTGTCCATTTTTTATTCTCCTACCATGTATCTGGTTTAATGTATATGGAACAATAATGTGTTTTTGCATTGTGTAAACACATCTGATTTAATTTTATGTGAAGTTACATTTAAACCATATAAAATAAATCCTCCATTAAACTGCCTTGCCTTGCATATCTAACCTAAAATGCATTTATCACTTGAGCATTCCATTTGCTTCACATTCACATCAATATTTGTTATTTTCCATTGTTTTCATTTTAGCCCTGTGGTAGGGGTGTTCCAAGTGATTTTGTTTTTTAAGTTTGAAGTTTTATTTCAACACTGTCATCTACAAGAATATCATTACCAACAACACATCTGGGGTCCGTCATTTTTATTGTTTTGCACATTTATAAAACCATGTTTTAAATCAAGCTTATTTTAAAGTCGTATGGTTATTATTTTCTATATAAAATGTGGCTCAAGTCAAGTCAGAGATTACTGATTGGAGTCAACATTTTCTCTCAATTTTGTCACTATCAACACTTCCAAATCTGGTAGTTGGGCTTGCCTCTGTAGGTTTTACTTCACTGTCTTTTTTTCTTCTGAGTATAGAGTGATTCATTTTAAGGACTGCTTATACTAAATCAGTTAAAATATTACAGTTGCTGAGAATTTGAAAAATTTTATACTCAATAACATTCTTTCTGAAAAATACACTGAAAGTTTTTAACTAAACTTGGTTGAAAGAATCAGCTCTTTGCCGATAGATAAACTTCTCACATGCTTTGCTTTTAACTCTGCAGAGTTACTCTTTAACCTCTTCATTATCGTCAAATTGACCATCCATGTCAGAAGATCAAATGAGTTATCAGTGAACCAAATACCTATTCCTGACCAATTTATGTTGTATTCCTCTCACATGATAGTCTCAATTGGCTGCATTGTTCATTCTATTGTTCATTCGATGTTAAGGGTATATACAATATGCTGTATGTGGTTTATTCTATTCCTTTATTTTTTTATGCCGGTGGCAAATCACTGATTTAATTTTATGATCCACTAATTGATCATAACCCTCAGTTTGAAAAACATGGATTTTAACCAGTCACCATTGTCTGTGGGAGGTGGGACCAGCTTTTCCAAAGCATATGGCCTTGCAGAAATGGGATAAATGCTAGACACACGGTCAGGCTTCTGTTTGAAAGGAGGAGAAGGGGTTGACAACTAGAGGTTAGGATAGGCAACCAAAATAATCTGCTGCAGAGACTGTCGCTTACTCATTTAGCTGTCCTAAGCATCTGATGTGCTAGGAAGTACTGTATCAACTTGTTTCCCTTATTCTAATGGCTCTTAACGATTATTCTTCCTTTTTCCGGTTTGTTTGTAGTTTTGTGTTCCTCAGATATTTTTTCTTGTTGCTATCATTGTGCTTGCCTTTACATTGCCATACTATCTCCTACCCACCCATTTTAAAAAGTTCCCTTTTCATTTTGCTGCTTTTCATCTGCTTAGACAAAAGACTAGCTTCTTAAAAGCTGTGGCTCAGAGTAACCAAGTTCTCAGTAAGATCTAAGGTTTTACTTTACGATCTTTTTCATGGTGATATTTGCTTATTAGATTTTTAAAATGACATCCAAAATTTTTAGCTGCGGCCTGGCTAGTTACCAATAAGTTATCTCTGAAATACAGAAGTGCTCCTGTACCCTTCAGTCTTCCAGAACAAAAGCTTCTGCTGTTATTAAATGGTAATAATGTAATCACAATACTTGGGGACTCTACTAGATTATATTCCTTGTTTTCCTTGATGTTGGGTAAAGAGAAGTCTCCTGTCCCACAGATCATTAATTTTAGAATTATGAGTAATAGCGAATGTATTCATTGTTGTAACCTAGCTTCAGTTAGTCAACAAATACTTTAAAATATTGCATTTCATCAATTGTAAGATGCTCATTTTCTGACTTTTTTTTTTTTTTTTTTTTTTTTTTTTTTTTTTTGTTTGAGACGGAGTCTCACACCGTCACCCAGGCTGGAGTGCAGTGGCACGATCTACGCTCACTGCAAGCTCCACCTCCTGGGTTCATGCCATTCTCCTGCCTCAGCTTCTGGAGTAGCTGGGACTACAGGTGTCCGCCACGGCGCACGGCTAATTTTTTGTATTTTTAGTAGAGACAGGGTTTCACCGTGTTAGCCAGAATGGTGTCGATCTTCTGAGCTCGTGATCCGCCCACCTCGGCCTCCCAAAGTGCTGAGATTACAGGCGTGAGCCACCACGCCTGGCCATTTTCTGACATTTTAATACCTCTGAAATCAGAATGCAGCTTACATTTAATGGTGTCCTACAGTTGCTGTTGTCCCTGTGGTAAATCATGGTGTAGTTTCCACATGAACTTGGTTGCTAATCCTAGAGACATGACTGAACTGCACACCTTTCACTGTTTTAGTTAACAAACCATTGAATAATAAACCATTTAAGGACCTTTCAGAAAAGGAGTTTTGTCACTGTCCAAAATGTCTTCTGTTAATAACCTCTGTTAAGATTCAGATAGTGCTACCACCAACATGGCACATGTATACATATGTAACAAACCTGCACGTTGTGCACATGTACCCTAGAACAACTTAAAGTATAATAATAAGAATAAAATAAAATAAAAAGATTAAGATAGTGCTACTATCATCAAAGCTTCTAAGAATGTGCATCTGAAGCTTGAAAGTCCCAGAGACAACAGAGGATTACTCTTTTAAGAAATGCTGCGTTATCAAGGATCTTGTTAGTATAAAAAACAATACTGCATGGAAAACCTTGACACCTATGATTTTGAATATAAAAGTGATCAGAAGAGTTGAACACTGAATGTGAAGAAATTTTAGGAATAGCTTAGCCAGTTTAGATTGCTTATATTTTCTTATTTGTACATGATATATGGTTCTTACGGTTTCTAAATAAGTCTAAAGAGCTCTTTCAATATTTAACAAATAAATAAAAAATGTAAGCAGTAAGAAAGCATGTGTCATGGTTTAATTGACTATTTTCTTCCTTAGTGGTATATAAAATGGTGCTTCATATAAACAGTACTGTCTTCAATTTGATGAAACGAGTTTGATTTACTGTCTTACTGTTATTTTACTGCTTCCTATTATAACATGTTTTCTTCTCCATAACACTATAAGGCCGTGCATGAATGTTAGAGACTATGTCTCATTGTGATCTAGCAGCCACAGTATCATCCGGGAACTTGTTAGAATGCAAATTCTTAGACCCCACCCTAGACCTACTGAATCAGGAATCTGGATGTGGGTGTGTTACCAAGCCATACAGGTGATTTTAATGCAAGCTTAAGTTTGAGAACCACTGCTCTGGGCACAATTTCAGGCAAGGGAAAAATACTGGTACTGTTATATTCAAATTAGGTATATATGCATAGCTTAAAAGAGTAAGAAGCCACAGATGCCTTGACTTTAGCTTAATTCTGCTAACAGTGTGTCTAAGAGGAATGAAGAAATTTACCATGGTGTGTGTTAGCTAACCACCAGTAATATAGGCAGAGTAATGGAATAGTCCAAGAACTACATCTCCTTCACTGTTAATATTTGATCTTTGTCTTTTCAGCATGACGTATCCCAGACTTTACTCAAGGCAACACTGGACAGTGTTGTAGAAGAATGTGTCAGCTTTGTGGGAGTGGATATTAACATCTGTTCAGAAGTTTTGTTAAGGTGAGACAAATATGTGGCTGAAGATCACAGAATCTTGAGTTTAACTGGCTGTCCAGTCCAAACTCGGCTAGAAGAAGGGAACACGTGTATAAAGTTGTCAAGTAGAGAACGTCTATGGGTTTATACATTGCTTTAAGTAATCAGAGGGGAAGACATCATTTAAGAAAAGAATTATAACAATTCACATTATCATTTTTAATATTGCAGGTCTAAAGTGAAGAGCATATGGTAACCATTGAGTGTATTAGTGTTGCTAATAGAATTTAAATAAGGTTAACATGGAAAAGAGCTGTTTCCCACCACGTGAGAGTAGAGATTTTTCACTAGTTAAGCCTCTTGCATGCATCTGTCAAACCTGGCAGTAACCAAAAGATAAATTCTGAGGGTTCAAGGTATGGTTACCATATTTTTACCCTGATTCCACAAGAAACCTGTCAAAATTTTTATCATACTATAATCGCATGTTATATAATCTTCTTTTCCCCCATGGTTTTAGAAGAGCTGCTTTTTTGTTCACAGTTTTGCATTTATTACACAAGTCTGCTAATGCAGCATGAAATTCCCTGATCTGGACCGTTTTCACTGAAACAGGTATAGCAGAAACTGTCCCTTACATTTTAAGTTGTTGATTTTCTAACACATCTACAAACATTTCATAATTTCATATATGGAATTTTATAATAGAGTTGAGATTCTCTGAAATAATCTTTTGACACCAAGCAAACTACCTAATGATATAGTCTTTGTATATAATTTATACTAACCATGACAATTATAGATAAGGGCCTTTCTGTAGTTCAGCTCTATATTACTGAGAACAGGCTAACACACAAAAAAGGTAGTACAACACAGTTGTAGCTATTATAACTTCTTCTAACTCACTTTGTATGTATGCTGAAAAAAATAGGCAAAATTATTACTTTATCCAGAAACATAAGGAATGTGAATAGTATAGAAAAACTAAGGAACATTTTTTTCTTGCATCAGTGTTAGCCTTCTTACCAGCATCTTTATGACAGCTGTTGGTTTTGTCATTATTTTTTTATTCTGTTGTCCTTCTTTCCTCTTGCACAACTCTTTTTTTCTCCGTTTTTTTTTTGTTTTTTTTTTTAAACTCCCTTTTGGATTAACTTAACTTAGCCGTATGAGGATATGTCATTGCAGTCGTTTTTATGATCCAAATGTTTTATATCATTGTCTTTTCAGATGAGATCTTTTTTTCAGTTTGCTTATTTTTTTTTTCTAGGCATATTGCAGGACTCAATGCCAACAGGGCCAAAAATATTATTGAATGGCGAGAGAAAAATGGACCCTTTATCAACCGAGAACAGCTGAAGAAAGTGAAAGGGCTGGGCCCAAAATCCTTCCAACAGTGTGCTGGCTTCATCAGAATCAACCAGGATTATATCCGAACGTTTTGCAGGTGAGTATAAGTATACACTTTGATTCTATTGTCAACCTCCTCTCTTGTTACTGTTACCTATCCTACCACTGATTAGTGTAAAATTTTCTAAGTGTCCATTGTTCATGCCTTCATTCAGTTAAGTGTTGAGTGACTGTCCTTTGGTAGGCATTGGGAATACAACAGTGAGCAAGTCAGCAAATTCCGGATTCTCATGGAGTTATATTTTAACATGTGACACAGACAATAAGCAAACTAGTAAAATTAGTACTTTCAGATGGCAAGAAGTGCTATAAAAATTAAAGCAGGGATATGTGACACTGTCTTAGGAGAGTAATACAACTACTTTAGATTCGTTATTTTTTGAAAACTTATTTGAGCAGAGTTTTGAATGAAATGCCATCCAAGGATCAGAAAGAGAGCATTCCAGGCAAAGTGAACACTAAGTGTGCACAGTCCTAAGGCAGGACCAACTTTGGTGTATTCAGGAAATGAGGCAAAGGCCCACACAATTAGGGCATAGCAAATGGGAAGGACTGGTACAAGATGAGGTGACAATGGTGACTTCAAAATGACCACTTTATACTGACATAGCTGTTCCCTAAGCATAGATATGTTTCCCCACTCCCTCCTCACTGAAAATGGACCAAAGCATTGATTATCAGTTGTGTGGATCAAGAGCTAAATTTCTTTATTTTCTAATCCTGAAAGCACAAAAGCTTGTTAGATAAACTTCTTAGCATGATATAATCATGAAAGAAGAACATTTACGTATCTGCTACTTTGGGACTACGTGGTTAATTCATATGGACTTTATAATTTTGACAAAATTATAATAGAGGTCATATGGAAGATAACCTTTCTTCTGGAAAAGACTGATTAAGCCTCACTAGAATACATTATAAAGCTGTGGAAATTAAACAGTTTGCTTTTGATGTAGGAATAGCACAGAATAAGGTCTGAAATCCACCAAAACATGGTTAGAATTTAGTTTGTGGTAAAGGTGACATTTCAAATGGTAGGGTAAAATTGATTAATTATCTAACAAATGATATTATGACAACTGCCAGTAATTCAATATGTGTGAAGGAAGCTGTAGTCCCACTTCTCACTCCTATACCCAGATAAATTACAGATTTATCATAGACTTAAATGTCAAAAAAAGTAAAAAACTGTAAAAGCACCAGAAGAAAACATGGGGAAATCTTGCAGAGCATTAGAGTGATGGAAATTCTTTCTAAATAGATCATGAAACCTAGAAGTCACAATTGAAAAAAATTGAAGATAAAATGATTCTGTTTTTGTTAGTTTATATGTTCTTTGAACACTTGGTTAGAAAACTCACAGCATAGGCCAGGAGCCGTCGTTCACCTGAGGCCAGGAGTTTGTGACCAGCCTGGCTAACATGGTGAAACCCCGTCTCTACTAAAAATACAAAAATTAGCTGAGCATGGTGGTGCTCACCTGTAATCCCAGCTACCCAGGAGGCTGAGACAGGAGAATTGCCTGAACCCAGGAGGTGGAGGTTGCAGTGAGCCGAGATCATGCCGCTGCACTCCAGCCTGGGCGACAGAACAAGATCCTATCTGTCTCAAAAACAAGCAAACCAAAAAAACACCAAAAAACTCACAGTATAAAAAAAGAACAAAAAGTAAAAGATGCCTCTCAAGTCTCACTTGAAAAAGTTTCTTATATGTTGCTTCCAGAAAGTAAATTTACAGTTATGTCACCTTGTATGTATATGTTTATTATTTTAAAAATGTATACACAAGGGATCAGGCTCTGCAACTATTTGAAACTTGCTTTATTTGTTTCAGTCTTCTGGATCTCTTTCCAAATTATTACATATAGATTTCTAATTTTTTATTCTTTATATTGTCTGCATAAAATTTAATTGTATGGATGGGCTGTAATTTAGTCTAATCAGTGTCTTATTGATGAAGCTTATTTTAAAGCCTTGTACTTTTCCAGCTGATAATTAGGTACTTGAAGATTTGTGACTGTTACATCTCATGAACTATAGGTTTATTCAGAATGGAATATTGCTACCACATTTAATGTTTTTTGCTTTGAAATTTATTTGCTAGCAATGTTACTGTATATGCCTGTTTTTTTTAATTTTTATACTTTCTATGACATTTAATTTTTGATATGGCTCTTAGAAACACATAGCTAGATTTTGTGGTTTTACTCAATCTGTTATTAATACATTCATATTTGTTGTATTTATTTATATGTTTGGGCTTATTCTTCCTACGTATTTTGCCCCTCCATCATGCTTTCTGATTCTTCTTTTCCTTTTACGCTATTTATTAGATTTATCAGTTAATAAGTTTTCTGTTTCTCTCCTTGTTTTCCCATCTCATCTTTATCTCTCCTTAGTGATTTCAAAGTTGTACATCTTCTATTCTTATGATCATCCTTAAATTGGTTTTGGACTGACCTCTGGAGTTAATAGGTGTCTGTCCTCTTAGAGAAGACTAGAAACAGGATCCTTCCCAATCTTTCTCTCTTCAACTCTCTCTGCCTCCCATGATAAGATGATCTGGGATTTTAGTTTCAGACTCCTCTCCTCTCCTCTCCTCTCCTCTCCTCTCCTCTCCTCTCCTCTCCTCTCCTCTCCTCTCCTCTCCTCTCGTCTCCTCTCGTCTCCTCTCCTCTCCTCTCCTCTCCTCTCCTCTCCTCTCCTCTCCTCTCCCGTCCCCTCCCCTCCCCTCCCCTCCCCTCCCCTCCCCTCCCCTCCTTTTCTCTCACTCTCTCTATATATTTTATACATATATAAAAATATTTTATGTATATTTTTGTTTTTTAACCTATATATACGTATACAGACTATATGCATGTGTATATACGTGTGTATATACATATACACATACACACTATATATACACACTCCTCCATATATATAAAATATATTCTTATAGATGTATATTTTTGTTTTTTAAATGTGTGTATATACACATATACACACTATATGTGTGTATATACATACTATATACACACTATATGTGTGTATATACATACTATATACACACTATATGTGTGTATATACATACTATATACACACTATATGTGTGTATATACATACTATATACACACTATATGTGTGTATATACATACTATATACACACTATATGTGTGTATATACATACTATATACACACTATATGTGTGTATATACATACTATATACACACTATATGTGTGTATATACATACTATATACACACTATATGTGTGTATATACATACTATATACACACTATATGTGTGTATATACATACTATATACACACTATATGTGTGTATATACATACTATATACACACTATATGTGTGTATATACATACTATATACACACTATATGTGTGTATATACATACTATATACACACTATATGTGTGTATATACATACTATATACACACTATATGTGTGTGTATGTACATACTATATAACACTGTGTGTGTACATACTATATACACACTATATGTGTGTGTACATACTATATACACACTATATTGTGTGTACATACTATATACACACTATATGTGTGTGTACATACTATATACACACTATATGTGTGTGTACATACTATATACACACTATGTGTGTGTGTACATACTATATACACACTGTGTGTGTGTACATACTATATACACACTGTGTGTGTGTATATACATACTATATACACACTATGTGTGTGTGTATATACATACTATATACACTATGTGTGTATGTGCATACTATATACACACTATATACACACTATGTGTGTACACACACTATACACACTATGTGTACACACACACTATATACACACTATGTGTGTACACACACTACAGACACTATGTGTGTACACACACTATATACACACTATGTGTGTACACACACACTATATACACACTGTACACACACACTATATACACACTATACATACTACATATATACTATATAGTGTATATGTATATATGTGTATATACACATAATGTATATATATTTACATCATTCATGAGCACTTATTTAATTTAATCAGTTTTTGTGGTTTCTGCACTGTTTCTTGTAGTTCATATCATCATTTTTCTTTGATTTATTGGTTTTTGCTAGAATTAATCCTTAAGAAATTCTTTTAGAGCTTGGTATGGGTTATACTTAAGTCCTTACATACCTGCAAATGATTTCAATTTGCCCTCCTACTTGAATGCTAATTTGACTAGGTATGCGATTCTAA
The DNA here is from genome assembly GCF_000001405.40 of Homo sapiens. Lineage (NCBI taxonomy): Eukaryota > Metazoa > Chordata > Mammalia > Primates > Hominidae > Homo > Homo sapiens. Next base: position 45,414,163 of record NC_000002.12, on the reverse strand, counting down.
ATTCAAAATCATTTTCTCTCAGAAACTTTAAGATATTGTTCCACTATGTTCTGACATCTGATGTTTGCCAGTGAGAAATCTGATGCTAGTCTGATTCCAGATCCTTTTAAAGTAATGTTTTAATTTTCTCTCTTGAAAGCCTTTTAGAATTTTAAAGATTATTTATATTGTAAAGTTTATCCATGATATGTCAAGTATGAGTCTTTTGCTTTTCTTTTCTTTCTTTTTTTTTGAGACAGTCTCTCCCTCTGTTGCCCAAACTGGAGTGCAGTGGCAGGATCTCAGCTCACTGCAACCGCCGCCTGCCAGGTTTAAGTGATTCTCCTGCCTCAGCCTCCCAAGTAGCTGGGACTACAGGCAGGCATGCACCACCACACCCAGCTAATTTTTTTATTTTTGGTACAGACAGGGTTTCATCATGTTGGCCAGGCTGGTCTCGAACTCCTGACCTCAGGTGATCTGCCTGCCTCGGCCTCCCAAAGTGTTGGGATTACAGGTGTGAGCCACTGCGCGAAGCCAAGTATGAGTCTTTTTCTATTCATCCTGTTCTACACTCAATAGATTCTTTTGAGAGCTTGTTTTTCTTAGCTCTGGGAAATATTATTATTTTGTTTCCCTACATTTTCCTCTTTTCTCTCTTAGAATGGCAATTATACAATCAGTTAAGAATGTTTTTGGCTTTAAGTAACAGAAAGCCCTTTTCCCAGTGATTTAAACAAATAAGTGGTAGTTTCTATGAAGTAAAAGGTCAAAATCTGGTTGCTGTTTTCGCATATTTGTATGACAGAGAAGTAAGCACATTTTAATTTGAAGACTTTTCTGCCCAACCTTCCCCTTTTCATAAATGTGGTTTTTTCTGGTTTTATATAGTCAGCAAACTGAAACTTCAGGCCAAATTCAAGGAGTTGCTGTGACATCTTCAGCAGACGTTGAGGTCACAAATGAGAAGCAGGGCAAAAAGAAGAGCAAAACTGCAGTGAATGTTTTACTGAAGCCAAATCCTTTGGACCAAACTTGTATTCATCCAGAATCATATGACATAGCAATGAGGTAAGTCTGAGGCCCATGTGGGAATTCTCCATATGCAGAGTGAGTTCTTTACAGCAAATGGCCTTTGTTTTGGCATAATGGAAACTGAAAAATATGACCGTTTAATGTGACAACATTTTTCAGAAGTTCTGCATTGCTGAGTTATGTGGCACATTATTTCATTTCACTGAGGAATGAAACCATTACTCCTGGAGCATTGTCAAGCTAATAAACCCTGATACTAATGGTGAAGTGTGTGTAATGGAAATTGCATGGCACTCCCCTCTGTTTGTTTTGGAAATTAACAAGACACAATTGACTAGCACCTGGCATAAAACTTGTGCTTTTCTAAAGATAAAACCCTTTTGAAAGTAAACAACCAACTCAGCTTTCTTAATATTATCTTTATTGGTTATTAAAATCTTAAAATCTAAGAAATGATGTACTTTTAGTGAGTATACATTAACAGAATGACATGGGGGAAGTTTTTGAGTAGAAGGGAAGTTTACGGTATAAAAAGAAAAATCTTTTTAACAGCATATTTAATTAGCTTTAAATTTTTTTAATTAGTTCAAAAACAGTGACTTGCTACATAACGACATTTTTTAAAGATTCTTACTGAATTGTATGACAGTGTAACAAATATAGTGAATATTTTAACTTTTATTGAATCTAAAATGAGATTTTTGTTTTAAAATCACTTATATTTGATTATTTTAGTAAATGTCATTAATTTGCTTTCTTTTAAAAATATTTAAAAAGACTATAGTATATTATAGAAAACTTAGAAAAAAGAAGTAAAAAATAATATTCTGTGAACATCCAACTAGTTCCTGGTTTCCCCCAACAGTTTTATGATGAAAAAATTTAGCCATACAGAAAAATTGGAAAAAAAATTTTTACAGTGAATTCCTATATAGCCACACCTAGATGTTATCATTAACATTTTATTCTATCTGTTTTTCCACATATCCATCTACTTATCCATCCATCTTATTTTTTTTTGTCTTGTTTTGTTTTGTTTTGTTTTTGAGACAAGATCTCTCTGTCACCCAGACTGGAGTGCAGTGGTGTGATCTCGGCAACCTCTGCCTCCTGGGTTCAAGTGATTCTTGCGCGTCAACCTCCTAAGTAGCTGGGGTTACAGGTGTGCAGCACCACGGTCTGGCTAATTTTTTGTATTTTTAGTAGAGATAGAGTTTCGCTGTATTGTCCAGGCTGGTTTCAAACTCCTGGACTCAAGTGATCCACCCACCTTGGCCTCCCAAAGAGCTGGGATTACAGGCGTGAGCCACTGCACCTGGCCCATCTTATGTTTTTGATGCATTCCAAAGAAGATTGCAGACAGACATTGGTACACTTTGCACTAAATACTTAAGCATTCATATAATTAACTACAATTTGATAATTCTTTACGATTTTTTTCTTTTGAGGTCACATTTACGTAACAATTAAATTTTAAGTTTATATTAGCTGAATTTTGACAAATACCTACTTCTGTGTAACCAAACTGCTGTTGAGATCAGGAACATTTCTATTATCTGAAAACGTTCCCTTATACCTCTTCCGATCAGTTACTGCCCCAACCTCCCAGAGGTAACTACTTGTTTTGATTTTTTTCTACCAAAGGTTAGTTTTCTCCCTCTACCATACAATTGTACTCATCTGTGTAAGGCTTCTTTCAGCATCGTATTTAGAGATTTATCCATGTTGTAGCAAGTACCAGTAGCTTATTTTTTATTGCTCAGTAATATTCCATTGTGTGAATATACCACAGCTTATCTATTTTCCTGTTAATGAAATTTAAGAGATATAGGAAATACCAAACTTTTTTATACTGTCTACTCTCAGTACAACATAGAACACTTTCGTGGCCTCTGGTCACCAAAATATGTAGGGATTTCTCCCCTCCAACCAGTCAATTCTGCAGCAGATTATCCAGCAGACGTCACCTGGGTGTCCTCTAATTTAGTTAATTTCTGACACTATCTACCTGGAGATAGTGTCAGATCCCACAGGTTGAGGGCTCAGAACTACAAGATTGCTCCCAACTTGAGAGGTCTGGTTGTGACCTGTAACTTCAGGATTCCTATGACCCTGGAGTTCAATTAATTTGCCAGTTTGCAGAACTCAGGGAAACATCTACTTAATGTTCATCCACTTATTATAAAGGATATTACAAAGGATACAGATGAACAGCCAGATGAAGAAGATGTATAGGGAAAGGTATAGGGGGAAGGTATATGGGGGAAAGGATATGGAACTTCTACATGGGCATACTACCCTCTAGGAACCTCCAGGTGTTGAGCTATCTAGAAGCTCATTGGAACCCAGGCCTTTTGGGTTTTTAGTAGGTTTCATTACATAGGCATGATTGAATCATTGGCCATTAGTGATCAACTCGACCTTCAGCCCTTCTCCCCTCCCTGGAGGTTGGGGGTCTGGAGCTGAAGGTGACAACCCCTCTAGTCACTTGTTTGGTTTTTCTGGTGACCATCCCCTATCCTGAAGGTATCTAGGGGACCCCAGCTACCAGTCGTGTCATACAAAAGACACTCTTATCTATCACTCTGGAGATTCCAAAGGTTTTAGGAGCTTTTTGCAGGGAAACAGGAGGAAAGCCAGATATGTACTTCCCAATATCACATGAACCTTGCTTATTTCCAGTTTTTGGCCATTGTGAGTAAAACTGCTGTGAATATTCTTGCGCAGTTTTTTTGTTGTCTTTGACCTTTGTTTTCATTTATCTTAGAAAAATACATACGAGAGGAATTGATAAGTCATGAGGTAGATGAAAGTTCAGTTTTCTTGGAACTCCTCTGGTCGTACCATTTCACATTTTACACTTTCACCATGAGAATTCTGGTTACCTTGCATTTTTGTCATGTGACATTAGGTGGTGATGGTTGTTTTTAGCCATTCTAATGTGTGTGGAAAGATCTATGTGGTTTTAATTTGCATTTCCCTGGCAACACTGAACACTTTCTAATGTGCTTACTAGCCATTTTTATATCTTCTTTGTGAAATATTTGTTCATATTATTTGGCCATTTTCTAATTGAATTATTTGCCCTTTTATTATTGAGTTTTGGGGGTTTTAATATATTCTGCAGATATAAAAATGTACTTTGTCAAATATATGATTTATGAATATTTTTTCCCAGTTTGTGGTTTACCTCTATTTTTTTAGAGACAAAAAAAATGTCATATTGCTGTCTTAATAATATTTATCAAGTCTTTTAGTCCATGAACTTATTATGTCAGCATTTATTTAGGTCATCTTTTATTTCTCTAAGCTGTGTCTTTTAGCTTTCAGTGTACAGGTTTTACATGTGTTTTATTAAAGGTGTTATATGTTTTTCAACACTATTGTAAATGGAGTTTTTAAAATTTGCTGCTACTTGTTTGTTGCTAATATATAAAAATACGAGTTTTGTATAATAACCTTATATGCTGCAGACTTGTTAAATTAACTTACTAGTTCTACTAGGTATTTGTACGTTCCTTAAGTTCTCCTATATAAGTAGTTATGTCATCAGTAACTATATTAAACTTTACTTCCTCCATTTTAATCTTCATGCTTCTTTTTTTTCTTTTCTTTATTCTTTTTTTTTTTTTTTGCCTATTGCAATGGCCGGGACCTTCAGTACAGTGTTGAACAGGAATGGTGAGAGTAGATATCCTTGTCTTGTTCTCAACTTTGGGCCATGGTTCAGATTTTTTTAATATAAAAAAAATTGTGGTTCCATAATAATTGTATTTTTAGTGTTTGATGAGAAGGTGCATATGTGCACAGGGATTCATAGACTTCTTGCAATAATTCTGAGGAGTACGTGGAGACTAAATTATCATTTTGTTCTGTGCAAATCACTATCTTTTTTTGGGGGGAGGGGGAGAATCAATCGGAGGGGATGTGGACAGGGTCTCACTTTGTCACCCAGGCAGGAGTGCAGTAGTGTGATCTTGGCTCACTGCAGCCTCAACCTCCTGAGCTCAAGCAATCCTCCCACCTCAGCCCCAAGTAGCTGGGACTACAGGCATGTGCTGTGCCACCATGCCCGGCTAATTTTTGTATTTTTAGTAGAAACGGGGCTTCACCATGTTGTCCAGGCTGGTCTTGAACTCCTTCGCTCAGGCAGTCCTACTCGGCCTCCCAAAGTGCTGGGATTATAGGCGTGAGCCACTGCACCCGGCCAGTATCTTTTATAATGTATGTTTTTGTTTGTTTCCATAATCTAGTTATAATATGGTTTAGAAGTTTTTCAATTTTTGTTAATTTGCTTTCTATTGTAAACACATTTTTTTTGTTTCTGCATACCCCTCTCATTAAAAGCTAGATAATGTTTCATCAACTGATTGAACTGTAACTTATTTTAGTTATAGTAGTGCTAATAGTGGTTCGTTATGATGGATTCCTAGAAGTAGAATTACTCTACCAAAGGGCTTAAAAGTCTTTGTGGCTCTTGAAATACATCACCAAGTAACACACTGATTTATAATGTCATCAGCAATGTTCAAACCTGAAAAATCTTGAATTTCTCCTGTAAACAGGACTTTTTTTTGCCAGCTTTGATGTGGTCCAGTTTCTGCATGTGAAATATAAATGCCCTGCTAGTGACTTCACCTTTCTGTCTGTTTCCTTTGGGACTAAGCTTGTCTCTCAGGAGGAGGGTATTTGTGAAGTATTTAGTGGGAAATTTCTTCTGTTGCAGTCCAACTCCTGACCTTCAAAACCTAGAGATGATCGCTTCTCGGCCTTTTGGCTAAGATCAAGTGTAAAACCTAGAGATGAAATTAGCAATTTATCTTACCATCCCCATTATCCAGTTTGGAACTGTGATAGTAATTTCTGTCTATCAAGTACGCTTAGTTTAAACATCACTCAGCATAGGTAGTTCATACTCTATATATTCTCACACAAGTGTCTTCCCAGGGAAGAAAAAAGCCCATTTAAGATGTGATTAGGTCATCATTGGTTTGATTTCAGTTCTATTAAAAGAATTTTTGTTGCAGTACATTTCATGTTTTAATTATGTCAGAAAACTATTGGAAATAAATGGCTTTAATGTCACCCTTCCATAATATCACCCACATAAATACATCAAAATGTAACATGATTATGTCTTTCTTTTCATGTTTATGATAGTCTGTCTCATATTTGTTTTTAGGAAAATTGAGATTATGATATTTTATAGCCTGAGTTATTTAGTGGTTTAAAGAAAGTCAACTTTTTTGTTTATATTTATTATTTATATAATTTTTTAAAGGCCTTATTTATGTATGAGTTCTTTGAATATTAAAGCCCTTTGTTATATGGACTGGCATTTTTTTCTACTTGTTTACCTTTTATATCTGCTTATAATGTTATGTTTTTGAAGTATGAATGTCTAGTTGTTATGAACTAAAACTTTTTCTGGTTTTTATGCAAGTTGTGTCTTGAGATCCCTCATCTCTAAGATGAGTTCAGTGTTCCCCATATTCTTTGTGTTCTTTACTTTAATAATTACTCTGAATTTTGTTGGTGATGACTTTATTCATCACTTAGAATGTACAGAACACTGTGATAGGGGCTGAAGTATATAAAAATGAATAGAGGTGATTATGCTCTCAAGGAGCCTAATAACTCCTTGGGGAGGATAAAACTTACATTCACAGGTATCACAGTAGTGCTGAACAATTAGAAAGTACCCTTTGTGAAGCACAAAGGTTGTTCCCAGGAAAAAGAACTCATTTCCAAATAGGGGAATCTTGTAAAGTTTTATGCAGAAGGTTACATTTAGGGTAGGTTTTTAAAAATGTCATTCTGTAGAAAGAGGCATTTAGAAAATTGGAGACAGAAAAATATAGCTCAGGCTAGCTTTGGAATAGTTAATGGTCCAGTACAAACAACCTTCATTGACTACTTCCTCATTACCAAGCATGTTAGAAGCATCATCATGTTTAAACCTCACACAGCAACCCTGTGAGGTTGGTACTATTATTATTCCCACTTCTTCAGGTATACAGAGTCTCTGATAGGTAAGTAAATTGCCTAAGCTGACTTAGCTAGTAGAACCAAGATTTGAACTAGATCTATCTCACTTTAAAGCTTGAGCTTTTAACTAGGCTACAATGAAAAAGCTAGCTTGCAGCCAGATTTTAATGAAATCATAATGGTCTTTCCAATTAAAGGTATTGTACCCTAAAGACTCTATGTATTATTCTGCACAGAAAAGTAACAGGGCTTGTGTTACATGTGCTTCTTAAGAAGAAAAAAAAAAAAGTATCTGGAATATGCTGTCTTTGAGTGTTACTCTATCATCACGTGGCTGAAATTTGACACTGCCTTTTCTTTCAAGGAAACATTACCCTGTCCAATAAATGAAACTGTGCCGATTTATTTTATTAAGGGGTATGTAGGAAATGGATTCTTCTCTAGAGTATGTAGAATTTTATGCTGTTCTGCTGCAGATATGCTATTTCCTGAAGAATATTCCACTAAAAATAATTCCCTTCCATCATGTTTTTTATATGAGGCATGTGTTTGCTGTCTTATTTTAGGAGAGGAGTATGGTACAGAGCAGGAGTAGCGTGTTCATCCTAGAGCCAGAGCAGGGTTTTCAGCAAGAGGATGGAGGTAGAATGTCAATTAAATATGGCAAGAGAACCCATGTTATAGAATATATAAGGGGAACATGGGATTTAGAGTATTGCTCTACACTGTTGCCACAAATAGATTTTCCCTCAATAGTTCTTTGAAGCCATTCTATTCTAAATTCCTTTTACTTGTTTCAGTGTCTTCTGACATTCACCTGGTGACAGTTCTTACCTCACTGAAAAAACTCAAAACTACCTTACAATCCTGTCTTCAGATTGTCTCTGTATTTTTACTCCTTCTGCCCCATCCTTCCCTACACTGCTCCTCCATGTCTTGATTCTCTTTCCTTCCCCACCCTGACTTCTGCCAGGTTGCTGCTGAGGACTCCTGACCTTGCCCATTGTATTGATCTCTGTGTCTTAATTGCCTCACCTCTAAATGTGAGGGGTGGGGGAGTGGCAGCCGAATGAATAAGGTTTTTTATAATAGCTTTATAAAGCTTTATAACTAACTGTCTCTTGTATCTTTAATGTCTTCACTTCTTCTCATCATTTTTGGCCAAAGATGTATTATTGCTGGGGTCTCCCTATTCCTCACTTCCGAAAAGCTAGAAGCTGTGGCCACCTTTTATCTTACTTTCCCTTAGACCTTCTAACCCATCACTCCTTCTTTTCATTGCTTACCCTCTCAGAACTATCTGCCTCTAATTCTTTCTTCCTGCTTTCTCCCAGTCCTTTACAATTGGCTTCTATCCTTACCCCTCTTCTGAAATTATTCTCTCAACTAATGACCAGTCGTCTCTTTTACCCATTCTGCCACATTTGACACTATCAACTTACCAACCTTCTACCATGACTTTTATGTTGTCTCTGGTTTCTCTTTCTCCTCTGGCCCTGTAGATGTATATATTCTTCAAGCTTTTGACCTTCATCATTTTTTCTACTTGTTCTACTTGCTTCCTTGGATGATTCTACCCATACACATGACCATCTGTATCTCTTACCTGACTATATAATTCAAATCCTATGTCTTAACATCCCTAGTTCAGGCCTTTCTAAGCTCTAGCCCAACCTTTCCATTTGTCTGTGAGAGATTTTCTCATGAATATCTTAGCAATGGAAACTCTATGTTTCTAAAATTGAAACTTGTACCACCCCCCTTTGTCCCTCCTTTTACAACTCCATCTTCTTTTATCATCAGTCCTCACTAGCCCCACACAAAAACAAGACAAACAAAAAAGGCTCAGTAATGAATAGTTAATGGCATGAATCTCTTTCCATTAACTTAGGCTAGAACTGACAGAATCTTTCATTTAAAAAAGTCTTTTGAGTGATTGCCATATTCCAAGTACTGTTATGCAATCTTGGAATACATTCAAAGATCCCTGCTCTCAAAGAGACACAGTATACAACCAGCATAATAAATAAATTATACAGTGTGATAAAATGTTGTGGGAAACAGGGAAAGAGCAGAGTAATGGAATAGGGATTGCCAGGATTGTGGGTAAGGGTTTGAAAATTTAAGTAGGGTAGTCATCGCAGGCCTCATTGACTTGGTGACATTTAAGAAAAGTCTTGACGGAGGAAAGAGTTAGCTGTGCAGATATCTAGAGAAAGAGTTCCAGGAAGAGGAGCCAGACAGTGTGAAGGTTCGAATGTGGGAGCAGGCATGACATGTTCAAGGAATAACAAGGCAGCCAGTGTGGCCAGAGCAGAGTGAGCAAGGGAGAGAAAAATAGGAGATTGAGTCAAAAGGGCATTGGGAGGCTACTATAGGGGTTTGACTGTAGTTCTGAAAGAGTGATATGATCTGATTTACATGTTAAAAGGATCCCCTTGTCTGCTGTTTTAAGTCCACTGTAAGGGGCAGTGGTAGAAGCAGGGAGACCAGTTAAACTAATTGCTGTAATCCAAGAGAAAGATGATGACTGAGATCCAGATGATACAGCAGAAGACATGGTGAGAAGTGTTCAGATTCTGGATATACTTTAAAAGTAGACTCAATAGGATTTACTGAAAGATTGGATGAAGGATATGAAAATTAGTAACTGGTTACAAATGGCAAAAATAATATGAATACTAGAGACACTGTGGAGGATGAAGTGGAAACTCACTGTATTGGAGGGGAGTGGAAAAGGGAAAAGTTAAAGAACTAAACAGTGATTACTCCCATAGTGATCTCATCTGGTCCCATGGCTCTAAGGACTGTCATAAGCACATTACTTCCAAATTTATATTCTTAGTCCAAAACACTCTTCCAAACTGTATCTGCCTACTTAAGATCTCAAACCTAATATGCCTAAATCTGAACCCGTCTCTCCCCAAAATCTTCAACTATAATCTTTTTCATCTCATATTATTTCAGTTCATCCTTTCAGCTTCTCAGTTCAGAGCCTTGAAATCATCTTTGATCTGACGAGATATCCTTAGCTGGAAATGAGATCTTTCTCCTTGAACAACCTTTATGCTTCACTAAGGGCATTTACTAATTTCTTACCTCTGTTATGGTATCTGTGAGTATAAGTTATATCCTTCCTACTTTGGGAGGCTCCTGGAGGGCGTAAATCACCTCTATTCATTTTTACATTCTTCAGCCCCTGCCACAGTGCTCTGCACGTTCTAAATGATGCATAAAATCATCAACAAAATTCAGAGTAAATATTAAAATAAGAGTACAAAGAATATGGGGAACACTGAACTGATCTTAGAGATCAGGAATCTTAAGACACATCTGGGATAAAAGCAAGAAAAATAATGTTAATTTTTTTTCATTAAAAAGCTGCTTTTGATGTACCCCTTGGTTACTCCACCATACCCCACTTACTCATAATAGGCTCAGATGGTCAAAAAGGAGTAGAACATAGTAGAATATCATAGTAAAGCCATGAGCTCCTTCAATTGTCCTTGTCTCTGCAAAATAAATAATGCATCTGAAAATTTGGCACCAGATTTACTAAGCTAGTGACAATTAAATTTCAGGTTAGTTTATAATTATTGGCTGTAAGCTCCAATAGGACATGGATCATAAGAGCCTGTTTTACCTCTCTATCCCTTGCACCTGACAAATACTGATACGGCAATGTTTGATGAAAAAATAAATGATAGGAATTAATAATGAAAGATGACTACATAAAAGAACACTGAGGAAGGGAACTACTCAGGAACTGATAACTTCAGTAGAACAAAATGAAATGTTTAGCTTTACTTTAATTCATGTATTTTTTTTTTGTATAATCTAAACTGGCTGTGGTCAATGCAGTTGTATAAACAAAATTGTTGGTAGAACACATAGATCATCCTTTCCTAATGTTGCCTTTCCTAAATATTGTGTAAGTACTTCTTCCAGAATCTCTTGTGGATTGAAAAAATTTCAAGACCTCCCCAAACTGAATCCCATTTGCCTTCACAGAGCATTGTATCCAGGGCCAAGGCCCTCCTAGATTTTGCAGACTAAAAGTCTAGAGACCATGAAAGAGGATTTCTTACTGTTTTCTGTCATCATCCAGAAACTGTCATGTCTGTGTGTGTGAGTGAGTTTGTTGTGTTGTGTACCATAAACCATAAGTAAAATTGCTGCTATATTAGTAGAATGAGACCCAGAAACAGCCTATTTAGGGGTTATTCTCCCCACTACTACCCCCTCTGTTTTTGTCCTACCATTTGGGTTGATCCAGAGAGCTAAGGCAGGTATCCGATTTCCTCTTTTTCTTGAATAAGGTGCCAGGAGTAGTGCTTGGTGCTGCAGATGATGCTGATTTGTATGTGCCACAGTGAGACCTGGCACTCTCCCAGAGAATCTGCTGTATTAAGAATTTGATTCACTCCAGATAGTTAAGCTTGAAAGTGGTTGTGCTCTTGATTTAACTTGAAAAATATCAGGAAATTTATTGTCAAGACTGTCACTTGGCACTCATTTTGATAAAGCATTAGCTAGTATTTGTTATTTCAATTTTTCCCATTAGGGAGGAATTCTAATACTAGTTTCTATAAGTGGTTAACAGCCTGTGTAGCAGGAATATCACATGCAGTAGCATTGGAATGGACCAGGTAAATGTATGTCAAGGAATGATTTGTATCAATACCTGTTTGTGATATTTGTACTATAGGATTTCCTTTGTTTCTGCTGATGTGCTTATTTGTGACCCTTACAATCAATGTTGAAAAGTATCAGAGAGTAGACAGCCGTCAATGTAAAATTCAGGTCTGGGACAGGAATAATCACATAGCAAAATATTTATTTGGGGAGGGAAGAAACTTCTGTACAAAAGCCAAACAGTGTTTTTCTTTAATTTACTAAAAACTTGTGTCAGGTTTTTAGAACCAAAAGTAGATTAACCCAACAGATACACAAGGATTCCGTCATGAGATAAATGAATATAAAGATTCCTAACTGGTGCCCTGAGCTAAAAAGTAGTTGAGATTGGGGGAGGGCCTTAAAAGGTTCTGCCTAGCTCCCTGCCGTGGAGCTAAAATAAGTCAAGCCAGATAGTGAAGAATGGCCTCTACTGAAGACCCTTAATGAGTGGGCATATCTCAGTCTCTGTCTCTTTCCCATTCCTGTTCAAGGATTTAGCATCTCTGAACTGCTCCTTGAGAATTGCCTTCAGAGTCTTCATTGCCTTCCCTCCAACCGGAGCTTACTGCCGAGCAAAGAAGTCTTCTAACTAATAAGTGACTGTAATGCAAAGAGTTTACATTGGTTTTATTTAAAAAACAAACAGCAACCATTGACTCTTCACAGATTTGATATTCAGAGTTTTCACTATGAGCAACCAGAAGGCCCATGAGTTGTAATTTGCAATTTTTCTTACAGGTGAGTCAGCCTACTGAATATGTCTAACACACCTCCCTACATCTAAAATTCACCACAGCTTCGTTCTGCATTGGCATGCCAGCTAACTCCTGCAATGATAAAAACACGTTCCTTTGTGGGAAACTTGCCTGAAAAGAAATCCAACTGCAAATGCTGTACAATAAATGATGATTAGGTAAACAGACCTAAGAGATTATTTGCAAATTTGAAAAAGCCCGAAGTTTTCTGAACTTGGACTTGCCTTATAAGAATTGGCAGCAGGGCAGAAAGACTCGTTCCTGGCTTTTGATAAATGATAATGTAAGATGTGTATCAATTAGTTATCCTACATTAATTTCTAATAGACCTATGGCTAGACAATATTAGATTGCCTTATAAAAAGACATAGCATCATAAAAGAGAGGCCAAACCTAAAATATAAAAATGTTAAGTGGACAGATTGCTAAAAGTTAATTTTGTTTTTAAAGATACAGCAGTCTCTCTATGTTGCCCAGGCTGTACTCAAACTCCTGGGCTTAATGACCCTACTCCTCACCCTCCCTAGTGGCTGGGACTACATGTGTGTGCCACTGGGCCCAGTTTTGTGTGTTGTTGTTAGTAGTTAAAACCTAAGCATCTTACTCTAGTTCCCAAGAAGTAACATTCATATTTTCAAAAGTGCCCTTACAAATGAGAAAAGTGAAAAAAATTCACCCACTTGAGAATTAGATGATCAGGCTATGGATTGATTGTCATATCCAATGTCTTACACACTGTTCCAAAACACAGCCCACATGACGTTTCTGGCAAAGCTGGTAGAGGAAACTAGGAAGATCAAGAACCTGAGACTTGACATAACTTTCCCCTAACTCAGTCTGGAGGCAGTGAAATGTCAGACTGCCTGGATTCAAATCATGGCTGTTTGAACTGGGAATGTTATTTAACCTCTCTATACCTCAGTTTTCTTGTCTGTTAAATGTGCGTAATAATAGTACCATATCTCATGGGGTTATATTAATTAATATATGTAGAATACTTAGCACCTGGACAGAGTAAGCTAGTGTTAATATGATTATTATTGCTGTTATTTTTGTTGTGATTGAGGAGGGGCTAAGCTAAGCCATAAAAGAAATGGGGGTAGTTGGAGGGAGTGGGGGAGAGTTACAATGGTTGGTCCCCAAGAAAAAAAGTTGTTTTTTCATGTGATCTGGATGTAATTTGAGACATTTAACATTGTTAATGAATATTAATATTGGGTTTTGAGACTGGAGAAAATGCTGGTTTCTCTCCTGTGTTTCTGGAGCAACCTATTAGTACCCAATGAAGGAGGAGTGTGAGGGAGTTGCTGGCCAATCATAAAGTTGTGCTTGCTTCAGCCTCTTCCATCTTCAAAATATTTGCCTGTCCTTCTCCTTTTTTTCTTTTCATCAAGTTTAGACCACTCAGTCTGGAGCCTGAAACTCAGTAGGTTATTGATTTAGTTTCCCATTATCTCCCTCCTGCCCTTCCTGCCCCCAGCCTAGCTATGGATTTTAATCTTAGCTTGTCTTCTGATTCTCAGTGTCACCATAAGCGAGTTACTTTGACCTCAGTTGCATACTCTTTAAATGGAATAACGTTTTTGCCCATTCAGAGGACAACTAGGGATTTATTGAAATGGCAGATGTTAAGCATTTTCAAATTTTTTGATAGGAGGATTCCTTGACAGGATGGCATTTATAGTAAAAAGGCTGTTTCCCAAGGAAGAGTCCTCTACCTCTGATACATAGGTTTTATTCCCTAGTGGTACAAGGTCTGTTTAATTTCAGCTTTTCCACCATGAGCCTGTATGTTTTTAAATACTACTTTTTTAATTTGCCCTCTTCTTTCAAACATTCACAGGCACTAATCCACATTATGGCTTTACAGGCAGTAAATTAAATTATATTAATTCTAAACACAGTGTTTTTGAGCTGTAGAGAGTCTGTAGCCTTTGAAACCACTAACTTAATTTTGTCCAACTCTTATTCAGAAATTCAAAAAGAGCCAAAGCTTTTTCCTTTTGAATTTGGTTTAAAAAATAGTAAGAAATTTCTCCCAGGCAGTGGTCCTGGGTGCCAAGGTTTATCAGAGATCTAAATCTGTCTGCATGAAAATCTCCGAAAGTAAAAGGGTAGGCCTGCTAATGAAGATGTAATCTGTTATAACTTTTACCTTCACTACTACTACCTTATGTTGTCAGGTGTGGGCAAGTCTCTTAATCTCTCTGAGATTTTGTTTTCTTATCAGCAAATCTACATTCACAATAAATATTTGAGATAATTAAATGAAATAATCTGTACTGCGCACTTTCAAAAGTATCTGTTTATCTGCACATAAAGTCCTGCCTCTAAAAGAGCAGATACAAGCGGAAGACTATTTTATACTGTCATTACTTAAAATTAGATTGTAAGCTCATTCAAGGCAAAGGCTCTATTATCTTTCATAGAGCCTTCCTCCACAGTAAATAAATGTTTATTGAATAAAGCTGAGTATGCTTTTCTAAATTATTCTTTGTTGGTTTCAGCATTTTGTCACATTCCTTTGAAGAGCCTTGATTTTAGCAAATCTTTATCATTTGGGCAGGGGAATGGCAGGGTGTGTGAAACAACCATACTCACAGGAAAAGGGTGATCAGGCTGCATAATACTGGGTTGTTGATTTTTTTTTTTCTGGTTCTCTTTTGGGAGGGTAATGGTTTGTTATTTTTCAAAATGTGAGAAGACTGATATTTTAATGTCACTTGTAAATTTATTTCTAAGACAGTTCCTACAACAGTTTAGATGTCTTTGGAGCAATAATAGCAACATTTCAGTACACAACACCTTTCCTATTTTTATATACTCATACTCATTTAGAGGTATACGTACAGTTGTTTAAATTATATGATAATTACACAGTATAAAGCGAGTGGTTCTGAAATAGGGAAAGTTGCATAATCACTGTGGTTGTGTATGGCATTGGTTATTATTTCACTGATCTTAGATACTTTGAGGTAACTATATGAGCACTGTTCAACTATTTCTGAAAAGATGATCATCCTAAATCTTTTAGAAGATTTCTATCTCGGGACTTTTTAAATGGCACTTTAAAAAATTTTTACTCTTATTCAGTAATGCTAAATTGCTAAGTAATAGAAATTTTAAAATAAAACAGCTTTCTAAGGATATATTCTCCTACATACAATGAATGCAACATGCAATGAGTATCCAGTTTCTGTACATGTATAACAGATCTTTGAAAAAGCAGGAAACATTTAGTAAGTTCTTCAGAAGTCAGAAGCAGGTAACAGTCTGATGCTTATAATACCAAGTCCTTTGGAAGACAAACTGCATTCCTTCATCTATGACAGGAAATCTTTCTCTTGTCATTTCTTTTTTTTTTCTTCTACTCATATATGCAGGAGGTGCTCCAAATGGTACCAAGAAATAACATTTAAAACGCCCCCACCCATGCCCAGATAGCTGCATGCATTTTAAAACTATATTCTCTCATCAGAGTCTGGAAGAGCTTTCAGAACAACTTCATGACTTTCTGAAGGGGTTACATTTTTAAAATGTTTATCTTAGTATGTTAATTTACTGTAAAAAAACGGTCTCAGCTGTAAGTTCTACTGGATAATTCTTTGCCCTTTCTGTGGTTGATTATTATGCTAAGAAATGCCATTTAAATATTATTTTCACTAGATATCTGTTAGCTTCTGTAGTACAACAGGTAGTTCTGTGGGCCTCTCTATAAATGAATGATACTTGAATTTATAATTACTTGTATATTTTGCACCAGCATAGATTGTTAAGGATTCTGGCCTATTTCAGTATCTTGGTTTAACAAGGAGGTAAGACATTTGAAAATGCCAGGTGCAGTGGCTCACACCTGTTATCCCAGCACTTTGGGAGGCCAAGGTGGGTGGATCTCTTGAGCCCAGAAGTTTGAAACCAGCCTGGGCAACATATTGAGACCTCACCTCTACAAAACATTTTTAAAAAATAAAAATTAGCTGGGCTTGTGGTTCCAGCTACTTGGGAGGCCAAGGGAGGAGGATCGCTTCAGCCTGGAAGTCCAAGGCTACAGTGAGCTGTGATTGCACCACTGCTACAGCCCCTGGGTGAAACAGCAAGACCCTGTCTTAAAAAAAGTTTGAAAAGATTCCTCAGTGATGATTAAAATGCAGTTCACATTGCTGTCCCTTTGATTTGACTGCTAGAACAGCCCCTATGGTGAAGCCAGCACTCCTTCTGTAAGCTAATCTAAATAGGTACTGTGATATTCTCAGCTGTGTAAATTCAGCTCCTCTGTAGATAGCATAAAGGAGCAGCAGGTTTTCCTCGTTTGCCACACTTGAATTTATATTCAATTTTTAATATTAAGAGCAGTAAATTTGAAAATAGTAATAAATTTTAAAGAAATGTATACATAGAGTAACATATATATGTTATATAGAGAGAAAATATAGAAACAGTAACAGATTTTTAGAGTAACAAATTACTACTGAACTTGCATTTATGTCCCACAGTTTACATAGTTTTTTAGAAGGCCAGATTTTCTTAGAGTATAAGCTTTCTTTTTAAATTATTGAATATTTAACCTGTATTACAGATTAAGACCTGCTCTGTCTACCTGTACCTATTCATTTCTAAAATGATGTGTTCTTGCATTTAATTTTGTGCTTGTTGCGTTACTCCATTAAAACTGAGTAAAGCTAATGGGTAAAAATAGACAAGTAGGAAAGTCTCTTGAAAGTGTTGAGAGTGGGTAGACTATTAGATGTACTTTGCCCTTATAGCATGGTTCTTGGTGGAGTTGTAAATCATATGTTTTGCCCACAAAGCACGTACTAATATTAAGTTGTTTTTAAAGTGATTGTGTTGCATCACCATGGTTCTTCTATGCTCTGTGGGGTATCATGTTGCTTTAATGTAATGAACCAAGTCCTCAGCTCCTAAATCTCCATGCTGGAAATGATGACATAAAACTGAATGGCCATGTCTGAAGTCATGAATCTTGAGAATTTCTTATTCTTTGGGAAAAGCCTTACAAGACTTTTCTTATTCTTTGAAGGGAAAAGCCCTGCACTTATAACAAGTTTCTGTTGAAAATATTAGCCATTTTAGGTTATATAGCATTCTGTTTGAAAAATAAGCATTAACTCTGCTGCAAGGTCTGTATTTTAACTTTGTGCAGATGTGTGCTTAAAGAACATGATGTGCTTATTTGTTGCATTTATGGTACTTTCTTACTTTAAGTAAGATGGATGAAATTACACATTAAATAAAAACAGCAGTCCTTACCAACCTGAAAAAGCCTTCCAAAAACAGTGGAGAAAATGAGAATATGACTTTAATAATTCATTGACTTTTGAAAGAATTGTCTATTTAAAAGCATGTATATAATTTCTTTGCAGGTTTCCTCAGTGTTTTTAATGTTAAAAGTAATCTGCCAGTAAATTATTTGTAAAATATTACTAAAAGTATTATTTTCTTTCCTAACCAAATATAGCACTTTAAATTTTACATATCTTGTTATACACAGACATATATATTGTGTGTGGCATAAAACTCCAGTTAGAATAACATCATGGCCTTGGACAAGTTATTTAAACTCCCTGAACCTCATTTTTTTTTTCTGTATGATATGATACCTACCTTTTAGGATCATTGTCATGATTAAACGAGAAAAATCTATTTAGAACAATGTCTGACAGATATTTATCACTACCTGTTCACTTCTGTATGCCAAGCTTCATAAAGCAGTGTGTTTTTATTTGGTACTTTTGAGCCAGAAAGTACTTTGTATTGAGTATTACTTACCACACTCAATTCTAAAGTGAAACTTTGTATTGGATATTACTTATCACACTTAATTCTGAAGTGAAATTTAGAATATGTAGAATAAATTTTTCTTAGGATATTTAAGGAACATATGTTTATTGAATGGCTACTAAGCATAAAACATTGTTTCCTATCATGTACAGTTGACTATATTTAAAATTCATTAAGGTAGAGGTCAGTCTAAATGCTATTCCCAGTTCGTTTTACAGTTCCTCTGTCTGTTGTTGGCTCTTTGTGTGTGTGTGCGTGACCTTGTTAACTTTAAGAAAGTTTTCAAAATAAAAAAGCACTTGACTTTGTAGTAATTTAAAAATAGGTTGATCAATATGAAGCATTAGCTAGGAGCACAAGTTGGTGCTTTTTTATTGATTTCAGTTACTAATGCCCTCAGGCTTATATGTGTGAGAATGAAAATGATATATGAAATACGCACCCAGGTTAAACAGACAAATGTTCTTGTTACATCTGCAACCACTATAGGCAGAATTCTTTATTTGGAAGTGACTTTGGTAGTAGTTAGTTCCTCTCTCCCTCTCTCTCTGTCTCACACACACACATACACATGTGCAAGCAACCTTAAGATAGACTCATACAGTGCTTTGGGAAGTTTCTGCCATTTAGTTACTTTTATTAATTATAAAATGCTATTCAAGATTCTAGACTTACAGCGCATTAGTATACATTCTGTCATTTTTAACAGATGGTTAGAAGCCAGAATCTTGAGGATTTGAAAGATACTCCGCTAAGTAGCCAGTTGCAGACCAATAAAACCAAGAAGGTGAATACCAGGGAAGCCTGCTCAGCAGGGCACGCATTATTTAGAAAGTTGTATAAGGAAGTTGGATTTCGGCAGAGGTTGTCATGTGTCATCCGCCCCATCAGTCAGAGCTCCAGCAGCTGTTCCTTGTCACCGGGACCCTTGTATGCTACTGTTCGTCCATCAGCACTAAGAGATACCGGCTGCCTTTCCACCATGCTGTGGAAGCCACAGACATACAGACTTACAGTGTTATCTCACTGGACACCAGTTTGGATGAAAGCTCATTTTCAAAGAGGGAGACCAAACACCAACGTTTTGGTATTTTATTAGACTATTAACCAAAATACATTCTCAAGAGAATTAGTCGGATACCATAAAGTGTGTCTATTTTTGGCCATATATATGGCTGTAATAATGTAGGAGTGTTGCACATTTGAATTCAAAGAGATGCCCTACTTAAGTGAGAGATGGGAGAACTTTCTCCACTAGATGCCAGATTATTATTATCAGAGTATCACTGTGAAGAGACCTTTCTGGTTGAACACAACAATGCAAAAAAGACTTAAAATCACAAGCATTCTTTTTTTGATAGTGCAGCAACCTGCCAAATAGGATATATCCCCATTCTGATTATAGACAAACCTCCAACAATTCCCTTTTTCTCTTTTTGTATTCCAGAGGTATCCCTAGAGGAAAGGATTTGAGGGCATTAGTATCACTATCTGCCTGATTACTGTGTTGACATTTTTAAAGTGCCATTAATCATAGGAAATGGAACTTAATGGTGTAGAAAAATACCCAGCCAAGGAATGTCAAGAAAGTAAGCTACAGCCCAGTATTCACATGAAATTAAAGGGAAATGCATCTTAACCCTTCAATTCTTTTTTTCTTCTTACTGAATTATAAAGGAAAGTAATTGAGAGGTAGCTTTGCAATCAAAGGTAATGGTAAACATAGTAAAAGAAAATTATAAAAGGCAGATGTTTTTATTTTACAAATATTACAGTTACATAATGTATAAAGAATATAAAGATAATATTCATCTTTAGATAGTATAATGGAAGTTTTACCTGCTTCCATTTTGGAAGAAAGTTACTTTTTCTTTTTGATATCCCCTCCTATATTTTTTCTGTTGACTCTGAATACTGAATAGACTTGATATAATTTAGTTTATATGAGGCTCAACTGTTACGGAATTTGAGAGTTATTAAGCTGATGGTATGCTGCACAGGTAATACTGCCATCAAGGGTATACAGAAGTAAAAAGCAGTGATAGGACACATGAATAGAGTAATTCATTTTTCAAAAGCTGGCAATATGTAATGCACATTTTGTTAGAGTTTGGTATCATTTCATCGTTTGCCTATTAGCTAATTTAAATAAAATGTTTTCCTAATTGAAATTGTAGGGAACAGATAGCCTCATTTTTAAAATATATGTGACACTAAACTTATAATGAATATTATAGTGTAAAATATTTTTGGCTGGACGCAGTGGCTTACGCCTGTAATCCCAGCACTTTGGGAGGCCAAGGCAGGCAGATCACGAGGTCAGGAGATCGAGACCATCCTGGCTAACACAGTGAAACCCCGTCTCTACTAAAAATACAAAAAATTAGCTGGGCGTGGTGGCGGGTGCCTGTAGTCCCAGCTACTCGGGAGGCTGAGGCAGGAGAATGGCGTGAACCCAGGAGGCGGAGCTTGTGGTGAGCTGAGATCTTGTCACTGCACTCCAGCCTAGGTGACAGTGCAAGACTGTCTCAACAACAACAAAAAAATGTTTTTGGTGCTGACTCTGAGCAGGTGCTTCATTTGATAAATAGCACAAAAATCTTTAATCCACTTTCTCCCTCTCCCTCAGCCTTTTCTTTTTCAGGACAGTTTACAGCACAGGACACATAATAGATTCTCAATAAAGACTGATTGATTGACCTATGGGTCTAAGATGAATGAATTTTAGGGTGATCTGTATAAGGAGATTGCAAAAGGAGTAATATTGTTAAGTGTTGCGCTTTTTATTTTTTCCACTGCAGGTTTTTGTCATCCATTGGAGGGACACTGTATGAGGTTGGAAAGCCTGAAATGCAACAAAAAATAAATTCATTCCTTGAAAAGGAAGGAATGGAGAAAATTGCAGAAAGATTGCAAACAACAGTACACACCTTACAGGTCATCATAGATGGTCTCAGCCAGCCTGAAAGCTTTGACTTTCGAACAGGTAAACAGTTGAACTTGAATTATAGCACCTTGCATTTGCATAGCTCCCATTATCTCCTTTGATCCTCACAGCAATCCTATGCCATAAGCAGAATGGATATTATTCTCCCATTTTATACATGAGAAAAATAAAGCATGGTGATCTTCCTTCAAAGTCATTATAATTAATATCCAGAGCCAAAGCTAGAAGCCAGGTGGTCTCCCTGGACCCCTTGTTCACTGTGTATTTCCCATTTACTAAACGAAATGCATCATGCATGTACTGCTGTATGCATGGAGACACACATTTTTTTATGGTCCTTTTGTAAGTTGTCTTTATCTCTTGGGAGCCAGAAGTGCAAGGTAAAGCAGTCCCTTCACAAGCTAAAAGGTGAATCTTCTTCCTAAATTATAGCTTTCCAAGTTCTTGGATTCTGTGTCAATGAACCCATTGAACAAATAAGATAATATCTCTGTTGATTTTCCTTCTAATTAAAAGTGCTCTCAGCTTTCAGCACAGGTAGATGGTGAGGGAATTATACTTCCATGTAACAACCATAGTTGTTGAGAGCAGTGACCCAGTGAAAAAGAATTACAGTATCAAATGACCTACTTCCCAAGGAAGTTTGAATAGGAACCCCTGAGATTTAAATGAATCCGCTCACTGGTCTTATAACCAGTTTTGATGATTCCGTGTTTAGGGCTTGGCTCTTTTTATTCTGGTTTAGGCTGCATTGAGATGGTTAGACATACTTCTTTGAAAAGGTTTAAAGGAGTTTTGAAATACATCCAGCAAGTTCATTGTACTATTCCTTCTTCTGTAGGGTTGTTTTGTTTTTTTTTAAGTTAAAGAAAAATAAAATGACACCCAGTAAGAACTATGCCAAAAATGTGGGAGTAGAAGCCTCCTAGTAGTCCTCCACACAATGTGGATGTTTCAGCAGACAAATCCATCTCCATTTGGAGGCCCAGTATCCTTTTATGGGAATTTCTGGGCTGGTTTTTAGCAGGAGTACTAGGTGGAGCAGTGGTTCTCAAAAATACTGGATTTGGAGGTGGTATGGCTGCACCCTTTGCATTAGAGGGTTGGCAAAAAATGCTGTAACTGCAGGTATCCTGTACTGGATTTTTCACATCCATCTTCATTTTTCTGTCATAGTGTCGATTGTTCCATTATCCCAGTTGCATTGTAGACTCAGAGCAAAGATCAACACTCAAATTATATGGTCCAATTAAACTACCAAGTTGTTGAGCAAAAAGACAGATGCATCTGGGCTCTGGACTGAGCTTTCCACTTACTGCAGTGTTCTATCAGTGTGGCAAGTGAAGTTTTAAATAGGTCTCTTTAAAAAAACTTTGGAACTGACCTTTGCTCTAATGTAAGTCACAATTTTCAAAATGTCTGAGAACTTTCATCTTACTACTAAACACATACCCAAGGTGAGGAAGGCTTACAAACTATACTTTCGAGGGGGCAGATAGTATTTTGGGCATTTCCACGTGATGATATTTTATGTTACATCTCTTTTCTCCATTTTCTCAAAAGTATTTCCTTTCTTAATGCCTCATTCTTTACTCATAATAATTCTGTCTTTTGTTTTGTCAATGGTGTAATTAATTTCATGTGTATTAACACTATGGTGACTAGTTAATTTCCCTAACTGGGTTTATTAGAAGCAGTCCAGACACAGGGGCTGAAAATGCTTGGCTATGAAAGTGTTAAAGTTTGCATGGTACACAGAGGATTTTCTGATTTCTCAGTGTCCCCAACTGTCTTCAGGAATATGTTAAGTAGTTCCTGACTCTGATTTTCCTTGCAAGATTAAACTAAACAGCTGATCAGGAACCCTTAGGGAATCTGCAGCAGCTGGACCTCCCCAAGAAAAGAGAGAGAGAGAAAGAATTTCCAAGCATAAAAACAATGCCTATGGGGTCTCGGAGACCCGTCCTACCTCTGCCCCTGATCAGTGACTTAGTTCCACTTTGCTTTGACACAGCCTTAGCCTGGTGTAATATTACATTACAGTAGGTTTCTTGCTTTTGGAATTCACTGCTTTAGCATCAGGTAAAATTCCACAGAATCAATTCCAATTTTAGCGTACTCATTTTTATGTGTACAGTGAGATTTGGAGTTTAAAGAAGGTTTTTATTTTGTTTTATAAGAAAAAGCTTAATTTTTAAAACGTCTTGGTATCAGTATGGTTGGACTGGGGGAAGGGAAGAAAGGGGTGACCAGTTGTTAATACAAATGTAAAGGATAGCTTTAACAAGTCATCAGGATAAAGCCAACAGCTGTGGAGGAAAAGGAAATGGAATGGGTGGAGGGGAAAATGAGGCCTTAGTAAAAGGAGATCCAAGCATAGAATGTGTTCTTTGTTATTAGAGTCAACACTCAGTAATCCTAGGAAAGGGGGCCTTCAGGAGGAGCATGGATAAATGGAGTCCACAGATAATCCACAGCCCCGTTTAAACTGTTAGTTCTAACTCTAACTGTCTCCCTCATAAAAACCTTTGTTTTTAACTAGAACCATAATGATTCCTTGGCATGCTTTATGCCTACCTTTTGGACAATAATGAACAAAGAAATGTATGCTGGGGTGAGCAAGAAAAAAGGGCTATAAAGAACTTGGAAACAGAAATCTGTATCTTCATCATTGTTTCTCTAGCACCCAGCAGAGTGCCTGGCCAGGAGATAATAGAGTTAACAAATGTTTGATGAATTTAATTGAAAGAAGAGAAAGAATATTAGATACTACCTGGTCTGGGATTCTGAGCCATAGATAATCAAGAATCCATAAATGTTGATTGGATAAATATATATGAAATAGGTGGGAATTGATTTTCTGAGTTCCAAATTTGTGGGAAGAAGTGAGGAAGAAAGAACATTTGAATTTCATCCACATTTGGCCAAAAGTTGATGTACTTTCTACCATCTTTAAACAATTTAATAATCCAGGCACTGGGGGAAAAACCAAAAAAAAAGCTTCCAGTCTCTTGTTTCCAAAGGTCTTACTTTCTCAGTGTTTGTGGTTTAGCTTTGTATATTTGTTAAGCAAATATATATTCTCATCACCTCTTCACAAAGAGGAAAATAAGACTGTCTTCTCGATCCTTATGTATAATGCTAGTGTGTAGCATTGTAGAAGGAAGTAAATTTTCTTGAATTGTTTCTACTGCATGAATGCTGTCTCCAACTGATATGCATGTTCTCTGAAGGCAAGCGTTGGTCTGCAGCTCCTTTTATAATCCCCCCTTAATCTTTAATATTGGTCTGGGCACATAGTATGTAGTAAGTACTTATTCACAAAGTTATGTTGTATCTAGGAAGTACAATGCCTTATTTACACTTACTTTTTTTCTCTTACAGATTTTGATAAACCTGATTTCAAGAGAAGCATAGTATGCCTGGAAGATCTGCAGATTGGGACAGTTCTTACAGGCAAAGTTGAGAATGCCACTCTCTTTGGAATTTTTGTGGATATAGGAGTGGGGAAATCTGGGCTGATTCCCATACGAAATGTAACAGAAGCAAAACTTTCAAAAACAAAGAAGAGAAGAAGCCTTGGACTGGGCCCCGGAGAAAGAGTGGAAGTCCAAGTACTCAACATTGACATCCCCCGATCTAGGATTACTCTGGACCTCATTCGGGTGTTATGAGTATCCCACGAAGGCCAGACGCTGATTTTATTTTCTCATTTCCACAGATTGACAAGGATAAGTCAGTTGTTTGTAAACTCTAGGTAGCAGATGAGAAATAATTCACTTAATATCAGAAATATTTTCCAAACACTTTCCTTTATTTTTTCTTCTGAATAAATAGAAAACCAACAGTTTGATTTCCTTTTCCCTTAAAGGAAACAACTAATACACATTCTTATATGGCTTTATGTAGTAATAGTTTTCTGACTAAAATTTTGTTTTTTATTTTTTGTAATTTATCTTTAACTCCTTTTGCATTTTGTATAACAGATTGCTTAACTTCTACTTGCCAACATCTGCCTTGCTGGACTTGTATGGGATTGTCTTCTTGATTTGAATTGTACCGTCTTTGTTGACACAGTAGGGCTGGGCAGTGTTTAATCCTTCCATTTTATAGATTTTTTTTTAATCAGGCCTTTTGGACTTCATTCATAATTTTGCAATAATCTCTTTTCCCTTGTCATGCAAGCCAAAAATATACCAGTAAAACAGATTCTGACGTGTTTGTAGTTATCAAATGAATGGCTCGAAACACTTCTCAAAAGGATATACGTATTGACCCCAACAATAAATGTTTGTGGCTAGTGACTTGTTTTTTGCTATGTTGATTCAGTGAATGACCTAGAAGTCAGTCTTGATGAAAAAAGATATGGTTTATGCAACCTTTGGAGAAGAGGGAAGCCTTTGAAAATTTGAAGAATGGTTTTGTTTGATTTAGCATAGAAGAGTGTGTCCTTTCTTAAATCAGAATTAAACTTCAAATGGGGATAGAAATGGCCGTTTTAAAGATCAAATATAGATCAGGTGTGAAGGGACAAGAAAAACAAGTATATAAAGGAAGTGACTCTTATTCCATTTTTATTTAGTGGAGATGGTAAGGATTAGCATGACCATTCAGGATCAAAATAAAGCCCACAGTGGACTGGTATCCTGTTCATTCTGACTACTGCTGCTGCTGTTGATTTGCCTGATGAAGATATTTGTATGACTGAATGAGTGTCTGGTTTTCTCCATGCGTGATAAGTAGGGGATAGTTACTAAAGACGACCAGTCTTGTTCATTTGCCTAGGAAACACCCATTGTCCTGGCATAATTTTTAATATTGCCTCTTTTTATTCTCAGAGTGCCCCATTTTGGATGATAAATCATATGGTCAACTAGTAGTAGTCACTAAGTAGTGACTGTGACTATGTTTCGTGATAGTTCTACCTGGTGGTTTGCTGTTTTCAAAATACATATCCAACTGGTGTATGTAGATCTTTTTAATGCAGTAGGTTCCTTAAAAGTTGCATATATCAACTTTTTTGATATATACAACTATTTGCCTAGCAATTTCATTTCTGAAATGCTTTTCCTCTGTTTCTTAGTGGTCTTTAACTGATAGTGGATATATCTTAATGTTATAACTTTAAGTTGATCTTCCTACTCACTCCTCCCAATATTCTTCCAGGTTCATAATCTATAGATCAGTAATGAATGATGTGTACCTGAAGACTCTTACTCTGAAGCTCGAGATACAAGTTCACACGAATTCTGTGGGGGAAGAGGCCTTCTCCCTGGTCACTTCGGATATAGGAACAAGAAAAGTTGACAGTGTAAAGCTGCTCTGTTGACCTGGCAGCTAAGCTTTCATGGACACAATAAGGACTTGACATTGCACTAGATTGCATAGTTTGTCCCATCCAGCCCAAACATGGTGGAGGCTGGTATAAGGCCTAAGCTATAAAATGAGGAGCCACATCTCATTTATAACTGCAAAGTGTGCATGGTGATGCATTATATTCTATTCCTAGTCCCTATTCTACTAGTAATCCACAGTGTGCCTTTGAGCTGGTATCTTTACTTCTGCAGACCTCCTTTTCCCAAACTTAAAATGGCATATGAGAAAGCATTTATTCCCATATACATTTACTGGTGGCCTCCTTGTGTGCCAGGCATTGTGCTAGTCACTGACCAGAAATTGTGATAGGAAAAATAGGTAGGGGTAGGGAGCATGAAAAGAAGAGAAAAAGAAAAAAATAGTCATTATCCTTGTCCTTATGGAGCTTAGAGTCTATTGAGAAAGAAAGTATAATTAAATAATCATATAAAAATGTAAAATTACAATCAGATAAGTGATATAATGGAGACAGCATCTAATTAATGGGTTGACTTAGAAAAGTCAGAGTAATTCAGTGGGATTTGAGATGTGAAAGATGACCAAAACTAGGACAAATTTTACTGACCTTTAATAATAACTCTTCCCAGTAAATTGAATGAGCTGTATTGGAGTGGGCTTAAGAGAGTAGGAGGAGTTAGATTGCAGACAGTGAATTTAGACAGTTCTTTTAGGGAGTTTAGCTGTAAAGGAAGAAGAGAAATAGCATAGTGGTTGGAAGGGGGAAATGGAGTCAAAATTTAAGACAAAAGAAATGTATACAAATGGAAATGATCCAGTAAAATAGGAAAATATGATACAGGAGACAGAGGGGAGAATTACTGGAAAGATATCCTTGACTAAATGAGATCAGATGGAATCTAGTGCACAAGGGGTTGGTCTAACATAGGAATACAAAGAGTATATTCATATTAGTGGGAGAAAGGACTAAGTATATGAGCACAGATGTAGGTAGGCAAATGTAGGAGCTCATGGAAAGTCTCTGAATTTCTTCTAGTTTTCTCATTGAATTATGAAGGAATACCATCATATGAGACTGAACATTGAAGAGAAAGGGAATTGGAGGTTTGAAGAGAAAGTGTGAGGAACGGATGAGAATGAGAGTGAAAAGCCTAGGGAAACAGCGTGACTTCTAGGCAGTGTTAAATGTTTCACTTGAGGTTATTGATCTTTAATTGAATCTAGGATCAGTTAACTTATTTTTTTCTCCAGCCCATCAGCTGTGTGGATGCAGGCCCAGATTAGGTGGAGAGGTGATTTAATCAGGTTTGGGGGTTTGCCAAACAAATATGATAAAGAGGACAAAGAAGTTGAGGGCACGTGGACAAAGAAACTATTGACCATGGAATTTAAGCTTAAGAAGAAAAATGAGAGTATAAGGGGACAGTGAGGAGCAGTGGGAAAGTATGGGATTAAAGGATTGTAGACCCTGATGAAGTTGGAGGGATGTTGGAGTGGGAATAATAAAGGAAATACTGGGTTTAGGTAAGAATACTTGTCAAAAGTGGAGTGCATAACCTTGAGATTACAGAGGAGTTGCAGTTTTTGGTACTGACAGCATAGGGAATGATAGTGGGATAAGTAGCAGAAGTAAAGGATAAGGTAAGATCAATTAAAGAAAAGAAATTCTGGTCTGTCAAGAACAGAATTTGAGCAGGTGTGCTGGCTCATGCCTATAATCCCAGGACTTTGGGAGGCCAAGGTAGGAGGATCTCTTGAGCCCAGGGGTTCACGACCAGCCTAGGCAATATAGGGAGACCCCATCTGTATAAAAATTAGATTATCCAGGCATGGTGCCACACACCTGTGTCCCAGCTATGCAGGAGGTTGAGGCTGCAGTGAGCTGTGATTGTGCCACTGCACTCCAGCCTGGGTGACAGGGCGAGACCCTCTCTCAAAGAAAAGAGCTGAGAACTCAGAAAGGATTATCTATGTGAAGAATGATTTTAGGAGGCTGTCTCAGTAATGCAGGCTAAAATAACGGTGGCTTGGATCAGAGTGTTAGTGGTAAAAATGATGAGAAGTGGTGGGATTCTGGATGTAGTTAGGTGGAGGTAGAGCCAAACAGGATTTCCTGGCATAAGATGTGAGACAGACAGTCTAGGATGGCTCCAAGGTTTTTGGCCTAAGCAATCAGGAGTATAGAATTATCTACTGAAATGAGAAGACTAGTGGGGGAACAGTTTTGGTAAAGGAATTCATTTTAGACAGGTTAAATTTGAGATACTCATTAGACATCCAAGTGCTGATGTCAAGTTAGGCAGTTGGCTGTGTGAGTTTGAAGTTCAGGGGAGTGGGCTGGACTGGAAATGTGAATTTGATAGTTACTAGCATAACTGCTTAGAGCCGTAAGACTGAATGAGACCACCAATGGGATAAGTGGAGATAAAGCAGAGAAGGGGTCCAAGGGCTGAGTTGTTGAAATCCAAGACCATCAGCTATAAAATTTTTGAACTTCATAAGAGCAAGAATTTTTTCTCATGGCACGGCCTGCTAGATGCTTGTTCAGATTTCTCCCCTTCTTTCTAAGAAGATCCTGCCTGGAGAGGAGCAACGACGTGGCTAATGGATGTGAACATGACCAATTACGTGTAGGCAAAAGTCATAGGATGGAATTCTAGGAAAGTTAGAAAGTGTGGGGAGCACAGGCAGCTCAGCTATCATGCTTTTCTTAACCTTTGTCCTTGCCCTCCTTCCTGCTTGGAATGCAGATAGAATGCTGAAGGTGCTGGAGATTACATCAGAAAGACTGAAAATTTCCAAATTTATCTTGACATTATGGAGTAACCAAAATAGCCCCAAACTGCCTGCATTGGACTTCATATTTTGTTAGAAAAAAACAAAACTCCTCATTCATTTAAGCTGAGGGGAGCGGGGTGGGGGCTTACAGCAAAGTGTATTCCTTAATATACATTTATGTTGTTCCCTACTTTATCCCCTATATCTAGAAAAATGCCCAGCATGTGACAATTACTCAATAAATATTGATTGGGTGAATAAATGAACATCTAAGAATTCCACAAAATGGTTCAATGTAAAATAAACATCTAAAAAATCATGTTAAAACAATATGATGGAGTAAAGATCCCTATTCATTACAACACACTATAAAATATTTAGACTTGGTCGGGCATGGTGGCTTACACCTGAAATCTCAGCACTTTGGGAGGCCAAGGCGGGTAGATCACGAGGTCAAGAGCTCAAGACCATCCTGGCCAACATGGTGAAACCCCTTCTTTACTAAAAATACAAAAATTAGCTGGGTGTGGTGGTGTATACCTGTAGCCCCAGCTACTTGGGAGGCTAGGCAGGAGAATCGCTTGAACCCAGGAGGCAGAGGTTGCAGTGAGCTGAGATCGTGCCACTGCACTCCAGTCTGGCGACAGAGCGAGACTTCTTCTCAAAAAAAAAAAAAAACATTAAACTCTAACAAGCAATATAAAAGATGAATATGAAGAAAAATTATAAAGCATTACTAATGAATATTTAAAAAGCAGAAAATATTAAGGTATACCATTTTCCTAAATTGTAAGGCTATAATTAGTACTCTAGAAAAACCAGTCCTCCAAAAATGATCTTTTTTGCCACAATTTTAATCATCATTCCAATAGGCTTTGCCAATGTTTATTTAAACTTAAAAATAAAACTTATTTGGAAAAGTATGTGAGAAAAATCAAGTCAATACTTCAAAAGAATAATTCAGGTCAGGTGTGGTGGCTGATACCTGTAATTCCAGCATTTTGGGAGGCTGAGAGACAGGCAGATTGCTTGAGCTCAGGAGTTCGAGACCAGCCTGGGCAACAGCAAGACCCTGTCTCTATTAAAAAAAAAAGAATAATTGAGTTGTATGTATGGTTTGGGAGACTTTGCCCTGCTATTAAAGTATACTCTAAAGCTGCCATCATTTAAATAGTATGTTACTAACACAGGAAAAGAAGAGTGGAATAAAACAATTCATAGACCAGCTTATCGAAGTGAGGGGAAAAAAAAATTCAGAATCAATGGGAATATAATGTAAAGAAATGGCACTTCAGATTGGGGCAAAATTATATTGCCACACTACAAACAAAAATACATTCCCGATGGATTATACATAAATTGTTTTTAATTACGAGCAAACTAGAAGGGCTTTGAGAAGTGATTGAGTAGCCACAGTTGTGGAATGTGAGGAAAGATAGGGGAAACACAGACCTATAGACCTAAGAGTTTCATTCAGAAGACATTTCCTGAATACCCGTGAGACCCTGTGCCAGGTTCTAGGGATAAAAAAGAGCACATCTTGTGAGGATGTTTTCAGCCTGAAGGAGTTGGAATTTAAGCTACAGTAAGGGGTGTTTTAAGTTCAATATCATGAGAATTTTGGAATTCAGCTGGCTGCTGTCTACTTGAGAATATGGTGGCATCCCATCTTATCTGAAACCACAGGACCTTTTGGAAAGCTTAGCTTTGGATTAATGGAGTGCTTATGTTGGGGTGTCTGTATATCTAACCCCAACCTCAGAGTTAGCACTTGTGTTAAAATTGGAGATGGCGAGAAGGGACAGGATGGAAAAACCAAAAATATATTTATTCCATCTTTTCATTTTGGTTTCCTGCCTCAAATCAGTCATAATGAGTTGGATTTAAAT
The DNA here is from genome assembly GCF_000001405.40 of Homo sapiens. Classification (NCBI taxonomy): domain Eukaryota; kingdom Metazoa; phylum Chordata; class Mammalia; order Primates; family Hominidae; genus Homo; species Homo sapiens. Next base: position 45,382,982 of record NC_000002.12, on the reverse strand, counting down.
AACAGATCTTGGAGAACTCCTGAATGACTGGGCTCATTGCCAAAGCAGTGTGTTCCACAGGAAGAAAGATTAGGTTTCTTCTCACTCATTTTATATGGTGAGGATGATTCTGTGCATGAAGGTTGCATTTCTTATTTAGGGAGAGAGTGGGATAAGCAGACTCTGGTCCTTTCAGCACTAAACATTACCTTTTCAGAAATTAATTTAAAAACCACCCCCAGAAAGATTTGTTGTTCTCTTGCCTCATATCAAGAATCTAAGGATTATATAGCCACACCTTAAATATTTTAAAGAAGAAACTCTCATCCTGAAGAAAGGAAGTAAATTATTACTCTAAATGCTTCAGGGAAACTTCTGAGATAGAGAGTTTATCCTAACTGTATGGCCCATCTAATATGGCGGCCTGAAATGTTATGTAGCCCAATCGTACCAGAAAAATCTAAAGTTAAAGATACAATGGTGAAGGGAGACATGGGGTAACAGAGGGAGGAAGGGGGAGAGACCAACTTAATAGCTTCACGTTGGTGGGGTACGAAGTTTTAAGAGTTGAGTTTTATCCATGCAATTAGATCAAATATAACTCTCTAGATTTATTGCAGTATTTTGCAAAAGCAATCAAGTAAGACGAATGAAAGTGTGCTACTGAAAGCTTTTCACTTCTTGCAAAACTTTCCACCTTCTTATAGCCAGGCCCACAATAACTAGGGGAATTTCCCCCAAGGGAGCACGCTTTTGGATGTCTCTCTCCAGTCCTAACGATTGGTTCTTTGATCATTTGACATTTGCCCACCTGCTTCCCAGGTTTAAGTCTCTTAGCAATGAAAAGAGAAGGCAACACCAGTGAAAGTCAAAACTAAGATATACTCACATTCTTTGTTTCACAGGGTTAAGGTGATTTTATGAAGCTAAAACTCAAGATGCCCAGTTTAGTCAAATCTGATGTAATTTGCTACTTTAGTTACCAAAATAATTGAATTTCCAACGAAGCACACTGTCATTTGACCTGTATTATCACCCACAAGAAACAGCAAGTTATTTTGGACTATTTGTTATAACTGTATTTTTATGATTTTTCCTGATTGAAAAAGTAATATGTGTAGTCTAAAAGGCAGGAATAATGAAATACGAAAGTTGGAAAATAAAAATCTCCTCTGCTAAGTAGCCACCTTCTAGAGTTTTCGTACATCCCTGTCCCTTTTTCTATGCATATGTTCCTTCGTAAAGATTTTTAACAAACTGGCATCATATGTACACTGTTCTCTTTCTCTTTGTAATTGGGCATGTATGTGTTCCCATGTCAGTACCTACATATCTACCTTAATATGTTTCATTGTGTGTGTGTAAACAATTGCAAACAGTGCTGCGGTGAGCACCATCGTACATTGTCCTGGTGGTACCGCTCTGTCAAAGAATATGCACATTTAAAGGTCAGTGGCTATTGTGAACCCCCTACCACCACCACCAACACAGTAAGGTTAAATATTTTTTCATGACTTTTTGTTTCAATTGTATGAGCACATATATGTGTATTGGTACTGGGTTAAAATGTAAAATATAGTCTTTATTGTGGATTGAGGTTTTAAAAAATGAAAGTCAAAACTGGGAGACACTTTTCTCTATGGTAAGAACTCTTGCTGTTCCCCTGCTCAGCATGGTACCTCACACTACAGAGCCTTTGTAGATGTCATTCCTTTTGCCTGAAACGGCCTCCCCTCTCTCTCACTTCCACCCGTTTATCAGGTCCCAGTATTGGATCTTACCTCAGAGGGCATTTTCTCCCAGACTAAATCAAGTTCACTATTACAGGCTCTCCTTATACTACATGACTTTCCTTCATTTCCTGCACATATACATTTCTGTACATGGTAACAGCATGTAATTAACGTCTTCCTCTGAGGACTCTCTGAGGACAGCAACCTTTAATATCTGCCACTATTTGTGATAATCAGGAAACTCACCACCCCCTTTTTATTAATTCCTTCTCTGATTTTGCCCCTATCTTCATCAGACCTGCGTCTTCCATCTTTTCCTTTGATTCCTCTAGATATAGTGTTTGGCCTTGAGCTCTGTCTTAGCTCTTAGCTCATTTTTTTGAGAAAACAGAGCATGAAAAAGGCATATGTACTCATACTTTATTGGGGGTTATAATCCCAGAGCAGGAAGAAGAAGGGAAAAAAGGAAGTGAGCCAGGAAGCAGAGAAAGCAAATACAAAGTGCTGTGTTACTTAGCTAGTCATAGACTCATAAGAAAACATTGCCAGTTTCTTAGTCACCAGGTTGTCATGGAAGAAGCTCTGTGGTATGATGGTGGCACAGAACAGTGGAAGGGTGGAAGGAAGGTAGGGAAGAGAATTCATTGGCTGTCTCCCTCCTGACTCCTGTTTCTTTCTTACTAGTTAATGTTCACCTTACCAGGCATTGATTCCTCCATACTTCAAGGTTTTATTACTTGGCTTCTGTGGACAGCTGCTAAGGAAGTAGAACCAGTTGAGTCAGACCCTTGTGCTTGAGCTACTTTGGATCCCACAGCAGCAGGTGAGAAGGAGACCACACTGAAGTCTGGTCCTTACCACCCCCAGCTAAGGTGAGACAGCATGCACCGTGACTGTAGTAGCAAACAGGCTTCCCATGGAGCCACTGGCTGAGGACAGGGGTGGGAGGGATACAGGCAAGACCGAGTAAATAGTGGATTATGGGGCTTTGAGCGAGCTTCATAAACCAGTCCAGTACAGCTTCCAGAGCATTAGAATTGAGTCTTTCAAACTAACTTAGCTTACCTGAACTGCCCCCCACTCTTCCACCCCAATTGTTTTTTGCTCCTGTTCTCTACTTGTGGAACTCAACTCTAACCCGTGCAACCCAACCAGCTCCAAGGCAATCCAGTCCCAGAACCTTATCCCTGGCCTCACAATTTGTTGCAGCACCAGGTGACCAAGGCGCCAAAACTTCTCTTATTTCTTCATTGTTTACAAGGTTCCCTTGGATCATTTCCCTCCCACCTAGATCTCCAAGAGCACTGAGCAGCGGCTGCATATCCATTAAAGAAAGAAAATTAGAAATTCTGGGCAGTGGGGAGATCTCTCTGGCTCATGGAGAGTTTGGCTCTTGTGTGATTGATACTGGAAGCTGTTGGAGTTGAAAATGAATGAGTCAGGGGCCAAGAAAACTAAAACTGACAATTGGCCCTTAACCCATCACATCTTTCAAACAAGAAAACATACCCTCCATGCCCCTGTCCTCCTAAGATAAAAACATCAAAAACCCTAGGAGAGTATATGCAAAACTAGACTGTGTATGTCTAATTTGACAAAGGGTTATTTAAAAATAAATTGCTCAGGGCAAAGCACAGATCAAGAGAGTTCCTTTGGGCTTTGGCCAACTCTTCGCTAATACAGTTTGCTGGCCTGAGTGAATAGGGCCAGAACCAAAGAAAATAGTCTGCAATCAAAAATTTTGTGTCTAGAAACTTTCCCTTGCACAATCTTGCTCTTTTGCTAACAGTTTTATTGAGATATAATTCACATATCATACAATTCACATATTTAAAGGGTACCAATCAATGGTTTTGAATATATTCAAAGAGTTCTGCAACCATTACAATACATATTATCATTTTCATCACCCCATCAAGAGAACCTGTACCCCCATTAGCAGACAACTACTTTGTCTCTATGGATTGGCCTATTCTGGACATTTCATATAAATGCAGTCATACAGTACGTGGTCTTTTGCAACTGGCTTCTCTCACTTAGTGTAATGTTTTCAAGGTTCATTCCTGTTGTAGCATGTAGTAATAGTCTATTTCTTTTTATTGCTGAATAATATTCTCCTATATGAATATACAACATGTTACTTATCCATTCATGAGTTGATAGACATTGGGTTCTTTCCATGTTTTGGCTATTATGAATTATTCTGCCATGAACATTCAAACACAAGTTTTTGTGTAAACATATGTTTTCATTTCTCTTGGGTGTACATCTAGTAGTGAAATTACTGAGTCTTTAAATGGTAACTTTATGTTTAATCTTTTGAGTTCTTCAAAAGATTGCTTGCCAAAGTGGCTGTACCACTTTACATTCTCACCAGCAATGTATGAGGGTTACAATTTTTCTATATCCTCATCAACACTTGTTGTTGTTTGTATTTTTTATTGTAGCCATCCTTAGTGGGTGTGAAGTGGTTTCACACTGTGGTTTTAATTTGTATTTCCCTCATGAATAACAACATTGAGCATTTTTTCATATGCTTATTGGTCATTTGCATATCTTTGAAGAAATGTCTATTCAGACTCTGACCATATTTTTTTTTTTTTTTTTGAGATGGAGTCTTGCTCTGTCACCCAGGCTGGAGTGCAGTGGTGCGATCTCGGCTCACTGAAACACTTTGCCTCCTGGGTTCAAGTGATTCTTCTGCCTCAGCCTCACGAGTAGCTGGGACTATAGGCACAGGCCACCACACCTGGCCAATTTTTGTATTTTTAATAGAGATGGGGTTTCACCATATTGGCCAGGCAGGTCTCGAACTCCTAACCTCGTGATCCACCCGCCTTGGCCTCCCAAAGTGCTGGGATTACAGGAGTGAGCCACTGCGCCCAGCCTGACCATATTTTATATTAGGTTATTTTTACTACATTGTGGGAGTTCTTTATATATTCTAAATACAAGTTTCTTATCAGATAAATAAAAACTTTATCCCATTCTGTGAGTTTTCTTTTCACTTTCTTAATAGTGCCTTTTGAAGCACAAAATGTTTAATTGGTATGAGGGTCAATTTATTTTTTTCTTTTGGGCTTGAGCTTTTGGTATCATTTAATAAACATGCCTAATCCAAGGTCAGGATAATTATGCCTCTGTTTTCTTGTGTTTAATAGTTTTAGCTCTTAAATTTAGGTATCTGATCCACTTTGAATTAATTTGCATGTGGAATGAGGTAGAGGTCCACACTGATTCTTTTGCCTATGCATATCCAGTTGTCCCTACATTCTTTGTTGAAAAGACAATTCTTTCCCCAATTATTAGGTTGCTGCAAAAGTAATTGTGTTTTTTGCCATTTAATGGCATTTATAAAAACTTTACTTAAAAAAAGTAATTAAAACGCAATTACTTTTGCACCAAACTAATAATTGTCATGGTACCTTTGTCAATAATCGGTTGACCATAGATGTATGTGTTCTAGAGATCAATTCCAATCAATTTATTATGTCTGTGTTTATGCCAGTACCATACTGTCATGAGTACTGGAGCTTTGTAGTATATTTTGAAATTGAGAAGTGTGAATCCTCCAATCCTCCAATTTTGTTTTCCCTTTTTTTTTTTTTTTTTTTGAGATGGAGTCTTGCTCTGTCGCCCAGGCTGGAGTGCAGTGGCACGATCTCAGCTCACTGCAACCTCCACTTTCCAGATTCAAGTGATTCTCCTGCTTCAGCCTCCCGAGTAGCTGGGATTACAGGTGCACACCACCAGGCCCAGCTAATTTTTGTATTTTTAGTAGAGGTGGGGTTTCACCATCTTTTGCAGGCTGGTCTTGAACTCCTGACCTCGTGATCCACTCCTCGACCTCTCAAAGTGCTGGGATTACAGATGTAAGCCACCACAGCTGGTTTTTCATTCTCAAGGTTGTTTTGGCTATTCTGGGTTCCTTGCATTTTCGTATGGATTTTAGGACCAACTTGTCAATTTCTGCAGAGAAGTCAGCTGAGATCTTAATAGGGATTGTGTTGAATATGTGGGTCAATTTGGGGGGATATAGCCTCTTAATAGAACAGTCAGCCCTCCATATTCATGGGTTTTGCATCTGTGGATTCAACCAACTGCAGATAAAAAATATTTGGAAAAAACTGGATAGCTGCATCTGTAACTGAATGTATACAGAGTTTTTTTTTTTCATTTTTCCCTAAACCGTACAGTGTAACAATTATTTACATAGCATTTACATTGTATTAGGTATTGTAAGTAATCTAGCGATGACTTAAAGCACAGTGTATGAGGCAATGTGTATAGGTTGTATGCAAATACTATACCATTTTATATAAGGGACATGAGCATTTGTGGATTTTGGTGTTCAAGGGGGATTCTGGAAACAATCCCCTATGAATATTGAGGCACACCTATATTGTCTTCCAATCCATGAACATGGGCTGTCTTTCCATTTATCTAGGCAGTCCTTAATTTCTCTCAACAATGTTTTGTTGTTTGCAGCATATAAGTTTTACACTTCTTTTGTTACATCTGTTCCTAAGTATTTTAATTTTTAATGCAGTTATAAGTGAGATTGATTTCTTACATTTCTTTTCTGAATGTTCACTGCAACTGTATAGAAAGACAATTTATTTTTTATATTGATCTTGTATCCTGCGACCTTGCTGAACTCATTTTATTAGTTCTAATAGTTTTTTAGCAGATTTTTCTGGATTTTCTGTATTATAAGATCATACCATTTGTGAATGGAGTTTTATCTCTGTCTTTCTAATCTGAATTTCTTACATTTAATTTTCCTGCCTAATTTATCTGACTGGAACCTCCAGTACAACGTTGAATAGAAATAGTGAGAGTGGACATTGTTGTCTTGTTCTTGATCTTCAGGGGAAAGCATTCAGTCTTTCATCATGAAGTATGATGTTAGCTATGTGGGGGGTTTTGTATGTACCCTTTATCAAGTTGCAAAAGGTCCTTTCTATTCCTTTTTTTTAAAAATATTTTTATCATAAAGGGGTATTGAATTGTTTCAGGTTCTTTTTCTACATCTATTGAGATGATCTTGCAGGGTTTGTCTTTTATTCTGTTAATATGGTATGTTACATTAGTTAATTTTCAAATGTTAAACCAATCTTGCATTCCTGGGATAAATTCTGCTTGGTCAAGGGGTATGTTATGGGTTGAATTGTGACCTCCAAAAATTCATATGTTGAAGTCCTAATCCCCAGTACCTCAGAATGTGACTGTATTTGCAAATAGGGTCATTGTGGATGTCATTAGTTAAAATGAGATCATATGGGATTAAAGTGGGCCCTAGTCCAATATAACTGTTGTCCTTATAAAAAGGGGAAATTTGGATATAGACACATACACAGGGGGAATGTCATGTGAAGATTGGAGTTATGCTGCCACAAACCGAGAAACTACCAGAAGGTAGAAGAGAGGCCTAGAACAGATCGTTCCCTAGTGCCCTCAAAAGGAACCAACCAACCCTCCCAACACATTGATCTTGGACTTATAGCTTCCAGAACAGTGAGACAATAAGTTTTTGTTGTTTAAACCACCCAGTTTGTGGAACTTCATTATGGCAGCCCTGGCAAACTTATATATAATGTACAATCCTTTGTATATATTACTGGATTTGATTTGCTAGTATTTTGCTGAGGGTTTTTATAGCTGCATGCATAACAGATATTGGTCTATACTTCTCTGATATAGTCTGGATATTTGTCCTTGCCCAAATCTCATGTTGAAGTGTAATCCCCAATGTTGGAGACAGCGTGGTGGGAGGTGTTTGGACCATGGGGACAGATCCCTCATGAATGACTTGGGCCATCCTCTTGGTGATAAGTGAGCTCTCACTCTGAGTTCACATGAGATCTGGTCATTTAAAAGTATGTGGCATCTCCCCTCCCTCTAGTCTCTCACACTGTTGCTTTCATTCTCACCATGTGACGTGCCTGCTCCCCCTTCACCTTCCATCATGATTGTAAGCTTCCTGAGGCTCCCCCACCCAGAAGCTGAGCAGATGCCAGCATCATGCTTCCTATAAAGCCTGCAGAATTAAACCTCTTTTCTTTATAAATTACCCAGTCTCAGGTATTTCTTTATAGCAGTGCAAGGACAGACTAACACGCTCTCTTTATTTGTGATGTCTTTGGAGTTATATTTTTAGTGTTTCTCTAGGCTTGCCATATAAACATTAAGCTAGCATAACCTACTTCAGATTTATACTAACTTAATCTCAGTGAGATAAAGAAATGTTACTCCTATAACTCTATTCCCTCTCTTCCCTTCTTATACTATTAGTGTTATGTTATATATTATGTTGTTGTTACATATATATATATATATAATGTTACAAACCCAACAATATGTTGGTATGATTATTACTTTATGTATCTTTATGTCTATTAAAGATGCTGAGAAAAGAAAGCAAGTACAGTTTTCCCTCAGTATCCATGGGAGATTGGTTCCAGGCCTCCCGAAGCTACCATAATTCACAAATGCTCAAGTCCTTGATACATAAAATGGTGTAGTATTTGCATATATCCTACGCACATCCTCCCGTATACTTTAAATCATTTCTAGATGTCTTACAATATCTAATACAATGTAAACACTATGTAAATACCCATTACAAAGGGATAATGACAGGAAAAAAAGTCCATACATGTTCAGTACAGACTCAGCCATTCACTTTTGGGTGGAGGAATATTTTTCATTGCAGTTGGGTGAATTCATGGATGTGGAAATCACAAATACAGGGGGTTAACCATATATATTTATATAGTATGTTATATTTACCTTGTTATCTGCCATTTCTGGTTCTCTTCATTTGTACCTTATTTTTTAAGCAAAGAGGATCCACTGAAGATTGTTGGTGGGGGAAAGGATTTCATTTGGGGGGTATTTAAATATGTACTATTTGAGGACAATTCTCTGGCAGACGTGTAGCGGGTGGTGGGAGGAATAGAAGTCAGGGAGATCAGTCAGGAGGTAGTTGCTGCAGTTGGTACAAGTTAATGGGGGCCTGGACTTGGCTTGATTTTGACTCTGTTGGCTTGTGTTTTGCCTTCTGGAGCTGGTAATATGTAAGTCAGTGTGAATAGACACTGACTTAGAATCAGGCTTAGATAGGTATACTGATCAGGAATTGTTAGTGAACTGAAGATAATCCAAGGATGAATCCAATGGGGGAATAATGCCTTATCTGTTGATTTGAGGGGCTTAGAAGGAGAGGCTTTCCCATGGCAAGCCTCTATGGAAAACATGAAGTCTGGCAAATAAAGCCCATCTCAGGACATGGTGATGAACGTAAATTCAAGCAGTTATGTCTGTATAGCAGTGGAGGAGGGGGAATGAGGAGAAGGAGAGATTCTTCCCCATACACATGTCCTTGCAACTGTTAGGGATGAGGTTACAGACCATCGAAGAGAATGAACAATTTCCCTTTCCTTTCTCAGGGCAGATGACCTTTCAGAAATTAAACAAATCAATACTGTGTCCTCAGAGGAAGCATGTTTGACTGCCCTGATTCAATGGGCTCTATTGTTTCAGGTGAACCCAGGTGATTCAATTCCTCCCTGATGTCCTCTATAGGAGGTTTTGTCTGTGAATTTTTCTCTGGAATAGTTATGTAAGATCTCAGTTAGACATGCCATTACATACAGTTAAAACAACAACAGCAACAAAAAAGCAAAGAACATGAGCGGAGAGACAACACTGGTGCCATAGACAGTGTGCAGTGGTTATTCTACTACAAGCAAGAGGTATCCAAGGCCTGAATAAAACAGTAGTGATGAAAGTTCACTTGCAGAATGCTCATAAAGGTAATTGAGGGTAGCAAAAAAAAAAAAAAAAAAAAAAAACAATAACAAAAGTCTGGAAGCTTTGAAATAATCCATCAATCGAAGAAGAAATCATAGTGAAAATTAGAAAATACTTAGAACTTTTTTAAAAAGAAGAAAATACCACCTATCAAAATGAACAAAAACGCTACCTAATACCACTGATTTTGTACCGTCTCAGTGATCCACAAATCCTCAAGCCAAGAATATCATTTAAAATGACTGTGCTCCCTGGCCACTGCTGAAGTGAATGCAAATCTCTTCTGAAGAAGAATTCTTTTAGACAAGTTCCAAGGAGTATGATAGTACAGTCAAGAATCTAAAAATGAACAAATAAACCAAAACAAGCAATATGCCACTCAAAGTTAAGTGCCAGCGGAAAAGAAACAGCTGAATAAGACTTACAAAGCCTTCACGTATTGAATTATTAGACAAGATTTATAAAATAGGTGTATTTAATCTGTTTAAATGAAAGAAGGGATTGAATATTCAAATCATTTATATGAAGAGAAAAAATAATATTTTTAAAAGACCGTAGAGGTCTGATAAAACAGGCTAAATTAATGCTTGGAAATAAAAAATATAATTGGGATTTTTGCCATGAAGAAAATCAAAATTTTTGTAAAGTCAATTATATAATTTCTTTTAATTTTTTTTCTTATCTAAATAGTTAATCTAAATCGTTAATCTATCTAAAATTTATTTTGGTGTAAGAGGTGAAAGAAAATTTTATATTTTCCAAATCGCTACCCTCTTATCCTAATACCATTTATTAAATACACAATTTTACTGATTTGAAATGCCAACTTTGTCAGAAACAATATCCCAATACATAGTTACATCTGTTTCTGGGATATCTATTCCTTTCCATAGATATTCCCATTCATCTGCTGGTCCCAAACTACTTTAATTACTGTAATTTTTATAATGCTTTTCTGTACCGGGCAGGGCTGATTATCCCTTATTGCTTTTTTCTTGCTTTATTCCAAAAATAATGGTGTCAATGTTTTTATATAGAAAGTTTAATTTATAGGTTTATTTGGAGAGGATGTCATCATTACCATCATCCCTATCTAAGAATATGATACATCTTATTATTTATTTAAGTCTTTTTTAATGGCCTTAAATAATGTTTTCAAGTTTGCTTCATGTGAATAATACATGTTTCTTAGGTTTATTCCTAAGGATTCTATTATATTTCTTGTAACATAAATTGGATACTTACTTCTATTATATTTTCTAGATGATTATTGTTTGTATAGAGAGAACTGCTGATTTTTGTGTTTTAATTTTGTTCTCAACCACCTTGCTAAATTTTCTTACTTTTGGAAATAGGGATTTTTTTTTAGTTGATTTTTCTGGGCTTTCTGGCACAGTATCATCTCATCTGCAAATAATAATATTTTCTTTGTTTTCCTTTCTGATCTTAATTTTTTTTCTTTCTCTTCTCTAATGACATTGGCTAGTATTGCCCAAAGTTAAGTAATAGTGATAATGATGTACACCCTTATTTTGTTTCTGATTTTAATGAGACTCACTGTATAGTTTCTGGCCTTTGAAATAAAATAGTATATTCCTCATGTTAAGGAACTACTCATCTATTAGTATTGCATTAATACACTTTTTTTGTAATTCAGCAGAGATATTAAATGTTGTTAGATGAATTGCAGCATCTACAGAAATGTTTATGCAGTATTTCTCCTTTGATCTATGTGTAAGTTATAATAATAGATTTCTTAATAATAAACCACTTTTGCTTTTTTTTTTTTTTTTTTGAGACGGAGTCTCACTTCTTCGCCCAGGCTGAAGTGCAGTGGCATGATCTCAGCTCACTGCAACCTCCATCTCCGAGGTTCAAGCAATTCTCCTGCCTCAGCCTCACAAGTAGCTGGCATTACAGGCATGTGCCAGCATGCCCAGCTAATTTTTGTATTTTAGTAGAGACAGGGTTTCACCATGTTGGCCAGGCTGGTCTCGAACTCCTGACCTCAAGTGATCCACCGGCCTCGGCCTCCCAAAGTGCTGGGATTGCAGGCGCCCAGCCCACCTTTGCATTTTTTTGTATGAGTCTTTCTTGATCATGATATATATTTGCTTAATAATAGACTAGAATCTACCAGCTAATGTCCTTATTTATAATGTTTAGGGATTGGACTGTGTTAATGTTGAGTTGGTAAGATTTTGGAAATTTTCCTTTCTATACTCTGGAAGCATTTAGATAATATTAAGGTTTTATGTTCCTTAAATATTTGATATAATTAACCTGTAAAATTTTTTAGAAATTGATTTGTCTTTTCTGGGATCAGTTTTGATAATTAGTTTTTCTCGAGCTAATTATCTATTACATTTATTTGCATAAAGCTGAGCAATGTATTCTCTTAAAATTTAATTTCCTCAATATCTATGCTTATTTCTTCATGCTGATTTTTATTATTTATTCATGTCTTCCCTTTTTATTTATGTTGTTTGATTAGCTTAGGTAAAAGTTTACCATTTATTTTTCCTTAAAAACATTCTCTAGGAGGTGTTTGTCCTACAGTTCTTCTCTTTTCTAGTTCTTTAAGTGTTGGTCTTATCTTTACTAATATTTCCCTTCTTTTGCTCTTGAGATTACTCTGTTATTCTTTTTGTAACTTATTGTATTGAACATTTAATTATTTTCATTCTCCATTTGTCTTTAACTGACGAAGCTAATTGTTAGTAGCTTTTTTCAAGAAAGAGCCCTAGGAACTGTGTTCTTTGAATATTTGTATATTTGAAATCATCTGCATGTTGCCTTTATGCTTGAAGTATACTTTGGCTAGAAATAAAATTCTTGAGTCATACTTTCCATGAGGTGTTTGAAGATAGTGAATTTCTGCAATGTAGACTGTTGCTTTAAGGAAGTATGAAGCCAACCCGATTTCTATCTTGTCCCTTGAAGCAATTTGATTTTTGTCTGAAAGATCATATCTTTGAAGTCCAGTAACTTTTATAGAGTATGTTCTACACTGATTAATCTTTGTTACTTCTTCCTGAAAGATGTTATGCCTGTTTATAGATTCAAGTCTTTTATTTCAGAAGAATTTTCTTGGATTACACTTTGAAAATTTTTTGTGTGCTTGATTATTTTGTTGTCATCTGAAGAATCCATAATTGAACATGAACTCTCCCTTAGCTGTTTCCCATGTGTATGATTTTTTCTATAATTCTTTAAAATTCTTTTTTCTTGTGCTCAGTTTTCTTAAACCTGTCTTCCATTTCTTTAGCTTTTCAACAATATCTGTTGTTTTTTCTGTGATTTCTATGTCTGTGATGTTATTACTTTTCTCTTCTACATTTTTCCTGGGCTTCATTTTACCTTCTTATGTTGTCTTTTCATTACTTTTGTCACTTCTTGTATCTGCACTTTGAACTCTTCTTCATGATGGCCACTTTTTCACCAAGTTCCTTGAATCCATATGAAGTTATAATATGTGGGATAATTTTCAACTATCCAATAAATTTTTTTCCTGGCAAATGCCAAATTTGTTTTATCTCTTTTGCCTTTTTTTCTGTAATGAATTTGTCTCCTGGCTTCTTTTTTTAAAAAGATTTATTGAAATATAATTCACATACAATATATTTCACTTACTTAAACTGTACAGTTCAATTTTTTTTTTTTAGCATATTTACACAGTCGTGAAACTACCCCCTGGTTCCTTTTCTTGGGTATTCTCATTTTTGGACACAAACTCCTTCTGTGTAGGACTTTCTTTGGGGAAAGAAAATGTGAGAGAGATATCAGAGGTGTTTGCTTGCTTGCTTGCTTGAGGCGGGTTTTCACTATGTTGTCCAAGCTAGAGTACAGTGGCACGATCACAGCTCACCACAACCTCAACCTCCTAGGCCCAGATGATCCTCTCACCTCAGCCTCCCAAGCAGCTGGCACCACATGTGCCTGTCACCACACCCTGCTAAATTTTTAAATTTTTTGTAGAGACAGGTTTTTGTCATGTTGCCCAGGCTGGCCTCAAACTCCTGGGCTGAAGCGATCCTCCTGCCTGGGCCTCCTAAAATGCTAGGATTATAGGCGTGAACCACCACACCCAGCGATTTCAGAGGTTTTGAACAATGTCTGGACTAAGAAGAAGTCCTCCTAACTTAAAACGAGGCCTTACATATGTAAGGTTCAGTGGAGTGTATTGTTGTGGATTCAGACTTTACAAAATTTTAATTTACAAGACTTGCTAGCTTCAAGGCCACCTATTAACCTTACTTTCTGAACTTTCTCAAAATGTTCTCTTGCAGGAATGTCATGTGTATATTGTTTCAAAAGGGTGTCATAGAGAATTCTGTAGCCAGGTTTTAAACCTCAGGCTTTTTCAAACAAGGAACTGTTGCTTTTGCTCCTCCAGATACATCACTAACTTGGAAAAATGTGCTCTGTTTACTGTGTGGGATCTGCAGCCATAAGCATGGCCTCTTGGCTTTGTTTCTCACCCTGGTCTGACCTTCACTGCACTTGGCAGCAGTTCTTTATAAATATTAAAGTTCAGGTCATAGGTGTTTCTTGATTTAGCCAGAGTTTTTTATTCCATTTTTATTCTTGTTTTTTTTTTTTTTTTCCTGATTGGTTTTTAGAAAGCAGATGGGGTCAGAGAAATATTTCTCCGTCTTAAAATGAGAGACGGATAATTTTATTAATAGTCTAGTTCTTCTCTTGGTTATTTTCAAATTTTACCTAATATGTTTAAACCTCTATTTTTGCCAATCTAGAATATATATGTATATATATAAAATATAGGTATATATGTATATCACTTTGTAAAGTAAGAAAATAAGCATATTTACAGTTCCTTCTTCCTTCTTTCTCTAATTTTACTTTGCAACATCTGCTAGTATTTCATTATTTTTACAACATTGATATTTAAGGCATTTATATTCTTCTCTGTAACTATAACTAGAAAAAAATAGCATTTGATTAAATTATTATACACTGAACATATACAGTGGACTGTGAAAATATGGTGAATTGTGAAGTCAAACAGTGTTATTGGAACCTCAGAGAAGGAAACAGAATCCTATGTCACTACCTCTTGAAGGAGAATGTTCCAGGTATCACATTAAATTAATTATCTTTCTTATGCACAGAGAAAATTGTACTTTATTTTAGTTGCTTCACATTTCTTGTACAGTGCCCACCTAGGCTTTTAATTACCTTTCTTCTTTATTTTCAATATATACATTATACACATTAATTTTAATATATACAATACATACATTCACCATAACATTAAAACATTCATCTTCTTCACCATACAACCTTTTGATAAAACTCACTGTCTTCTGTAAGATAACTTTTCCGTGGTCCAGTTGGAACTAGTTGCTTTCCAAGCCTACTGCTTATCTGTCATTCTGGAATTTCTTTTTGTCACACTCTTAGGTAAGTGTCACTGTTTCTTGAAGCTTCAGTCTTTTTTCTTGTACTCCATTTTCTATTTATGATACCTTATTAAGATTTTTTCAAAAAATGTGCCCAGGATGTAAATACTCTGCGACTTGCATGTTTAAAAACAGTCCTCACATAATTGCTAATTTAGTTAATCGTAGAATTCTAGAATGAAAGTAGTAGTTTTTGAGAATTTTCAAATTATTGCTCTGTTGTCTTCTAGAAAATGATTTCACAGAAAAGAAATATGATGCCACCATGATTCTTGTTCCATTGTAGCAACAATACATGCCTGAGGAATAACTGATATACAATAAATTGCATATGTTGAAAGTGTGCCATTTGATTAGTTTTAACATTTGCATATACTGGTGAAACCAGCCTTTTTAAGTCTCTGCTCACTCTGGATATCTTCTAATGACCTGTCCTTTAGTTAATCCTCTTTTCTTCATTGTCTATTCAGTTTTTAATTTTAGCAAAATTTTAATTTCAACAATTTGTGTTTTTCAGGTGGAGAATTTACATTTTATTCTTTTTATTGTTGATAATTCTTCTGTAGTGAAATTCTCCATTGTGCCCAGTATTGTCTTGAACAAATTAATCACAGTTATTTTAAAGTTATGCCTGATAACTCTAATTAATCTGTATCATCTGTGAGTCTGTTCTCAAGTCTGTTTTATTCCTTGGTTTTGTTCAACTGGTCCTATCTTTTGGCATGTCTGGTAATTACTTGATTGAATGCCAGATACTATATTTGAAAATTGTAAGTGTAATTTGAGTCTCTGGCCAGTGTTTTCGTTTTCTAGATATTTACTACTATTTGGCAGATAGGCAGAGTAGGAATAGATCACTTTAATCCAGTCTGGAATGAGCTCATTTGAAGCTGAGTTTCAGTCCTTTGTGCATGCTGTTGTATTTCCAACTTACACCTGTGCTGTTACTCTTCCAGCATCTTAACAGGAAGCCTGGAAGGTACACCAGGGCCTCTCCTCATTGGTAGGAACTGATCTCTAATTTCTGTCACCTAGCCTGAGAGATTGCTGGAAGACTCACCTGGATTCCCAGGTTCTAAGCTGCTGCTCTTTGCTTTGTTTCTTCAACTCTTATACATAAGCTTTTAAGATCAGCAGATTCACTGAAAGGAAAACTTATGCAAAATGTACTACCCTTCTATTTGGGATTCTTGCCCTCAAGTCCTGTCAGTGATCTTGACTTCTACCTTAAGAAGCTAAAAAAAGAAGAGCAGGCCGGGTGCGGTGGCTCACACCTATACTCCTAGCACTTTGGGAGGCCGAGGTGGGAGGATCACTTGAGGTCAGGAGTTCGAGACCAGCCTGGCCAACGTGGTGAAACCCTGTCTCTACTAAAAATACAAAAATTAGCTAGGTGTGGTGGCGGGCGCCTGTAATCCCAACTACTCGGGAGGCTGAGGCAGGAGAATCACTTGAACCTGGGAAGTGGAAGTTGCAGTGAGCTGAGGTCACGCCATTGCACTCCAGACTGGGTGACAGAGCAAGACTCCACCTCAAAAAAAAAAAAAAAAAAAAAAAAAGAGAAAAAAGAAAAAAAAAAGAGCAAATGAAGCCAAAATAAGCAGAAGAAGGAAAATAATACATGAGCAAAAATCAATGAAATGTAAAGAAAATCAGTGAAACCAAAAACTGATTCTTTTGGTGGGTGGGAGGTTGGGGGGCTCAGGGAGGAGGTGAACTTCTACCCAGGCTGATGAGAAAAAAAAAAAAAGAAAACACAAGTTTTCATTGTCAGGAATGAGAGAGTTAACATAACCACAAAGGCTATTCATATTAAAAAGATAGAAAAAGAGTAAAATAACAACTTTATGGCAATCAGTTCAACACTTAGATAAAATGGAAAAATTCCATGAAAGCACAAACTACCAAAGCTCAATCAAAAAGAAATAGGTAATTTGCATTGTGCTGTATCTGTTAAAGAGGTTGAATTTATAGTTTAAAACTTTCCTACAAAGAAAACTTCAGGTCCAGATGGCTTCACTGGGAAATTTTACCAAACAGTTAACAATACTAATTCTACACAAACACTTTTAAAATATTGAAGCAGGGAATACTTCTCAACTAATTCTATGAAACCAGCATTACCTTGATACCAAAACCAGAAAAGTATGTGGATATATATATATAATGAATACTGACTGTATAAAAACACTTATATTAAGGTGTTTATGTAAAAAAAAAAAACCTTCATGACAATAATAACACAAAAAGCAGGAAAAGAGTAAAGGGAACTAAAATATTCTGTAGTCCCTTCATTGGTAAAAATATAAATTTATATCTGATCCTAGCAAATTAAGATGCATGTTGTAATCTCTAGGGGAACCACAAAAAGGGTAGTAAAATAATTGTGTGTGTGTGTGTGTGTGTGTGTGTGTGTATAAATATATACACACACAGGCTGAAGTGCACTGGTGCTATCACCACTCACTGCAGCCTCAACCTCCTGGGTCAAGCAATCCTACCTCAGCCTCCCGAGTAGCTGGGACTACAGGTGCATGCTACAACCAGCTAATATTTTTATTTTTATTTTTTGTAGAGATGGTGCCCCACTCTATTGCCCAGACTATTTCTGAACTCCTGGGCTCAAGCGATCCTACCGCCTTGGCCTCCCAAAGTGCTGGGATTACAGGCATGAGCCACCGCACCCAGCCAATAATGTTTAATTAACAAACTAATCAAAAGGGAAATGCAATGATAAAAAAAATTTGATTAATTTTTCATTTAAAATGCAAGAGAGAAGAGTGAAAGCACAGAACAGATGGGACAAATAAAAAATAAATAGTAAGATTTAAATCTGAATACATCAGTAATTACTTTAAGTAAATACTTTGAATTAAAAGGCAGAGATAATAAAGCCTGGATAAAAACAAAAGCTGTGGAGCTCAAACAGGAGAGCATGCAGAAAGCAGCAGAGAGGATTCATTCTGCAAATGTCAGAAGTGCCTTAGCAAACGTCTGTCTCAGAGTTGAGGGAAACATCCTAAAGTATAAGACCTAATCCTTTGTGAACGATGGCAAGAAGAAAATGCATAGGCTGATGGGAGAAGTGTCCTGAGACGAAAATTGGTTTTGAGAAGCAAAAGGAGTTGGACTAAACGAGGAATCCCACATGGAAGCCCAGTGGTGTGTGCTCCTGGTAAATGCTTAGCAGCCGACTCTCCAAGTGTGATTCTGACATACACATTGATGGATGCTTTTGTTTACATTAACAAGTAAGATGCAAGTGAAACAATAAAGACATATGTTGGAATTTCACTAGTTCAGTTGTCAATGGTGTGTCTGACTTTGCTGAATTAGATAATAGTTTTTGAATTTTGGAAAGTTACTTTTCTTTCCTATTCACAATATAATGGCTACAGACATGACACACTTTTAAGTTTTATCTACATTATTAACATTTTTTTCCATCACTTTCTTAGGTCTAGATCAGAGATTAGGAAACTATAACCCAACAGCCACTTTCAACTGTTTGCATAACTCTTTTAAATTATCCTTTCAGACCTAAATATCACAATGCTTTGATATGTACCAAAATGCATGAGCTTTTTAGTAGTCCAATATTGTACATCATTTCTTTTTTCCTTTAACTCCTATTTCCTTTCCACTTCTTCCATATAATTTTATGCCAGTACAATATCTTTATATTTAAAAATGTTCATTGATTACCTTATCATTTTTCTTTGCAACCAAAACCATATAATTTTTAGTAGTATACAATTAAGCAAAAAATTTGTTCTAAATTTTGATAAATAATGATTAAATGTATAAAATAAAAGTTTATTAGAAAATTACCACTTAATGGTATTGGATGAGGCATTTTTCAATTTACATATCCATAGGTACATATATAAATATGACTTATTTCCAGGATGTGACAGGCTTAGCATCAATTCTGTTCTTCTTTTCAGTTTTTATAGACAGAGCTGATCACATAAATAAGCAGATGGAGGTCAAAGTAGTCTTATTTTTTTTAATTTCACTAAAGACTTGGACATTTTTTCACATTATGTGCCAAAATTATATCGTGATCATCAAAAATTCTTTTTAATGATCTAACTTGATTAGATCTTCCCTCAATTTTGTTGGAGCCCAGGAATTAGAACCCACTTAACTTGCAAAAGATTTTGTTTTCTAATCTTTAGAGCCATTCAATTTCTCAATTTCTCAATTTTCCCAGAAAAAGTCTTTTCATGATTTATCAAATTGCTATTAATTATTCTTGTTATTTTTAGAGAATCCTCATTTTTGTAGCTTAAACAGATTTTAAAAAAGAACAGCATAAAATTGGAAATTCAGTTCACAGTTTCACTTTAAAAAATTAGAAATTGTCCATGTTTTGTGAACAAAGTATAATCATGGTGAATTCGACTTTTCTAGGACAACTTAAAATGTCTTAAAAAGGCAAGACAGATGAACAGAGTTGTATCCTTGACAGTTGTTATGCAGAGATAAGTTAGTCATTTACTTAATGGTTGAAAAGGAGCATGTTTATAGTGATGTGTTTGATATGACTAGAGAAGCACAATCAACATCTGAAGGGGAGGAATTGTCTCTAATTAAATAAAGTTGCACTGGTAAAGTTCAGGATATCATGTTCTGTAATATGTTTGGGGAACATTTTATCCTACATGGGTAGAGGTAGATGTTCTACTTTTAAGAATGCAATTTAAACTACTTTATGGAAAGTAACAGCAAAAGGCAATTATTGGGCCATTAGGTAAGTGGAGGACTTATAAAAACTTTATTAATGTTGCTGTGGGCATTATTTACAGTGGTATCTATAGCATATCCCTGATATAATATAAATCTAATAACTGCATGGCAAAACAGAGTAATTGAGGAGCAAGTGGTTAACTAGTAGCAGTGAGAAGGAGATGTATGCTCAAATAAAAAATCAACAGGAGTTTATAGCATACTCTATTGGCAAAAGTTAATGAAAATGTTTCTCATACCAGTATGAATAAATGTTCAAGGAAATACAAACCCCTAACTTAGGTATCTGTTCCATTTCCAGATGTGACGCTAACCTGCTAGAACATTGGAAATGAGTGTGGAACTGTTCACTTCCTCCTTCTCAAAGTCATGTGGATATATCTCTGAAGGGACCAGGGCATGGGTGAGTGAGAGAATTCTCTAAGCTCTATCACCAAGAATGGTGGACATTCAGAAAGAACAAGTTGTGGTAGAGATATCATTTAAAAATAAATATTAATACTCAAAATTTTAGATGAATGGATATGTAGATAAGATAGATAAGAGCCAGGGCTTGTCAACAATTTGTCCCCCGCGGGCCCTCACAAGTCTCTCCCTGAACAGCAGTGCTCTTTTTGACAATAGTTAAGGATTGGAAGAGGTGAGATTAATAAACAAAATTTGTCATCTCTTTTGTGTCCCCATGTTACAGTGAATTCAGAACATGCCAACACAGGCAAAATTCTCAGTTTCTAATGTCTTCCTTCAAACTTATTATAAATATATATGAGAGAAGTAAAGATATGAAGCCCTACTGAGAGTTTATGGTGCCTTGATTAAAAGAGCCTTCACCAACACCAGTGATGGTGAGTGATTTGGGAAGAGGAGCTGGGAAAAAAATAACTCATAAAACATCTCGACTTAAGATATACTTCCTGGCAGATTGATTTTTGGAAAGAATACATAAAGAAATTGAGAACATGGAAATTGATGCTCTTAAAACTATCTGTGCTTACATACCCTTAGGAAAGTCTTTGCCCCGGGGTATGTATTCTTCATTTAAGACTATTAGCGTACAGAATAGAAATGAGAAAAATAATGAAATGAAATGAAAGCAAATGAATGAGTAGAA
This sequence comes from Homo sapiens, assembly GCF_000001405.40. Lineage (NCBI taxonomy): Eukaryota > Metazoa > Chordata > Mammalia > Primates > Hominidae > Homo > Homo sapiens. The sequence goes on along the minus strand of NC_000002.12, from coordinate 45,362,169 downwards.
AGGCTTAGAAGAGAAATGATAGTTACGGAAGACAAGCCAAGGGGTTCAATGTAGGGTCTTCAAAGAAGGCAGCAGAAATAATGGACTGAACAAATATTTAAAGGTAAAAAAATCTTTCCTGAAATAAAAGAGAGGTATGAATCTTTATATGGAAAGGACACAGCCAGAAAAAAAAATGAGCCAATATGGTCAACTCAGAGATATATCCTCAAAAAATTACTGAACTTCACATCAAAGAATCCTTTGAGAAGAGAGGAGAAAGAAAGAAAGGAAGAAAGAAAGAGAAAGAGAAAGAAAGAAAGAAAAAAGGAAGAAAAAAGAACAGAAGAAAAAGAGAGAGGGAGAGAGAGAGAAAGAAAGAAGGAAAGAAAGCAATTGATTTCTTATAGGAGGTAATATAGGGCTTTAACCGACAAGCCTCAGAGTGACTAAAAGACAATAGAACATACTTTCTTGAACTATCATTCTAATACTGTACTAAAGCAACCAACAAACCGTTTTGAATATATGAGAACATAGTGGAGGGAATATTATTTCATTGAGCTTTTTTGATGAATAAGAGCATGCATTTTAATTACCTAGGAGAAGACTGGAAAACTTCAGGAAAATAATCTGGTGGTGAGCCCTGAGTCTATTTAACTGCAGAACTAAAACTAAAACAAATGTAGGGTTTTTGATAACAGAAGAGAATGTAAATATAAGCATAGATAAACCAAGAGATTGTGAAAAAGCATTAAAGTAATAAAAGTTGGGAGGTGAAGGGATAAACAGATGTTACAAGTACAACAAAATCTTTAAAATCTGGGAGGTCAAAAGATAATAAAGATGTGAATATCTTTTTATAATGATTAAAAACACTTTTTTATGGAAGTAAAACACATATATAAAAATACAGAAATTCTAAGTATACATATTGTTGCATTTTCACAAAGTGAAAATACGAATATACTCATATATAAAGGACCCAGATGGAGAACTAGAACATTATGAGAACACAGGAGCCTCCCTCTCACCTCTTTACAGTCATTATGCCTCCCTCAAGGGCATCCACTGTACTTATTTCTAACTGAAGTATTAGTTTTGTCTGTTTTTGTATGTTATATAATTAGATTAATGTACTGTGATGTGTCTGGTTTCTTTTGCTCCATATTATGTTTTTGAGATTCTTTCATTTTGTTGCATATAAAAATAGCTCATTGATTTATTATGTATGTAGAGTACTCAATTATATGAGTATAGCATAATTTATTTATACACTTGACTGTTGATGGGCATTTGGGCTGGTTTTAGTAGGAGGTTATTATAACTAATTCTGCTGTGGACATTCTTATATTTGTCTTCTTGGTGAACGAACATACGCATGGTTTTCTGTGGGGAAAAATTATTTGAGGGGAAAAAGAAAAGTATTAATTAAATTTTTTAAAAAATAGTATCCCTATCATATAAAATGTAAACTCTGACTATTGATTTAACCAAAAAATTATAATATAACTATAAAAAGAAGATGAAAGAAAGGAAGGGGGTAGGTTGAAGAGAGCTTTATCTACTGAAATAAGAAATTAATAGGTAATGTCTAATATTAATAAATCAGGAAAGAATATTGTAAAATATTGTATTATAAAGCTGGTTTTAACATTTAACATTTATAACATTCAAAGCCAGCTCTGCTATTTAGGAATTATGGGATATCAAGTACTCAATTTCTCTGTGCCTCAGTTTCCCAATTTGCAAAATGGTGATACAATCTCACAGTGTTGTGCTGTGCTGCTAATAAGATAATGATAACATCATCTTAATGAAATATCAGCTAGTATCAAAGTGAACAACAGTTGTCCCAAATCCCATAGCTAGCCTGGAATCCTCATATCTGTGGTACAGTATGAATTTAGAAATTGCCGGTTTGCAGTGGGATATGTTCATAACTAGCCCTGATCCAAATTATTTTAGATAGGAAAATATGAAATTCCAAATTCTAGCATTTTCCATATATATATTTATTTTTACTAACATCTTGAGCCAGTCAATTTAGTAGAAGATTGTGTTTTGAAATCAGGCCTGTCAGTGATGTTCTAGATGTCTCCCAAAAATTACAATGAAAGGAATAAGCTCTGACCAGGTTCTTTTTCTTCCACCTGCTTGTTATTTCCAGGAGTAAGAAGGCAGGAGTGATCTATCCATTGCTGGTCTCTTGGAAGGAGATGTTAATTAGCAATGTTATATAAAATTCAGATGCAGGAAAAAGGGTAGAAATCAAAGACCTAACACCATCCATTTGGAATTCCTGCAGCACTTTTTACCAGGTCCATACCACTTTTCTTACCACTTTATCATAAACCATTTTTTTGTTTTTTGTTTTGTGCTTATGGCTCTATTATTTCAGGGTATGGATTGTATCTTTTTCACTAATCCGTGTCAACGAGTATTTATTGAGTCCCTACTATATATTGACTGTGCTAAGTGAGGGAGCAAGAAAGATGATTTAAAAATTTTCCTATCCTGAAGGAGCTTAAAATCTAGCTGTGGAGCATTTTTGCACTAAGAATTGACTCTACAGAGATATCCACCAAAGTTCTCCAAGTTACAGTTACAAGGATATTCATTGCACCATTGTTTGTAGTAGGAAAATAAGAGGGGTGAGGGGACAACTTAAATGTCCATCAATACAGGACTGGTTAAATTGTAGTTCACCATACCCCATCAGCCTTTCTTAACCCACGTCCTCATCCAAACCCCAGAAAACAGAAAGTGTTTTGAGTGACTGTTTTCTTAATTCTCCCAAGCGTTGTATGTGACTAGTACCATTCTGAATGCGTAGGAGAAAACGTAATTCCAGATATTCATTGCTGATTTAAAGTGCTTGGGCTTAATTCTTTCATAGGACCAAAGTTAATATGGAAATATTTCCAAGTGATACTGTAAAGTGAGAAAAAGATATAAAGTGAGAAAAGCAAGATGGACCACAAAGTATATAATTAATGTCTTCTGTGTAAATAAAGAAGCTACTAATATAGTCTCTTACATGTGCAGAGGGTTAGGTGAACTAAGGCTGGATACTGGGCTCAAAGCCTTGAGCACGGAGATGAGAGACAGGAGTGGCCTCAGTTCCTGGGAGTTGAGTTCGTGCAGGTACAGGCCAGGGAGGCAGGTCTTCTGTCCTTGGCACCAGCCAGCCCTGGCCTTTCTTTCTTGCCTCAGGCCCTTTTCCATCTCTTAGATGGGGCCCCACTAATTTGTCAGTTTGGGGATGAATTTAGTGTGTGTTCCACTGGCATGAAGTCAGGAGGAAAATAAATCCAAGGGAATTTCCATTTGGTCCTGACTCCTACTCCACATGGCCCCTGCCCCATCAGCCTTACCCTGGGGTTGGGTTTCAGATGGTTCCTGTGCATTTACAAATAAAACCAGGCTGCTCTGTGCACGCTTGTGAGGTGATGCCTGGGGCCTCGCACGGTTGGGCCAGAGATTGATACGGTGTGTGCACGCCTGGGCCAATCCAACCCTTTTGATCTATTTCTGAAAGCAGCTTTTTGCCTCCTGCTTCAAGTGATTGATTAAGTTAGGATCTCTTTTAGGAATTCTCTCCACTCATGCCTCCTCACCAGCTTACAATGAGCCCTGCCAAATTTTACTTTCCTTTTATGCTGCAGATTGTTCTGTTCCAAGTGGGTAAATGGAAACTGTGTTCCTAAGATGCAGCCAGTTACCTTGGAATTCCTGTTCTCCATTCCGTATGGTTCAGGCACCCTCTTATCACATCATCAGTCATGTTTCTAGCTGGGTTCTGGCCTTATGGTTAGGGAGCAGCTTTGCTTCAGAGCTTTCCTTCCCCTGCGGGCTCCCCCACTCCCACTTTGGTGTGAGAATCATGGGGAACCAGGGGTGACACCATTTATTTTAAAACAAGCCAGCACACATGTTTGTAGGCTTTTTAAAGCCATAGACTGTAAGTGGACACTTCCGGTGTTCCTCAGGCCCCAGCTGGAGAAGTGGCCCTTGGTTCCATGGGTCCTCGTGGAATGGGGATCCAAGGTGATTAAAAAGCACCAGCTTTGCGGCACTCAGACCTGTTGCCACTCCTGCCTCCAAGCACGGTGTTTTCTTGTAAAAACTGGGATTCAAGTTTTCATCTCTCATGAGTGGTGAGGAAGATGGACATAAACAATTAGAAGTATAAGCACCTTCCCATCTCCATTTTGAAGTCCTCCTTCTACCTCCCAAACCTTACATTGTCTTCTCCAAAGTGGCCATCCTGCAATGCCAGTGAGCCTGGCCCTCAGGGAAGGACATTGCCAGAGCTCTTTCCTCCTCCTCCTCCCCTGTGCCCTCTCACAGCACCCGGCTCACTGTATACCAAGCATTTCTTTCAGTTTCCCTGAGTTGGTGAAGTCTTGTTGAAATGATCCAGTGTGGTCTCAGTTCTGCTGTAAGAAATTGGAGCTAGGGTGCAAGTGTTAATAGTTCAGAGGTCTTGGGGCAGGGGTAGGGGAACTTTGAGACAAGAATGAGGCGGAGGAGGAAAGGCCCAGCCACACTTTCTCAACCTTGCAAAACCTGAGTTTTGCTTTATGAAGGCAACTAGTCATTCTCTTTATCATCTGCACTGTCCTGTTAGCAACTCTACTGTTTTGGTTTCTTTTGGGGACCATTTTTCCCCCACAAAGAAAGGCCTTCCTACAAATCTAGGGCTTTTAGTTTTAAAAATTACTCCATGAGAGTTACTACGTACGTGATCATAAGTATAGTAATATGGCATTAAGTTTAGAGGTTATTTATCCATTCACTAATTTACTCAGCAAATATTCCTTGAGTGCCTCTTATGTACCAAACACGATTCAAGCCCTAAGGATATAACAAATAACAAAAAAGACAAAATATCTACCCTCATGGGTCTGATATGGGAAAGATGTCAACAACGACAGCAAAATAGATAGTTTCAGTTAGTGACAATGAAGAAAAATGAACAAGGAAAGGGGGTGAAGAGTGATGAGGACATGGGGAAGGGAGAGTAGATGGGCTAGATCCTCTTTGGAAGGTATTTCGGTGGACACGAGAGTGAAATGAGGTTGGAACTATACAAAGACCCAGGAGAAGAACACTGAGGAGGTAGAAAGGTCCAGAGGCAAGAAACAGGGCTCAAGGAAAAGCAAGAAGGTCAAAGTGACCAGAGCACAGTATGCAAGGAAGGCATGGCAGGAAATGAGGCCACACTGGGCGGGGCATTGTAGTCCACAGGAGGAGTTTGGGATCTTATTCTAGGCATACAGTAAAGCCACGAGAGGATTTTGAGTAGTGGAGTGACATGGTTTGATTTATGGTTTTCAAACATCACTATGACTGCTGTGTGGAGAACAGACTAGTGAGGAGAAAGGAGGAAGCAAGAAGACGCACGAAACGGCAGCAGTAGCCCAGGCAGGTGGGGTTGGCTGGCTTCATACACTGCCGTAGTGGTCAAGGTCATGAGAAGCCATCAAATTCAGCGTATCTTTTGAGTATGGAGCCAACGGAACTTGCTGAAGGATTGCATATGGGGTGTGAGAGAAAAGTGAGTACTCAAAAATGACTCCTAGGATTTTGGCCAGAGTGGCTGAACAGCAATGCTATTTCCTGAGAAAGGGAAATGTGGAGAGGGAGCTGGTTTGGGATAGGAATCATGAGATGTGTTTTGGACGTGTTGACTTTGGGATACTTATCCGATATCCAAGTATCTGGAGCTCAGGAAGAGTCTGGGTCTGGAGCTGTAAATATAGGCATCATCGTTGATCAGATGAGGGCCATGGGACTGGACAGAGTTACTCAGGGAGGTGGAGAAGAGGATAGGTCCAAGGACAGCCATAGGGCTCTCCAACACTTACAAACCTGGAAGTGAAGACCTCACCTGAGCTCACCCTTCCTGGTCTCATGGTTTTGTGGGAATCTCCACTTGGTTTCCTAGCCCCCCATCCAGGATCAAGTTTTACATCTTGGTGGCTTAAGGCTTCTGCCCATGGGGACTTTGGAGATCTCACGGATCTAGTCCCTGGCCCAGGTCCTGGTGGCCTTCTTGTGCTCTAGTCAGAAGCCCTGGGTTCTCTTCACAAGCACGGAGCCTGTGTCTGGACCTAGAATGAACACACTGATGGCTCCAGTCCTAGTACTGTTTCCATGTTATACCTGAACCACAGAGTTGATTATTTTGTGACAGGAGACATGACTATTTTGTGACACTTTGATTTTCCCCAATGCCATGTGTTTGGTAATATGGGGCGGGCCATCTAGGAGGCAAGGGACGTTGCTGTCCTGACTGGGGAACCAACATTTTGATTTTCAAGATCATTTTCTCTGTGGTTTAAGCTCACTCCTTGGATCTCTCCAAACACTGGTTGTCGCTGAGTCATTCACTCTATATTTATTGACAGATACTATGAACCTTGCAAAATACAGTATAAGACATGGTTCCTGCCCTCTAGGAGCTTAGAATCAGGCCAGGCAATTGAAAATTGCTAGCATAAAATGAGGAACAGTATAACTTTATATATTCTTGCTTGGATCTGCCCTGGCACAGTGCTTAGCACATAGAGAATTTTCAACAAATGTGAAAGGAACAAGACCATAGAGGGTCATCATTGTCCAGTGACCTTTACCAACCATGAATGCTGCAAGATTCAGGGAGGAGGAGATGAGTAAGGGCTAGTGTGGTTGGAGAAAGTGGAGGGAGATGCAGTTGGAAGCCATGAGGTCAGGGGTGGCTTTAAAGAAGGGCAGGCTTGGGCCCCAGAGAAAAAAGAGAAGCATTGCAAGTGAGGAAAGAATGTGAAAAAGTAGAAGATTCAGCCCCCCTCAGGGTGTTGGGATCAGCCTGTGAAAAAGTTGAGGACATCTTGCAGGGATAGCAGGTACACACTACAGAGGTCCCAAAAGCCAACTTGGTACCTGGAGAGAAGGACTTTGCCTGCCGCTGCTTTGCTCTTCTGGAGGTTTGAACTCGTAAGGAAAAGAAATTGTGATTTCCTTTAAGCCAGAGTGAGAAGTGGCCCAATGTCTGACAGGCCTTAGAAGGGCAGCATATTTGAAAAGAGAAACAGAGGCAGGGAAGACTCCTTCATCCTGGGGCCACAAGCCCAGCACCTGGGAAGTTCATTATTGTAAGTACAAGTCCCATGGACCTGTGACCTAAGCTGGTGGCTGCCCACTCACCCAAAGCAAAGCAAACAGCCAAGGCGGCTGCCTTGATAACACTCTTATGACCAGTCATGAAAAGAATTAGTAATAAAAAAAATCACCTTACTTTGACAGAACGCTCTAGACTAGAGCTGAAAATGTGTTTCCACCTGCCTTCTATCTCTTAAGCTTCACAACAACTCTGATTTAAATATTCATGTTCTCTCCCAACAGGAGATGTACAATGTCAGACTGGCCCCAGGCCTGCTAATTGGCAAGGCCACAGTAAGTGTGTACCCCGGGGCACTGAGCTGTCCACCTGGGGTGATTTTATTTATTTATTTATTTTTGAGATGGACTCTCACTCTATCGCCCAGGCTGGAGTGCAGTGGCGCAATCTTGGCTCACTGCAACCTTCGCCTCCTGGGTTCAAGTGATTCTCCTGCCTCAGCCTCCCAAGTAGCTGGGACTACAGGCGCCCACCACCACGCTGGGTTAATTTTTTGTGTTTTTAGTAGAGATGGGGTTTTACCGTGTTAGCCAGGACGGTCCCGATCTCCTGACCTCGTGATCCACCTGCCTTGGCCTCCCAAAGTGTTGGGATTACAGGCGTGAGCCACCGCACCTGGCCAACCAGGGGTGATTTTAGTGCTCCAAGCACCAGCACCTGCTCTCGTTAGTCACACAGGAGGAAGACACACTGGAGGAAGGTGTGACCAACTTCAAGGCTGAAAACCAAATGGAAAGTAGAAGGAAGGAATGGATGATTCCTAAGGTTTCTGTGGTGAACATGGATGTGAGCCATTCAGTGTTCCAGGGGCTGGCTTTCTTACCACGCAGGCCTGGATTGCAGCTAGCTCTGTCCTTTAGACCTCTGCCCCTGTGATGAGGAAAGGAAATTGCCTTTCAATGACTAATGTGAAAGGAAAATAAAATCTCAGGATCCCAAACTCACTATATCAAAGGGAAAGTTAAGCTTGGGAACTGAGTCATGCAAAAAGCTACCTTCCTTCTGTTCCCAAACAGCTGTAGTTTTATATGTTTACTTTATCTCATGTAGAATGTAGATCTACTGAGCAAGATAGGAATGCATGCTTGACTTCCCCACCACTCCGTTCTTCTCACATGTAAAATGTAGCTTTACTGAGTGCCAATCAGAGCCTCACAAGAATGTGACCACTTGCCTCATTGCCTGCCCTCTCGCCTTTTTTTCCTTTCCTCCTCCACTTCCTTCTCCCTCTCCTCTTTAAATATCAAAGTCCTCAAAACCCTCTTTGGAAAAAGCGCAGGACACAGATCCTACTGGGACCCATGTGTCTCTTTCCTGGGTGCATCCTCAACCTTGGCCAAATCAGCCTCTAAATCAATTGACATCTGCCTCAGTCACTTTTTGGTTGACACTAATAAACTCATGTTTAGGTACCTTGGCTCCAGATCATTTTATTTCCTACCTCACAAGGACAAAATCCCAATTTAAAACAAATGCTCAGCTTACCAAACAGAAAAGGAAAACAGTAGAAGATAAGAAAACAAAACAAAAAAGCATGCTCTGGGCCATCTTTGTTCTATTATCATATTTTTGGTCTTCTAAATGAAGCATCTTTACATGCAAATCCATTTTTGTGTATTTTGACTGATTGCTGGCAAGGTAGAGAGAAATAAATATTTCTGGAAATGGGCATGGCATAAACATATCATTAGCAGGGCTGCAGCTTTGTGTGTGTGTGTGTGTGTGTGTGTGTGTGTGTGTGTGTGTGTGTGTGCATGTGGTTTGAAAAGATGTTTATGGTGAGTTCAGTCAACAGACCCTCCTATCTTCTCTGTGATCATGTCTTTAAGGACCTGGGAGCACCAGGCCTGGGGAGGATAGATGGGAAATGTTCTTGGAGCTTAAGGAACATTCCAGATCTTAGGCATTGATTAAGCTAGAAACCCACCATCTGCACACTTGCTCATAGCCCTTCTGATCATATTTCTTAATTTTTAAATGTCTGAAGCGTGTTTAGGTGTCCCCCATGACGCCGATGTTGCTTTAAAAATTCCAGCTGTTGCAGAGCTCTTCTCAAGGATGTTACTAGGCAACTTAGCGACTGCAAGGGGGAAGGTGTTTCTGACCTCCAATTCCAGTAGAGCCCAGGCCTGTAAAATACATGTAAACAGGCAGTTGTGACTTTTTCTTTTCCTTTTTAAAAATCAGACTTAGTCACATTGAGGTCCTGCTCCAAGGCAGGAGGATTGAGTGTAAAGATGTTAGCAGCTGAGTTGAGATGGGAGTGTTTTCACGTCTGGGATATATTGCTTTGTCTAACAAGGTGCCCCAGCAGGCTTCCAATTGTGGTCTCCCCAGACCCTCCCAGCTGCACAGGCTGATTGACAGACTGTGGGCAGATGCGGTGCCAGACTCCAATAAAGAGAGGGCCTTGGGAAAATATAAGGCAATTATTGATGGGCAGCAATCCACTAATCAGACAATTTCAAAATTAATCCCATATTCCCTTACTGTATTAGCTTTCTTTCTTGTTTGTATTTATATAGCAAATTCATGACTTCAGTGAAAATTCTTCCCTCCAGCCCAATTATATCTCTCTGAGGACATTAAATTAAAAAACAAGAGATATTGAAAGTGGCTTGCAATTAGTTTCTTTAGTTAAAGGTGCTGCATGCACTTAGCAACTGTGGCGCTCATCACAGGATGCATAATAATAAAAGTAAACACACGTATTTTTTCCTGGGCTTGACAGGGTGAGGGGTTGATAAGAATAATATGCCTGGCATTACTCTGGACCAGTGATAATGGGTTAAATAATTGTGATTTGATTTGTTAACTGATTAGATTTGCATAAAATCCTACTCCAAACTCCTCAGGATGCTCTGCCTTCCTTCTTGCTGTGGTCCATCCTCCCGCCTTCCCTTGCCTCATTAAGAATGTACATTTTTTTTTACAATAAAGTCATTCAGAGAAAACGCGATCAGTTTCTATCACAGGTTTCCCATGCAGGATAACCTTCCAAGTAGTGGTATGAAGCTTTTAAATATACATAAATACATTTCAAATATTTTGCCAGTTACTTATTATGGAAGTGAATCTCTTTATTACCATTTCCATCCTCATTTCATCTCCCTTCCCTGTCCCCTGGTTTTTGTAAGTTTTTTGTTCTGTTTTGTTTTATTGACCTGAAACAGCTGGAATTCTCTTTTTGTTCACTGCAACAATTGCTTCTGCAGAATGCTTCCCGATTGCATAAATTTGCCACTTAAACTGAGGAACGTCAAGCATCACTACAATTTGGAGGAATTATAAATGGCCAGAAGCTCATTTTGGCCTGAAGACTGTGGTTGTTGAGTTCTGCCTGATCGTCCAGCTTTGGCAGTCTCTCCCCCCATAACCCCTACAAGTTCAGTATGTTGCCATCTGCCCCATATAGAAGTATATCCCAAGAAAAAAAGGACAAGCCCATTATCTTTGCATCCATTGAATCTGACGAGTTCTGAAGGAGGTCAGCTTCTATTTCAATGAAGTACTGGTGAGTTGAAGAAGAGAGCATTGGGATTTTAGGCACTTTCCCCAACATCTCATAGTTTAAATTTCTGGTATACACTTCTATGCAGATGAGTCCTGTCCTCCGGCAGGAGGAATTGATGCAACTCTGGTCCCGCATCAGGACTCAATAACTTCAGGTACCATTTGATTCTCTTCCCATTCTGACCCTGGCCCCAGTTCTACAGGCAAACCTTGTTGCTGGTTTGGAAATAGTCAAGCCATTTAAGCCATTACTCTTCCCTCCTATGCCTGGGATGACATTTGCAATCAATCATTAAAGTCTTTTTCTGGAATCAGTCTTAGAATCTTGTCTTAGATTCCTAGAGTCTTAGGTGAATCAAGTGTTGGGGGCATCCAACCAGTTGAGTCAAGAAGAAAAGGCCAGACGTAAAGAAGCTAAGAAGAGTGAGGAGGGCTTTCCATTCCAGATGTTGAGATGAGGAGTGGGAGAAAAGAAGGCAGAGGAGAGCCAAGGAATAGAGTGGAGAATATACAAAGTGTGTGGTGGAAACCATGAGGAGCCCAGTCTTCCAGGAGCAAAAAGGGCAGAGATGAGGTTGCAAGAGCAGGTAGAACCAGAATCTTGTTCAGCCTTAGGCCCCAGGACTCACTGCCAACTAATCAGAACTGGTATGCAAACTGGCCAAGAAAAGTCCCTCATCCAGACCCAGATCTGGGGCTCAATTTTCTGTGCCTGCATCCTTGTTACTGTTGGCCTTCCCAGAATACCAGTTTCCTTAAGAAGAGGACCCTGGGCCTGAGGCATGGCCACTTGCTGTGCAGCTTTCCTGGTGCCACTGTCTCCTTGATTCTTGGGGAATTGCTTGTTCCTGGATGTCCGATCTTTGGATCTATGGGGAGACCCTCCTTGAGACCTTCATTGTCAGACTAGCTCATGCCCATTAACCCCTGTCACATCTGCTAATTCATGCCCATTAACGAACTCATGTCACATTCTGCTGTTACACTTGACATCCCCTCAGAAGCAGCTATATCCCAGCTGATGTGTCTAGTTCCAGGTCCCCATCCCTGCTGTCATCCAGACAGATGGAACATTTGGGAGATGAGGAGGAGATAAACCATCCCTTTACTGAATTTTCCTATGCTGTGCTAACCCATGGAGGGGAAGTTCAGAAGTATCTCAGAGGAAATGCAGAATATGAACTTTTCCTTCTCTGAAAAGTAAATTGTTAGAAAAGAGAAAGGACCAAAATGACTAGGGTAGTTTAGAGCTTCAAATCAGTGTCAGATTAGAAATACAAAGAGAAGACTCACCGAGTAGGCATGGAGGATGAACAGCAGGCTTAAAATATGGAAGAGCCACCATGTGCAACAATGAGCAAATGTGTTTCTGAGCAGCCCCAAGAGGTGGAATGAGGCCAATGAATGGAAGTCACAGGAAGTCAGGTTTTTACTTTATCTAAGGAAATAGTTTCTAAAAGCCAGACATTTCTAAAGATAGAGAAGGTTACCCCCATAGACAGTGACAACCCTGTCACTGCCAGGCATTCAGGCAAAGGCTGGACAACAATTTGGCAAGGATGTTACTTCAGAATGTGGGCTTCACGTGGAGGCATCAATGACTTCAAGGTCATTTTCAGCCTTAAGAAGACAAGGCCATTATCTTTGCATCCATTGAATCTGACCAGTTCTGAAGGGGTCAGCTTCTATTTCAACAAAGTACCGGGGAGTCAAATGAAGAAGAGAGCCTTGGGATTTTAGGACCTTTCCCCAACATCTCATAGTTAAAAATTTGGGTATATACTTCCATATACATCTCCCTAGTTCCATTCCTCATGAGGCAACCAAACACCAACTTGGTTGCTCATTAAAGTCTTTCTTGGGCACCCGCAGAAACTACATCTAAGGCCCATAAATAAGCAGGTGTTTTTTCTTTTTAATGGCTTTTCCACATCGACAGCTTATCTCTTGGAGACTAATATGAACTCTCGTATCCGTTTCCTACTCAAGAAGTTCCAGTGGCTTCCCACTGCCTACTAGAGAGGGCCTCCCTCCTTAGCCTGCTGTCCGTGGCCTTTGAAATCTGGTTCCCACCTGCTCTCGCAGCCTCATCTTTGCCCTTCTTGTTCCAGGAAGGCTGGGCTCCTTATGGTTCTCTTCGCACACTGCATATTCTCCACTCTATTCCTTGGTTCTCCTTTGCCTCCCTTTCTCTCACTCCTCTAACATCTGGAATGGAAAGCCCCCCTCACTCTTCTCAGCTTCTTTGCATCTGGACTTTTCCTTTTTTTTTTTTTTTTTTTTGAGACAGAGTTTCGCTCTTGTTGCCCAGGCTGGAGTGCAATGGCACGATCTCAGCTCATTGCAACTTCTGCCTCCGGGTTCAAGTGACTGTCATGCCTCAGCCTCCTGAGTAGCTGGGATTACAGGCGTGTGCCACCACGCCTGGCTAATTTTGTATTTTCAGTAGAGACGGGGTTTCTTCATGTTGGTCAGGCTGGTCTCGAACTCCCGACCTCAGGTGATCCGCCCGCTTCGGCCTCCCAAAGTGCTGGGATTACAGGTGTGAGCCACCTCGCCTGGCCTGGCTTTTTCTTCTTGACTCAGATGGTTAGATGTCCCCAACACCTGATTCATCTTGATAGTAAAAGACTCTGAACTTCATGAGAAGCCTTCTTCCAAATGCAGCAGACTATGGAAGGCAACAGAAATGAGTGAAAACTGGGACTTCTTTACTGCTCCTTACTTGAGTTGTGTAGTCACTGTCCAAATCAGCAGGACATACAGAGGGGTACCTGGCAGCTGAATACTGACTCGTACTGCAGGCCAACTCCTTGCCTGGGTGAAATAGGAATTGAGCGACCTGTTTAGTAGGTGCAGAATGTGAAGCTTTTTCTCTTTCTTGTGGGACATGCGCTCTGGAGGCCCTCAACTCACAGGGTCAGGAATGCTGCCTTTGTAGATGAGGCTGAGTGCTAAAATCAGAGATAACTCAGGCCTGTGTTCAGAAGTAGCTCACTGTTGTGATGATTTGAAAGCACCGTTGAACAAATTGTGTATCATCAGTAGGGATTTGGGGTTTGAAGGCTTGCGTTCCAGTTCCAACTCTTTCACTTGTTAGCTGGGTGATCTTCATCCAGTTGCTTCATATTTGTGGATTTTAGTTTCCACATCTGTAGAATAGTGATAATAATACCTGCCTTCATGGCTATTGTAAGGATCAAATAGGAAGGTAATTTGCAAATTGTGAAGTGTTAGAGAAAGTTTTATACTGTATGGGCTGTGACTACAGTTGTTAGTTCATGTCCCAGACAGCAAGTTGATGAAGAAGGCCGCCTGCAGGGGTGGGCACATGGGTGCCATGGGAATGAGTGCTGAGTGTCAACCACTGGGAGCCCAACACATTCTTTTTTCTTTTTTTAAAATTGAGGTATAATTCACATAATGTAAAATTTAAGGTATGACATTTGGTGGGTTTTAGTATATTAACTATGTTGTGCAACCACCACCACTATCTAATTCCATTTCCATCACCCTCAAAAGAAACCCCATACCCATTATCAAGCAAGCCAGGAGCAAGCATTCACCTGACCTCCACCCTATCCCCGTCCCAAGGCCATTCTCCTATGTGTCCCCAGCTTAAGGAGGAATGGGCTGCCATAGCAACCACTAATCTACTTTCTGTCTCTTTGGACCTGTTCCAGACATTTCATATAAATGGAATCATACAGCAAGTGGTCTTTTGTGTCTGGCCTCTTTTACTTAGTATAATGTTTTTAAGGTTCATCCATGTTGTAGCATGTGTTAGAATTGCATTCCTCTTCATGACTGAATAATATTCCATTGTGTAAATATACTTCATTTTGTTTTTCTGTTCACCAACTGACAGACATTTGGGTTGTTTTTACTTTTTGATTATTGTGGATAATGCTGCTATGAACATGGGTGAACAAGAATCTGTTTGAGCCTCTATTTTTGATTCTTTGGAGCATATACTGCTGTGATCTGAATGTTTATGTCCCTCAAAAATCGTATTGAAACCTGATCCCCACTGTGGCGGTATTAACAGGTAGAGCTTTTAGGGAGTGATTAGGTTATGAGGGGTCCACAATCATGAATGGGATCATTGCCCTTATAAAAGAGGCTTGAGGGAGCTCCCTTGCTCCTTCTGCCATGTGAGGACACATAGAAGGATCCATCTATGAGAAACAGGACCTCGTCAGATACTGAATCTGCTGGTACTTTAATCTTGGACTTCCCAGCCTCTAGAACTGTGAGCAATAAATGTCTACTGTTTATAAATTACCCATTCTAAGGTATTTTTGTTATAGCATCCTGAACAAACTAAGACATATACTTAAGAGTGGAATTGCTGGATATATGGTAATTCTATGCTGAATTTTTTAAGGAATCACCCAATCACTTTTCACACTGGCTGCATCATTGATTGTACCCACCATCAACGTGTGAGAGTTCCAATTTTTCAACATCCTCTCCAACATTGTTATTTTCCAGTTTTCTTTATTATAGCTGGCCTGGTGGGTATGAAGTAGTATCTCACTGTGGTTTTAATTTTCATTTCCCAAATAAGGAAGCCTAATACATTCTTAACAGGACTGAGCAGTCTATAAAACAAGTTAACTTAAAAGCTACCCAGAGACCTTCCTATAGCAATAGAGGCTCTGAGGTTTACTTGTCACTTCTACCCCTACTGCTACCACCTCTGCTCCAAGTAGCCAATACTAAAGGAACTTCTCTGTGCCAAAGACTGTGCTACATACAGGCTTTAAGGGCAACAGCCCTAATTATAGGTATTATTATTGTCCCATTTTGCAGCCATGGAAACTGAGGCTTAGAGATGTTTAACAACTTGCCCAAGGTCATACAGCTGAGTGGTGAGGCTGCCAGGATTTAATTCCAGGACTGTCTAATTCTCAAGCCAAGCTCTTAACCACAATGCCATAGTGTTTTCTGCTAGAGAAGGAAGCCACCAAACTGACTCTCCACTCTTTCAAGATTCAACAAATGCTTCCTGAGTGCCCACCATGTGCCAGAATCTGTGCTGGGCTCTATGGCAGTGAATGAAGCTGCTTGATGGGGCAGCTTACAGTCTGCAGAGTTCTGAGTTTGCCAGTGGTTTTTGTAGAGTGAAGTAATGAGTTTTATAATTTTTATTTGATTTAGCCCTCAAGTTGTTAACACCTCCAGTGCAGGGGCTGGGAAGAAGGTTGTCTATAAATATTAGTTCCCAAAGTAAAAATGGCTCTTTCATCTTGGCAGACCTAATTAAGCTGTTGATTAGAGAAGGATCAACACCTCCGTCTGTAACAAAAGACACTGTCTGTCAGTAGGAGGTTCTGTCAGGGCAATTTCTCCTGCAATTTAGAACACTTGGGAGGACAGAACCCAGGCAACTCAGGGTGTCAAAATGGATAGGTCTTACTTCACATAGCTCCCCCACCACAGACACACAGACACACACACACACACACACCCCACACAGCCCCTGGGAGACTGGAAACCTTGCAGCCCAGTCACCTGGGAGGCATTTAACATCTCTTTAACAGAAACAGAAGCTTCAAGCAATAGACAAATTTACTGACAGAATCCGTACCGATTATGGGGCACAAATGGAGCCTGGCAGCTCTGGAATATCTGCCTCTGTTTAGAGGACTCCAGCCAGGACAGCAGTGGTGCCTGGGGAGAAAATGACATTGGAATCTGGCCAGCCCCAGGCTTCCCCATCTACTTCCCTCCAGCAGCACTCGTTGCCCCCCTGGGGCATGCAGCTGTGGCAATCCTCTCCTGGGAGCAGTTACTGGACACTGACTTTCCTTAAGTCTCTATTGCAAAGAATAAGCTTTTTCTATGGAGATTCAGGGAGTCTACCTTGGGATGGTAGGCAGGAATGAGAAGTACCTTCTTGCAAGAAAGCCTGTCCCCCTCAATGTGAAGATCTGCCTGGAGAGCCGGCGGGAAGCATTCACCCAGCCTCCACCCCATCCCCACCCCAAGGCCATTCACAGCAACTGCAGGGAAGTGAGGGAGTCACAGCTTCATTAAATCACCTCCCTGCGACCCACAGGGTGTGATAAATGGAGTGTGTGTGTATGTGTGTGTGTTGGGGGGCAATTTTCTCTGTAGGAAATGGGGATGGCCATTCTAAACTTACTATAATAATAGTTGGCATTTATCGTGCACTTACTATGTGCCAGGCACTGTTCTAAGCACTTTACATATATCAACTCATTTAATCCTCATAATGACCCTATGAAGTAGATATTATAATACTAACCCCAAGTTACAGATGAACAGACTGAGGCACAGCTGACAAGGGAGGCTGTCCTCAACTACTGTGCTCCTGTCTGTGGACCGTGGACACTAGTCTGAACATTTACCAGTGACGCGAGTGGCCCATAGGAGTCAAACTCCCTTTATCAGCACAGACAGTCAAGATGATGTGAGAAGGAAAGATGCTGATGGGGAGAATTCTCATAAGGGAAAAGGATTAAGGAAGTGGATAAATTCATTCGTTCAGTCAATTCATTTTTATTGAGCAACTACTATGCACCAGTTACAGTCTCTGAGTTCGTGGAGAAGAACAAATCAACAAAGAAGTTTAAAAATTGCAAGTGGTGATCGATCCCATGGAGGTAGCAAATGGGACCAAGATAGAGAATGACAGGGCTGGAGGGAGAAACCCACGTTAGAGAGGGCATCGGGGAATGTCTCTCTTAGGTGACATGGAAGCAGGGGCTAGTGTGAGCCATGTGGGGAGCAGTGGGAAGGGCTTCCTGGGAGGGCTGTCATTGCAAAGGTGCTGGGGGAAACAGGCTTGGTGGACTGAGAACCTGAAAGACCAGGATGGCCAGCCAACTGTGAGTGGGAGAAAGGCTGCATGGTGAGGCCGGAGGGTGGGGGCACACAGAGCAAGGGGTTGGGAGAGGGGGACTTTTGATTTGGTTCCGAGAGCAATAAAAATGTATTGAAGAAGCTTGAAAGCTTCCCAGAGGAGAGTGACATAAAAGAACCTTGGCCTTTGTGAGGAGAACGACTGGAGAGCAAAGGAGCAGGCAAGGCCAGGGAGGCAGGAAGCTGCAGCAGCAGCATGCCTGGGGCCACGGGGTGCTGAAGAAGACCCTGGGGCCCGGGAGCAGCAAAGGAGAGAGCAAGCCACTCCTGAACATGTGGCAGCTGCTGGGCGAGGCGGTGTTTCCTCTAGAAGGACAGCATCTCCAAGGGGTGTTGCCAAGATGGACAGCGGACAAAAGGCCTGGAGTTGCCTCGCAGTTACTAGTAGGCTCCGATGCCATGCCCCTAAGGGATGGAGAAAGGAGAGTGGCGTGTGATGGTGGCTTCAGGAAAGGCCAGAACTCTGGTGCCTGGGGGAGAAAGGGACATCAGAATCTGGGCGGGAAGTGACCAGAAGGACAAGGAGGGTGCCATTCCCTCCACAGACATACCCTGAGCCCCGACCATGCTGCTGGCTCTTGGGCAGCAGGAGAGGGCTTCATGGCTGTGACCTTGGAGGTGGGCCCAGAAGGCTGAGTAGGGATCTGCAGGTGGAAGACAGGTAGGAGGCCTTCCAGGCGGAGCCCTGTGGAGTACAGCGCTGCTTTTCAGAGCCCAGGAGATAGTCACTGTGGCTGCAAGCCCCAGGACTGGGAGGAAGGAGGCCAGGCTGGGAACGGATTGTCAAAGGCTAGAGGGGGGAGTTTTCCCCCAGCAGAGCCCTGAGCCAGGCCACCCACCATGAACAGTCACACAAATGGGGCGGGATCTCAGCCTGGCCTCTTGGCGTGTCAACTCCGTGCCTTCCCTGACCACATGCCCAGGGCAGATCGCTCCGCACGCGCCCCCACAGCCTGCTGGTGG
Organism: Homo sapiens; assembly: GCF_000001405.40. Classification (NCBI taxonomy): domain Eukaryota; kingdom Metazoa; phylum Chordata; class Mammalia; order Primates; family Hominidae; genus Homo; species Homo sapiens. The sequence goes on along the minus strand of NC_000002.12, from coordinate 45,343,655 downwards.
CCACCTCATGTGCTATGCGTCCAGGAAGAGAATCAGTTGCAGCGGATCTAAATGTTAATAAAAACGAAATCCCTGAGCAGTCACTGAAATTAGTCCGGGTATGATTGAAATGCTAAGGCAGGTCTTGTTATTTTTATGAAGCCGTGAATAATATAAGTATCCAATTGATAAAATGTTATTAAAGCTGACAGCCCTTAAGTGATCTAAGTGGTAAATATTGAAATGAGGTCTCTGCAACACTGTGCCCGGGCCTGCGGCGGTAATAAGCATTGAACAATGATTCTGGGGGCTCTGGGGGGCTGCAGAGCTTGGGGGAAGCAAAAACACTCTTCCTCCTAAATAATTAAAGCAGGATTCCAGGGACTGATCGCAGGTTCTTGTAGTGGTTTGTTAATGTCCAAAGGAGCTGGCTTCAGGCAAAACCTCTGCTGGGCTATCCCTCCCTAACCTGGGGTGGGCAGGCAGTGGAGGGGGCTGGCTCCGCTCCCCACGGCCCCCAAGGATCCTGCACCGAGCAAGCTGCATATTTCAGCCTTTATTTATAATATAAACAGACTGGTACAGCCTGAGGGCAGCTAATAGTTGATGAGCAGTGGGGGGCTCCACGTGGGTTAGAGATTTTATTAGCACTGCCTTGGAAAAAAGCCACCATGGAGAGAAATTTAAAATGTGGTGTCCTCCTGATAATTAGATCACTGAAGATGCTGCAGGGAGCATCTTTCTTTACCCTACTCTTAGAAAAAGAAGCCAGAGGCTCTCCAAAAGCTTTCATCTAGCTCATCCTTAGCTATAGCTGGAGTGCTGGGGTGACTTGACCCTCCCTGAGTTGGGCCAGGTGATGAGTGAAGTTGTGCTCAGTCCCTTCTAGGGCTTAGGGATTATGGCCAGAGAAAGTATACTTTAAGCTGATCTGTGGGAGACAAGGAGGTGGGGATATGGATAGAGCCCCTTGTGACTCCTACAATGACAGAAGGGCCAGCAGAGGTGACTGAGCCACAGACTTTGGTCCCAGCCCAGCTGTGTCAGGCACCTTCCAGAACCTGTCTTTAAGGGGTGTGAAGAAAGGGTCAGGAGGCCTCTCTGGTCCTGGGAGCCCTGCTGGGTGTGGTGATAGTGCCTGGATGTCAGGGTTTGGGGCTGGATGGGGAGATCCCACGCTTTAATCCATGCTTCATAATTCCAGGACATACATGCCAAGAGCTTGGGGCCTTTATGTTGAAAAAGTCTCCTTGGCCCAGTGACCCAGAGTTGAGGAGACTGACCTAGGTCTGCAGTGTCTCCTGGGTGGCATCAAGCTGCCTGATATGGTTTGGCTCTGTGTCACCACCCAAATCTCATCTGAAATTGTAATCCCCATAATCTCCACATGTTGAGGGAGGGACCTCATGGAAGGTGACTGGATCATGGGGCAGTTTCCCCCATGCTGCTCTTGTGATAGTGAGGGAGTTCTCACGAGATCTGATCGTTTTATAAATGGCGGATCCCCCCTGGGCTTAACACACTCACTCTCACCTGCTGCCATATAAGATGTGCCTGTTCTCCTTCCGCCATGATTGTAAGTTTCCTGAGGCCTCCCCAGCCATGTGGAATTGCCAGTCAATTACACCTCTTTTCTTTAAACATTACCCAGTCTTGGGCAGCTCTTTATAGCAGTGTGAGAACAGACTAATACACTGCCCTTTTTGGAACAAACTTCTTGAGGATAGAGTGAGGACAGATGAGTCCAGTTATTTACCAAGGTCCTCCAGGCTTCTAGGTGAAAACTGGCAGAAGCCGTCATGGTACAAG